>NC_000007.14:94627991-94931021 GCF_000001405.40 Homo sapiens
TTTTAATATAAAAGCTGAAACAAAAACTTTATAAACAGAGAAGAATGGCACATTTCCAAATGTTATCTACTGTGTTTCCATGCACAAAATATTAAAAACCACCATCAGGTAACTTTAGTTTCAACACTTAAAACTCAAATTACAATACACACACACACACACACACACACACATATATGTATAGTTTTGCTCTTTCTAGGTGTAAATTACCTCAATGATTGTTGGCTTCCCCACATTTTCAGCTGTTGGGGACCCATATAGGACTCCATCACTATATGGTGTCCTTTGGATATATCGAAGCCATCCAGGTCGGTCTGGGTAACCCATTAAATTTGTATTAAATGTTATGGGATCATTACTAATCTCGCCTAGATAAGAAACAGAGAATTAAGACATAAGACAGTTATTTTCACACATGTTGCTTTGGTAGTTTCAATCAAAACATTCTGTCTAAAATTTTTTTCTTACATTTGTAGCCAACTAAATACACACATACAAAACCCATCTGGGAATTTAAATTAGGGCACCACGTTAAAAAAAATCCTTTTGGTTGTTTAATTTGTTTCAAAATCTGATGCAACAAAGAAAGCAGATTCATACAATTTTCTTGGAAATATATTTTTGGTCACCTAACAGTGATATAGTTCTGCCAGTGAGACAACTATCTTTCAGGAGAATTCCCTAATCATGCTAATGTACTCATTCTTTTGCGAAATATTCCGTTCATGAAACTCTGGACACTATCATATGAGTATGAAAGATATTCCAAAATTATAAAAGTCTCATCAAAACAAAAATAATGTAATTTTAAAACACTGGAGGATAGGATGAAAAAGACGTTACAAATCCATAACAACTGTACTAACGACAGCATTTATTAATCACAAGCAATAATAACAGCATCATTTATTAGCACATCCTGGCCCTGTGTTAAATGCTTTACAAGCCGTATTTCATCTTCTTGAATACTATTAGGAACATGGCTAACTATATTGTGGAAGAGTTTTCAGGTACAGTATTCATCATATAATCTTCAAAAAGAATAGTTATATCAATTCTAATGCTAAAAACATTCTTATACAATATAATTTTCAGAAAATTCACTTTTATTTGCTGCTTAAGGAAGAGCTGTAATGATATGTTTTCTCTTGCTATTCTTTGTATATCTTCATTAACTTGATGGCATTTATGATCACTCAAAATAACATATTTAAACCAATAGTGAATTAAGTAAGACTTCATAATTGGTATCACTTAAAAGGAAAAATTAATCTCCATAATATTATTATGGAGTTATATAAAATTATCTCCTATTGTAAAAGCTTTTTAAAAGCTCTTACCTAATGCCATTTTTCATTCTCCTCTACAACATATGTATAGTTTTCCAAAAATCAATGTACTATGTGAGAATCTAGGTCTTAATATAGAAAATCATAAGTTTACAGCTATAATTATTTCCATGTGAATATAGGTAGATCACTTGTCAGAGACATAAAACTCAAGACTGAGAATCCAGAAATATGCTTTCCTTAACATTCAAAAATAAATTATTTTTGTCTGTAATTAAATTTCTAATCTGTAAATGAGAAATATCCTACAACAATTTATCACATATTTAGACCATTTGAAATAATGTTAATGATATTTTATCATATATGTCTATATTATGCAAATTAAACAAAAAATTTAGTACGTTAACTGCTTTTTTTTCCTCACAAAGAACATACCAGGTTTTGGGTAAGGTGGAAATTCCCCCTTAAAATATTCTCTTTCCAAAACATGAACAAAGAGGACACCTGCTGATGGGTATACATTCCGATCGGAGTGTACCTTGGAGAAAATACTGTACACTGAAAACAAAGAGGAAAGATAAGTGACAGAAAGACAAATAATGAGATACGCCCTTGATAATTCAGCTTACGCTGTTTATAAAGAGGGGTCTCACTATGTAGACATTTCTGGAAAAACTGAAGCAACATGCAAGGAAACTGTTAATAACAATTTGTTTTAAATGGAAGTGATTTCAGGACAAAATGGGAAAAAATTCTTTTGATTTGTGTTTACAGCCTTTTCAAACACTACATAGACAAAATTATGCACATTTAATATTTTAGACTGTTATCAAATAATGAAGCTATCCATAATATCTTTTTGGTAATTTCTTTTTACTTGAAGTTATTACCAACAAAATACATCATGAGAACTGACCAGCTACATAATTGCTACAGATTTTTTTCTTCTTTCCTTTTTTTTAAAGCAAAGTACAGAGTAATTTTTAAGTGGTAAGAATCCATACTATACTAATTGTTTTCTAGACAAAGCATGTCAGACTATATAACACTATCAATACATGTAATGCGGTTTTTACGTATACTTATAAAAATGCATTGGATACTTTTTCTGGGTATTCATTCCTCGCATCTCTTGTAGAAATGATTTATTCAATTTTCTCTGATCTTGATATTTAATAATTCAAACAATATAATCTATTATATTATGCTGCATCCTAAATAAGCAATAACAATTACATAATAAAATTCAGGCAAAATAATTTAAGTGAAATAAGCAAATTTCATGATTTACCAGTTACTTAAGACATATGATATGAGTACATTAAAATGACCAATTGTTTTGATTAGTTTCCACTTATTGTTTTTGCTCTGATAGCATCTTCTCCACTAACACATTATTGCCGTTACTCTTGTCACTTCTACGATCTCTTTTGGGTTTCTATATTCCTGATTGGCTAGTGGCTGCAATTTTTAGAGAGATAAACCCTATCAGGCCAGTTCTTTCTTTTAAGTCATTAATGGATTTGTAAATATGGTAATTAACCTTATGAACCACAAGGCTGCTCACTCCAAGCTCACAACTTACTAAAAGCCTTGGATAGCAAGATCACTGAACTACATTTTTCAGCACAAAAATAAAAACTCCCACAAAATGTTTCTTTATCTGTGAAAACTTGTCCCTGCAGTTCGGTGGATGGCTGCCAGAAAAGGGGGAACTGAGCTAAAATATTTGACTTGTAGCTTCACGTATCTACAGATTTACTACTAAAAACATAACTTCAAAGGCTGTGTAACAGAGGGAAGGAAGCTACAAGTTATGTTTAAACTAGGTATGCAGAGAGATCTATTCTTTCCTGATTTGTTTTGTACTAGTATTCATAAGTGATCTTCCCCTGTGGCATTTACAGTACCCAACTTCTACTCAAGAACAATGTACTTACCAGCAGGAATAATCCCATTCCGCGAAACAAGAATGAATGAATCACAGAAAAATAGTAAAGATGAGAATTTTATACTTTTTTTTTTTTACCAGTTTGATACCACAATGTACCCTGAATGTGAGGTGCTATGGGGAATATGAAGATGAAAGAGACCCTGCCACTGCTTTCCAGGAGTTCACCATCTGGTATGGGAGACCAACATCCACCTAACTAGGTATTATCCCAGAGGTAAAACTGCTTTGGCAACACCTGGAAATATGGGAGGAGCAATTAAGGTTGGACAGATTCAGAAAAGATTTATGGAAGAAGTGGAATTCAATATGGCTCTTAAAATACTACAGTAGTAGGATTCTGAAACTCAGAGATGTGGAATTTCAGCATTTCACAGTGAACATATGTGCAAGATACAATACTGGATACTGTGGGGGCCTTTCGGGGAAGGGAATTAAGTCAGTAATGCTGGATCCTGGGGTAAATTTAAGGTAGGGGGAGGCAAAACTGGGAAGAAAAGAAGAGTTAAAATAGGGAGTTTTGAACTCCTGCTAAAAAGTCATTTCACTCTGTATATCAAAGTATTTAAATTCAGGATCACAACCCTACATCCAAAGCAGAGAACATTACAAATAATCTAAAGGAATCTCTTTGTAGTTTATCTAATTATCTAATTCATTCTTTCTAGAGATTAAAAATACCTTGAAGTACAGCACTAAGTTTTATTTACCTTGCTATTTTCTCGGCAGCTAGAAGAGAGTCTGGTATATTTGAATAATTGTATCAATGCCTATGGAATGGATGAGTACATTCTAATACAAAGTACGGCAGAGGTAAACACAAGTTTCCTATTAGTGAACTAAATATATATAATACTTAGAGGGATAGCATTCTGTAGATTATCATCCTTCATTGACATTATAAACTAATAGTCTCCCTTAGTATTTGCTGCTATAAGGTGGTAAAAGCTAGCTAACAAAGCAAAATGAAAGGTTGTTCATATTAAATAATACTGAAATGATTCCATTTTCTACATTGCCCTCCACAGGTCCTGAAGTGGAACCATTAAAGAAAGGGTACCTGCCACTCCATATCATCTCACTTCAAGAACTTGCATAGAACATCTCAGTTTCTGCTTTTATAAAAAACATTTCTGCGTTCTACAGAGCCAAGACACAATCTACCATGGCCCTCCTGGGTTTGAAGATGACAAGCACATTTCTTTATTCATGTGTACTCAATTGCCTTTCAGCAATCTGCTGAACTGCATACTTGCTGGTCAGTTACCTTGGCAACTCCACAGTAAAGGCTGCTTCACTTTAAGTATAGTATGCCATTCACTTTGAGAAAAACATGATACAGATGTATGACACATTCATCATCTAGAAATGGAAAATGACTAAGCCACTATGTTTTGTTTGTAAAAATAATACTTCCTTTCTGTAGCATCAGTTTAAATTACAGGCACCCACACAACATTTTAGAGGAGTGCCCTTTGCCTTTCCCTTTCGCATTTGTTACTTGCAAAACAAATAGCTCTGCAACGGAGGCAATTTAGGCAGTATTTACACCTATGCTTCCTTTCAAAAACAACAAATGACACAGAGAATTCGAAGCTATAGGTTCTTGTTCTAAACGTGAGCTATATAAATAAAGCTGATGGGGTCCACTCCAACACCTACAGAGGCTATTACTAACAGTTAACACATGTTGCAGTCACATATGCCCAGGCAGCACTCACAAACCATAAGCTTAAAGCATGTTGTTTTCCTTAAGAGCAAGTCTTGAAAATCAAATTTAAACACTCTAAGAATCCACAACACTAAGATCTAATAATCTCTGAAATATACATGTGTACAGTGCCATGCTAATCAAGCCAAGGTAACAGGGTCTGGCCTCTCTGTGTATCGCATGGTTTTGCAATCTTCTACGGCTGCAAATCCATTACCTCTGCAAACATACGCCACTAGATATAAATGAAACTGGAAAACTATGGGTGGTTAAATCCATGCAATTCTATCACTATTAATGGGAAAAACAATGAGACCAAAAGTCCAACCCGCAAGAGGTCAAAAATATCATCTCCAAATAGCAAGCATAGCTAGATTTACAAAGATTAAAAACTTCTGAAGACAGGTAGTCATAAGGAACAGAATTTTTTAAGTAATAATTACATATCTGAGTAGAGAGAGCCAAAGGGTTATGTAAGCAAGTAGCTGGGATCATTATCTCGCTCTCCCTAAACATAGATCCAATTTATCTCATCACCATGTTACCAAAACCTTGTTCACAAAACTGTTATCTGTATGTTTCATTCACAGGGTATAGAATCTGCAGCCATTTCAACAACTCTATATTATGTGACAGCATAGAGCCCAGAATCAAATAACAGACCACGAAAGCAGTAGCAAAAAAAAAGGGAGCTCATGCTAGCTAAACAATGTCTTGTTTTCCTTTACTAATAGTCCAGTGGAAACTCTCTCTCCATAATGAAAATATATGGGTGTGCACGTGTGCTTATTACAATTACCTTCAAAGCAAGTTTGAATGTATTTAGTAAACATTAAATTTTGAAAGTACTATGGTGGTACGCTGCCAATGAATCCACAGCATATAACTTCACAATTCTCACAATGATTATTCTTAATGGCATGTGCATAAGCACAGGCACACACACAGCCCCTTCACTACAAAAATGTCCAGAGAACACTTGCCAGTTCTTTTTCTGCATCACCAAGAACAATTACATGGCTATAAAGATAAAATAACAACTGAGTATAAGACCCTGCAAGTTTGAGCTAGTTTTAAATCTTAAAGCCATCTGTCTTCTGAAATCTTTGAGAAGAAAGTCATAAAGTATTGTCAATATTTATGTCCGGGTGACTTTGATTAGGTACCCAGTATGTTTAGGTCTCTCTTATAGATGCTTTATTAATAAACTAATCACTTTAAAATGTCCATTTATATCATCATTTTCTAATTTTTAAGGTTTACAAGGATCTAATAAAATCTCAGTTTACCAGAACCACATGAAATGAATTGTTCCACAGAGCTGATGTTTCTGAAGTACTCTGCAGTTGATTCTTTTTCATGATGGTATAAGATCATCATTTTGTACATCAATTGTTGCACTCTGCTCTATTATACGGTGATACCCGTATGGACTGTTTGGTTGCCTTGTCATTTACCGATCACACTGTGGGTCCCAGTCTGCTAATGCTTTTTAAGGTTGTGTGTTTTACAGATTTTGTTTTCTCTTTTGTAGACAAGTTGTCAGCTGTCATTTCTCATTGCTATCAGTATGTTTCCCATAGCAGCTTCTCTATCCCCTCTAATTTGCTGTTATTAATCGGCTGCAGGTTTAGAAACCAGACTACCAAATGAGGCAGGGTTGCACATTGAAGTAAAAACAAATGCGTGCTGTTTAACACACATAGGGCTCTGCTAGATGTAAAAGACAGGAGCCTGCATTCGCAGCATCTATTTTGGCTGCCGAAAGACTCTTTTGTGGCGTATTTCCTAGTTCTTAGTTGACGCAGTACACTTCTGAATAGATGATCTTACTATACTTGAGAGAGAGCCATTACTTAAGGTGATGGCAGCAGAAACTCTGTTATAAAATACATTCACAAATAAATAGGTGTACAATTGAAAGTCTTAATTCAACCCATATATTACATAACTGTGAACTGTCAAATAAAAAATGGATTGAATGCATTGTATAAAACACTTACATATTCGATATGTGGGAAATACACTGCACAATTTAAACGAAGAGATCTATGGATTAAATGATATGTTGCCCTTAGTTATAGCTAAATCAGCCTAAGATACTATAACACAATATAATTAATAAGTAACTTATTAATAAGCAATTAAAGTCTATTTCTAAAAGCATTTCAATTTTATCAATTTGTTTCTCACATGAAGAGTTTGAAGATGGAAGCTGTTCATTGGGAAGCATCGCAAAGGTGTTTTAACTAAGTTCAAATTATTTAAATATGATAGTATATATTTCACAGCTAGGAAATTAGTTGTTCAAGTAATTTGAACTTAGTTTAAGTATTGCCTTAACAGTAAGTATTATCTAAAAAAATGTTTTGGATAAGAATGATTAAGAAGGTTTTAAGGTATGTTGAGGATACAAAGAGAGTACTAAACAGCCACCTATCTGCTGTATCTTTTAAAATAAATTGTTGCCTAAGCAACTAGGTATCATCATCCCTGATAATTAAAAATGTTAAGTACTGACAAAAAATAATACTTCTCGTCTCATATTTTATAGTTTTAACATCTAAAAACTCTTTATGAGATTCAGAGTCCCTGTATACATAGGAATTGAACAAGAGGCAAATCTCACTTGCTGTCTCTGCATCAAAAGAACTCATTTCAAAGTTTGCATAGCCTGATACATTTATGGATTCCTTTCTAATTTATTTTTTTAACATGTTGTTACTACAGTCAAATTGAAATTTAATTATTAAGCCAGGTAATTGCTGTAGAGAAATATTTTAAGAGAGATCAATATCCAGCCAGTTAGACAACCTGTTTTTGTTTTTGTTTTTCTCACTAAGATTTACCTTGTGTTTTATCAATACAACTTTATGAATCTTGGCTTTGAATCAAAAGCTTTTCTCAGCAGTCTGCCCTTCACCTTTAATTCACTCAACATCAAAGTACTGCAGGCCATTCATCTGGCATTGGCCAGCTATTGTTTTTTTTTCAGTCACAGATAGTCCATGCCTTGGCTGTGGAATCCATCACTAAGAAGGCATTACAGTGTCTTTGTAAACTTCATTTCTCTAGGAGATATGGCCACTTTTCTTTACATGAAGTAGGAGAGGAAACCATTACTTGAATCTTCTACAAAAAAGCAGAAGAGTTTCTTCATGATATTTTCCCCAACTAAAACCACTTACTTTCAGTTTTTCCAAAGTGGAACTAAACATCTTGATTATTGTGTGATTTCATGTGTGTGTTTTTTAAATGTCAATCGGAAAAAGGTTGCAAACCATTGCTAATTGGTGATCAATAAGCTTAGTGTCATAGCATGCTACATTGAAAAGAGCTTTATATGTCATCCTGTCTGGGCATGCCAAATATATTTCTTTATTAAGAGACAGATCATAACATTATTTCCTACCTGCATATGGCCTCTGCCTCCTACTTAACCCAGGATTCCTGACAGTTACTAACAATCAGAGTTTGCATGCATTTGCTCTCTTGGAGAGTTCAGTCCATTTTATAGATAACAAAATTGAACGTAGAGGGACTAAGTGACTGCTTCAAGCCTATAGGACCCATAACTAGAAAATAGAAAAAAGGAAGAGTGGGTGTGTCAAAGAAGCTGATGGCCCTCAGCTTGCTCAAGTAGGTCCCCTACTCCCATTCCAGGGAAAAAAAGAAGAGATTCCATAGTCCATATCTGGAGTATTCCTTATTGCTTTTGTAACCACTTACTGGGTGCTGAGGTAGAATGTCAAAAGTTAAGGCATTCAAATTCCTTAGAATCCTATTTACAGAAGAAGTACCATCCTACCGCTTTAGCTAAGAATTGGAATATTCTTTGCTGGGCCTGGCAGCTCACGCCTATAATCCCAGCACATTGGGAGGGCAAGGCGGGCAGATCACCTGAGGTCAGGAGTTCAAGACCAGCCTGGCCAACATGGTGAAACCCCATCTCTACTAAAAATACAAAAAATTAGCAGGGCGTGGTGGTGGGTGCCTATAATCCCAGCTACTCAGGAGGCAGGAGAATCACTTGAACCCGGGAGGAGGAAGTTGCAGTGAGCTGAGATCACACCATTGCACTCCAGCCTAGGCAACAAGAGCGAAACTCCATCTCAAAAAAAAAAAAAAAGCTACACAAAACATATATTTGTCAAATTTATTTTATATATAAATGATCCTATCATCTTTTGTGCTCTCTTGAAATTTTCTAAAAGAGATGACTGGGATTCATGGTCAAGAACATCTCAAAGAACATTCTATATCTGAGACAGCATTTAAAATGGCCTTGCCATACAAGTTACTAGTATTTGTTATTATAATTTTAAAAGTGATGAAACAATTCTCCTCATACAGTTGACAAAACTTACTCCCTGTATAAGGTATCTTGATAATTCAGAACTATAATGATAGGATATAAATAGGATGAGAAGAAAGAAAAATAATCTAAAGGATGAGATCAAGCTAAACTGAAGAAATAAGAAAATGTGATAATCGAAACTCTTTACCTCAGTAGATTCAAGATGGAGGGATCATTTCTATTCTGAAAACTCTAGTTATCTCTTGGGTCCCAAGGAGAAAATCAGTGTGAGGTTCAATGACAGTATGAAGTTTGAAACAGGAAGAGACTGGCGTCTCTTAGAGATTCTAGATGACACTATATGTCAAGGTCTTGAAATGCATTTCCCTGAGAACAGCACCATAATAGATGACTCTGCTGAGTGCAGCAGCTGTTGAGAGAGTATTTTTTTGTTTTTGGAAATCAAACAGCAAGAGGAGAGAGAGGCATGCTCAGAGAGAACAGAGGTTCCAGGGATCAAAGCTAAAGAGGAAAGACTGAAGAAAAGGGATGACTGCAATCTAGTGAAAAATGATGTGAAGTCCAGAGGAAGAGTCTTCAGAGATCCTCGGTGAGGCACAAGGAACCAGGGCATGTCCCAAGTCCTTTGGAGATGACAGAGCAGAAGTGCAGTGCAGACTGCAACAGTGAAGGACACCGGGGACCCATAACCAGAAAATAGATTAGAAAAAAGGAAGAGTGACTGTGTCAAAGAAGCCGATGGCCCTCAGCTTGCTCAAGAAACCAGCCAGATAAGGGTGTAATCAGGGGTGATTCCCTTGAAGGAACTTGGGAGAATCTGATGGCAATATCTAAAGAGAATGTGGGGAAAAGAACTATGAGATCATGGGCCTGTGTCCTGGAACAAGTGCATCTAGTGCTTTTTAAAACAAATTTTTGTGATCTTTTCATGAGAAGTTATTTGTATGAAACTCTATGTTTTCTTACAGATCTTAGCAAGGAAAATTCCTTAGAAATACACAGGTATTTGTAGGTTTGTTTCAAAGTCACTTGAGAAAATAGATGTTGGGAAACTTTGTCCCATTGTGAAAGAGATCTGGGGGTAGAAGTGTCCAGCTGAAGAATAATTCGGTTCCAGCTATAAAAATGTTAGTGATGCCCAACTTCAGAGATGTATGAAGAAAATGAAGTAAGCCAGGAATCAATCCTACAAGTACCCAGCAGGTTTCATCTGGCATTATCATCTTATCACATAAAATTACTGTTCTTTTCAAAACATTTTAATATTACTATTATTTTTATAGACATTTTGGTTGCTCCGAAGTTAGAGAAACTACTATTCTGCTGAGGTTCATGAACACATGTAGTTAATATTCTGTGTGAAGGATCATAAAGCCAAAAAAAAAAAAAAGAAATATTAAGTGCAAGTTCATAATGGTAACTGGTATTTTGAAAACAACTAATATTTTGACTGTTAAGTAATGCCTTTTCTCCATAATGAAATGCGTTATTTCAAAGGTCCTGGAATATTGCTGATGGTCACATTTATAGATACTGAAGAAAAATTTAGAAGGATCAATCAATCATTTACAGGTCAAGTCATCTTTCCAATAGAAAACAAGTGCCACTAAGTAATAGCAAAACATATCAATTTGGTTTTGCAACAAGAATCATCCAAAATTAACCAAAATATGAGTTTTTCCAAGGTTACATACTGCTATTTAAAATGATACATGTTAAATGTACGTTTTTCAGTATTATAAATAACTTGTTATAGTAACCACAGTAGGACAATTTTTATAAGTGGCAAGCTAGTGACTGGATAAAAGGTAAGTTAAAAACATAGGAATGGTTTTTAGTTTTTCTTTAAAAAGGGCAAAGCTACAGCCAAGGAAGAGGACTTGAAAAATAATGGAATAAGAACACACGGGATCTAAAACAGAAGTTTTAGAAGATTAGGAAAACAAAATTTTAGTTTTTCAGACTTACTAACAACAACAACAAAAAGCCACACATGACTAAAAAAGGGAAGAGACTATTGGAAGCAGACATTTAATTGGCTCCCCCAAAGGGATTTAGATTTACAACCTAAACTCACCATCTTTCATCCCAGCAGCCATTTTTCTGCTGATAATAAAATTGTTGGCCTGTCTGGTCTTCCAGTTAACTGTTCCATTTATGCCATCAGCACAGCTTAATAAAAAAGCTTTTCAGAATAAAACAAATGTACAAAAAAATGAAATTAATGTCATGATTTTTTAAAATGACTGTCACAGATCACCTACAATTAACTGGGATCAGATTCCTTCCAGCCCAGCTAACTGTTTAATTCTAGTCAGCAAATATTTGTTGTATGTCAATACAAGGAGTATGTGGGGATACAAGACAACCAAGGCATAGTTCCTGCCCCTGAAGGAGCTTACAATCTATGGGGATTGGCAATTCATGTACATATACATATACATACATACACATATATACACACACACATATATAATAAATCATACTAATTATACACACAAATGGTAGAAAGCATACGTGCTATAAGAACACTAATGGGGAAGCAATTATCTCTGGCTAGGAATGTTGTTAAGTTTAAAGTACCTTTTAAATTCACAGTTGAATTTTCCTCACACTGGCAGCAATGACTAGCATAGGGGTTAAGGAATACTAAGTAGGGGCTACTGCAAGAGTGTCAGATAGCAGTCAGGGTGAAGCACAAGGAAACAAAAAGTGGTGCCAATTACAAGACACCTTGTAATGGAGATAATACTGACATGGAGATAATGGAGATAATACTGACAATACTTTTTCAAACTGCTAGGTGCAGGGATAAAAGGAGAATCAAAGACGCCTTTGAATTTTTTATCTAGAATGACATAGAATAGCAATACTTTAGGAACCTCAGAAAAGTCAGTTTCAAGAGAAAGATGATTAATTTGATTCAGGATATGTTAAACTTAGGGTACTAGTTGGACATCTAGGTGAAACTATCTGAGAAGAAGAAGATAATGTAATGGGGCTTCACATACAGATTTAAAGTTCTTCTCCAGAGAAATGATTATTGAAGCCAAAGCCCTAGTGTGATTCCTTAAAGATACCATGTCCCTGGTAACACATACATCAGGCTCTTACATAGAAAGTGATCTGGAGCAAATATATGTTCCTGTTCTTATTGATCCTGTTTTTCACCATCCAAACTGCCAATCTGCTGTCTACTCTCTGATTTTTCACCCTTACATTTTAGACATGATAGATTTGGGCACCAGTTTTTTCTGATTACAATATTGGCTCTCCATCCTATTCTCCCTTGGGCTACTTTAGGTAAGTTCCTTGTGGATTCAGCTCAGCCCAAGAACTGCCCATGGGATTTGTCCTAGCTTCTGTGTGTTTGTTTTGTTTGTTTTTTGTTTTTGTTTTTTTGAGATGGAGTCTCACTCTGTTGCCCAGTCTGGTGTGCAGTGGCGTGATCTCGGCTCACTGCAACCTCCGCCTCCTGGGTTCAAGAGATTCTCCAGCCTCAACCTCTGGAGTAGCTGGGACTACAGGCATGCACCACCATGCCTGGCTAATTTTTGTATTTTTGGTAGAGATGGGGTTTCACTATGTTGGGCAGGCTGGTCTCGAACTCCAGGCCTCAGGTGATCCGCCTACCTCGGCCTGCCAAAGTGCTGGGATTACAGGTGTGGGCCACTGCACCCGGCCTGTCCTAACTTCTGGACCTGAAATGCAGTAAGAAAGAATGCTCAAAAGGTAAGAGGGACAGCAAAAGCAAAACAACATGTTAATAAATACATTAACATATCAAAAGCAGAGGATGATTCAGCAAAGAAAGAGAGAAGCAGTCACAGAGGTTGAAAAATGAAGTCTGAAGAGTAACATAAGCCAACAGAAGAGAGATGTCAAGAAGGAGAGTGTGATCAACATCCTCACTTACTGCAAAAAGGTCAAAGAGGATGAGAGCTTAGAAAAGACTGCTAGATTTGAAAAGTGAGAAGTTACTGGTGACTCCTTGAAAGTGGAGTTCTGATAAAGTGGTGAGAGTAGAAGCCAAACTGCAAAAGGTCAAGATGTAGATGCAGAAATTACAGTTAATCTTTCAAGAACACTGGTCAGAATAGGGAAGCAAAAAGATCAAATGATAGACTGAAGAGTAGCAAGGTGGACAGAAGGTTGGTTATTTTAGTAGGGATGACATATTTTGTATCTAAATAGAGGAAAAGATGTAAGGGGGGAAGAGATTAAGGATAAAGAACAGGAGCATAACTGATAAGATACAATCCAAGAAAAGGTAGAATGGGTAGGACCAAGCATGTGGAAGTAAGGAAAATACTTTGGGCATGAGAAAAGGAAAGGAAAGTGAAGACAGCAACAGTTAGTGGAGTATAGCAAACTTAACTTTAAAAGAGCTCCCCACCTTAATAAATCAGAAGTAAAAGGCATATTTCCTTTTCAAACTGAATTTTCAGTAAAAATCTGAACTTAAGCTAAATTATGAAAAATCCAACCCTTCAAAATGAGAAAAGAATACAATTCAAAACCCAGATTATTATTATTATTAGTAGTAGTAGTAGTGTTTTTAGAGATGGGGTCCACTATGTTGCCCAGGCTGGACTAGAACTCCTGGGCTCAAGTAATCAATCATCCTACCTCAGCTTCCCAAGTAGCTAGGACTACAACCACTGCTGGGACCACTGCAACCGGCTAAAACCGAGGCTACCGATTTAATCATGACACATTGTATGCTTGTATCAAAATGTCACAGGCACCCTTTATATATGTACAACTATTACATATCCATAATTAAAATTTTAAAAAGTTGTTAAACCCAGGTTATTAAAAACAAACAAAACCTCAGGTGATCATGTCAGTGACACCTAGGAGTACAAATCAAAATCCACAGCACCCCCCAAAATAAGCTACTGAATTTGTATTCAATTTAAAATATATGTCAAATTAAGAATATTAATTTTATCTACTAAATGACCAATCTTATGAATTTCTCTAATAAATGGCTTATTTAATAACGGAAGTTATGTATTTTTAAATCCAGATGAATAATACAGGAGGCATTTCCCAATAATTTAAGCTAAAACAGGATCAGAAATGCTAATAGTCTCTTGTGGCAAAATACTCCACCCCCAGGGTTTTTCCTGATGGCTATGTTCCAAAAGCAACATGCTGGTTACATAGGAAGCACGTAGGCAGCTCCCCCAAAATACATATTCACATGTACCCCCAAAATATACATAGTAAAAAATTCTAAAACACATATTCATGACTCCACCATGGAGAGTCTAGGTAGATGGGTTACACAATTCCGTCAGGTAATTCACATACAAAACTGTGAACTCTAGAAGACAGAGGAGCCATTACAGAACCCAAAGAAATATAAACTATTACCTGAAAACCCTACCCATTCCAACCTCCAACTGATTTACAGGTACAACCAATTTGTAAAAACATGCAAGACCTTGCTGGATAGTGGAATATCCCAACTAGAAGGACAAGAAACAGGTGGCCAAATTCTTCTCTACAATGTTCCAAAGAACAATGTATTTGTGGATATGACAAGCAACATTTAGATTTAACTGCTTCCCATCACCAGCTCCTGAGCAAGGTACTTTCACATATACTGTCTAATTCAATCCTTACAAAACCAAATCATCTATTAATGTGTCTGAAGATTATAGGGGCTTAATCTTAAAGCATAATGAAGTAAATCCTGCAGGCAAGCAGACACTCTATAGAACTCTCCATTTCTCCATGAACTGGGTAGTTACCATAAAGAAAGAATGGGGTGAGTGCCCAGGCAGCTTCTCTTTTGTTCCTTCCTTTATTCTAGCTCAGTGGTTCTCAGACTATGTTGTGCATAAGAATTATTGTTCAGAGTTTTATATACAAAATTACACATATTATACCTTATGGGCTATTTAAAGGATTTACTAGGATAATTTTAGGTCTATGGAATTTTTTCTTACACTCTTGCTTTTAGAATCCTACTAACCCAGCATAAGATTTAACACCACTACATGTCCTTGGCTAGTGAATCAATGCATCATTGCTCATACTTTCCAGGTCCTGCATAAGGGCAGTCTAGTTGGCTTTTACAGGATTCAAAAAGCAAATTGAATTGGTGTCTCAATTGTTTAAACAGAGAGGCAGGGTAGAATAGTTTAAACACAACACACAGATATTGCTGTATTTCAAGGCCAGCACTGCTTTTGAACACATTCATTTTTTAAAAGTTTGTATTGATCCAGATGAAGTCCTACTTTGACCACAGAAGACTGAAGTCCAATAAATCCCAATAAAAGGACAATGTTTTATGGCTCTACTCCCCAGGCAATATCACTAAAGGCAAGACACGATGCCACGAATGATGTGCTTAAACCAAGTCCCACATATTGAGGGAGAAACTTTAATAATAGGGAAATAACTATTTATTTTTAATTGTGTGTCCAATATCATGGATCCACTTGACTAACTTCTTGTATAGAAAAGTATTGTATTCTGTACATTGACAAGTACAGAATACTCATTGAAAAAGGCTAGTATTTTAAAGTTTAATTTTCATTAGAAAAGGACCAATGCATTTTTTTATGTGAGAATGGATTTCTCTAGGACGGAAAAATATGACTCAATATTTAAAATATGTATCCTACCTACAACTTTTCAAGATTAAATCTAATGTGTAAAGATATGTCAACCTTGTAGAGACTGGTTCTTGGACATCCTCCAAAGACACTGGACTATCCTCAGGAATCTTAAAAGGAAGAGAACGCCACTGTGCTCACCAGGTTCATGGTAATCTACATTACAATTATATCTGGGTGTGAGTTTTACTCTAGTTCATAAACACAAAAACAAAACATCATATGCATCTTGCATTTACAAAGCCCAAGCTAAGAAGGCATTCACACAATTAGCCAGGATATCACTGTACATAATTTAATCATCTTTTCAATGTTCCCCCTTCTAAATCATCAAAGCCTAAATTAATCCAAAGGTGGCTGGCATGCCTTCACCTTCCCTAGAAACCATATGACAGTTAAAGTTTGTCTTAAGATTCCATGATTCATTTTGAGTCTTGTAGCGGCATGACTACATTTCATCTGGCCTGGGGCAAGCACTCTCTGAAGAGATATTACTGTTTCCCAAACCTGAATAATTTGCTGACTGGGGGAGGAGAGGATTGCTATTTAATAAAAGTAATTGAAGAGCTGTGAATAGTGACTGATTGCTGATGAGCTAATCAGAATATCAAGGAAGGGAAATAATAAATAATAACTTATTCAGACATCACTGTCCAAGTAAACAGCCGGATATGCCAAATGAAATTTAATCTGATTATCATACTCACCTTAAAAGCAAACTGTCAAGTCTTTCTCTGTCCACTACTTCATTTGTCTCTTTCATATTCCACTGTAAGGGGGATGAAAGACTTTGTTTTCAGAAGTTGGTTATATAGCTCACGTGTCCGGCATCCCTTCCCTTCTCTTACCATCCCCATCCAAGTTGTTACGCTGCTCCCTGACCCTCTACATTTTTCTCTTCCCTTCTTTTATGCAATTCTCCTCATTTCTTTTAAAATTGTTTCCTACATCAAAACATTATTTTTACATTTTTCTCTCTAAAAAATGTAAGTTGGCCATTACTTTTCTTTAGCTACAATGTCTTAAATACTAAGTGCTGGATACTACACCAAGGGTTGTACACATATTAACTAATGTAATCCTTACAATGACTATGTTAAGTAGGCAGTATTCACTCTATTTTACAATGAGACTACCAAGTTTAAGAAAATTATGTTAACTCACCCCAGGTCTTATGTTTACTAAGTGGCAGAGTTGAATTTTTAACCCATTTCGTGGTTGACTGCAAAGTCTATGTCATGAACACATCAATACTACCCCCAAATACAGTCATGCATTGCTTAATAATGGAGATACTTTTTGAGAAATGCATTGTTAGGTGATTTTGTTGTGCAGTCAAAGAATGTACTTACACAAAATGATATACACATTTTTATTTATATATATTTTTTCATATATAAAGCCAAAGTTCCCATCACCATTACTATGCTACTACTGTGCAGTGGAAATTAATCTCATGCACTATGGGCACCAAAACAAGAACAAAAACAATTTGTTGAAAGAAGAAAGCTTTAAGTTTTGGAACCTATGGGGAAAAAAATGGCTTTACTGAGGAGGACTGTTTACCCCAACCTCTGAAAGGAGTTGGGAAAAGATAATCCTAAAAGAAATGTTACAGCAAGGCTTTAAATGAAGAATGCCAGAAGAAGCTAAAAAAATTAGATATAAGAGACTTTAGAGTGAAATAAAACTGTAGTACAGAAAGGTAGTGTTTAACATCAGTCTTTACAGACAGTGTCTGGGTTCAAATCCTAATTTTTGTCCATTGGGCAAGCTACTCAATGTTTCTGTGCCTCATCTGGAATAGAATAGTACCCATATCAGTGACATACTGTTGAGTATTAAATGACATAATGTATTTAAGAACTTTAGAAGAATGCCTAGCATATAATGATGTCCCCCAAAAATGAAAACTATTATTACATTTACTCTTCAACTAATTTGAAGAAAATTTTGGATTTCTTTAAATACAATCGTTTTTAAAAATATATCTTCAAATGAAAAAAAACTATCATCACTACAGGTGGCATTATATAATAATACTGCACTCTCATTTTTTTCCACAATCATGACACATATGAAAAATGATATTCTATAGAAATATATAGTAGAGTCAACTGTAGAGGCTACTCAGAAGAGGCGACAGCCATACCAAACTCCACTACACTCGTTGTCCAAGGACTAAAAAGATGGCATCTCAGCCAATCCTCATTCTCTGCACTTAGCCAAGTTGAGGGCTGCAGTTTAACCCTTTTGAGGGAAGCCTGATGTAGTAAGAAATGAATTACATCGATATTTATATTCTGACTCTCATAAGCTTTTAGATATTTATTCAGAGGAAGCAATGCAGCAAAAGCAAAAAGTTATGTGTGAGCAAGACTCAACTGCATTAAACACAATATCAAAATTGAGTGGAAAGTTAAACGTTCAATATAAGAAGTTTTGGTTTGACAGAATAGTTAATGGAGAAGAGAAGGTTACTCACTTCTCTTGGTATTTTCTGCTCCTTTGCTCAAATAGCCTGAGAAGATAAGTCTGGGTTTCCACTCATGGGAACAGAACTATATATCTCAGATGAAACAGGAACACCAGTGGAAACTTTAACAAAAACAATGCATATAAGCAACAGTTATATGCACCATTACAATTTAATGTCCTCACTTGCACAATGTTGGACTATTGTGAAAATAATAAAATTAGTGAAAAGCAGAATACAAAACAGTATACAGGCACTATAAAATCTAGTGTAATAGTGCAATCTAGTGGAAAAGGATTAAAAAGCCAAGTGTATGAGCTATTGGGTTAGGGACGTAAAGCTGCAGGAAAAATTTCTGTTCACAATAAAAAATATAACAATGCTCACATGCTCTTTCCAACTAAGTAACCTCTAAAAAAGAAATATTCTTATATTGTATGTTTGCTTTAAATTGTTATTAATTTCCTTAATTATAAAAATCCATACATTCTCATTGTACTATACTTTCCAATAGTATAACCAGGAGGGTACAAAATATAAATGTTCTCCCTCATATCCCTGTTGCCATCCCACCAATGTCACTGCCTAGCGTATCTACCCTTAATCGTCCTCGTGTCTTTCCATATTCTATGTGTGTACACACAAAAACACATACCGTGCTCTTTTTTGCATAATATGATCACATTTTTTCACTTAGAATATATCTTGAACATGTTTACATGATAGCACATTTTAAGGCTACATCATTTTCTGCTATGTGTCTCAATCATAATTTATTTATCATCACCTCAAACTAAGCTTGTCCAAACTAGGACCCATACTCTTTCCCTTAAAAACTGATCCTATTCCAGCCCTCTTCATCCTGTGTGTGGCACCACCATCTGTCCTCATGTAGATGACAGAAATCTGGAAATCATCCTTGAAATCTCCTCCCGACAAACTTAGCACCAAATTCAATGCAACACTCACTTCTGTTGGTTTTTACCCCCTAAAATATCCCTCCTATCTTCATCTCCCCATCACCACGCTAGCCCACAAGGTCATCAACTCTATCCTCAATTACTAAAGGAGCTTACTAGTCTGCTGCAAACTATTCTGACCCCTCCAACCTTTTCCTCACAAACAGCTAAAGTGCTCTTTTTGAAATGCAGATCTGATCATGTCCTGGTTAAATCCCTGCAAAGATTTTCCCATTGCTCTTAGTATAAAGATTAAATCCTTTAAGGTTGTCTACCAGGTCCTGCAAAATTTGTTCCCTGACCTCCTGTCTAGCCTCATTTAACATTGTGCTTACCCTTTTACTGCTCCAACGCCACTGGACTTCTTTTAGCACTTTCTGTTGACCATATTCAACCTGCCCCAGGGCCTCTACAGAGGTCTTCCTTTTACCTCATATATACCGTCCCTCCTTACTAATATTTACTCATCCTTAAGATCTGAGTACTTCCTTGGAAGAGCCTTCCTTAAACCCCCTATCTGGCCAAATCCTCTACTTACAAGTTCTAGTCAGGTTCATAGCAATTACCATAGTTTTAAGGGCACATTTATATGTGTAATTGTTTGATTAATCAAATAATCTTGAAAAAAACCCTGTTCTTTGTCAACCCCACTAGTGTAAAAAGTTCCACGATAGCCGAGCTGTGTATTCCCTAGCATCCAGCATGGGGTCTCAAAACTAGTCAACACTCAAAAAAATGAATGAATAAAGGAATTACTGGCCAGGTGTGGTGGCTCACACCTGTAATCCCAACACTCTGGGAGGCTGAGGTGGGAGAATCACCAGAGGTCAGGAGTTCAAGACCAGCCTGGCCAACGTGGTGAAACTCCGTCTTTACTAAAAATACAAAAAAATTAGCTGGGCCTGGTGGCGGGTGCCTGTAATCCCAGCTATTTGGGAGGCTGAGGCAGGAGAATCACTTGAACCCGGGAGGCGGAGGTTGCAGTGAGCCAAGACCTCATCATTGTACTCCAGCCTGGGCAACAAGAACAAAACTCTGTCTCCAAAAAAAAAAAAAAAAAAAAAAGAATTACTAATTAGTAAAGATGACCAGGATTTTTTCTAGTTTTCTTATTATGATTATCAACACTATAATAAAAATCCTTATCTGTATCTTTGAAGCACCTTCACCATTATATCTCTAAGCTAGACTTCTAGCAGTAAAACGGTTAGATGAAAAATAATACTGTACATTTCAAATTCTGATAAGCACATGTAGTCATCTGTTCTGTTTCTACTTCGGCAGTACTGGTCTTTCATGAGAATGAACCCAGTAACTACAGAAAATGAAAGATGTTAAAAGTGCTACACTGATTAACTATTTCATAGAAGAGAAAAGCCAATGTCATTTTACTGCACAGCAAGAAACATGAATTTGCTAAGAAGGAGAAACAAAAAACCTCAGGGCTATTTTTTCTCTTATTTTGCTTTCCAAGGTAAAAGAGCAACTATACTTCCATGCATACTGCTGAAGAAATAGGTAACAAATATTCCACTTTAACTGCTGTAAGAAAATTACTGTGATCCCTTCTTTCAAATTTGCAGCGAACCCCAAATCTCCATAATAATCAAAGTGGTGATCAGATAAGGAAGTGAAAAGCTAAAGAATGGGAAAGAATTCATACCAGAGCTGCCTAACTCCTATACATTTTTTAAATGAGCGGCTTCATTTATCAGAAAAGAGTCTGCGTACATGTCACAACAGATACCATGGCGATTCCCGTGGTACAGGATGCCAAAGATCTATTCCAAAAAATTGATTAGTCTAAGACAATTAGATACAAAGTGAAATGTGCTAAACATGCGTGGTTTTTAAATAATCAAATGCACTTAAACTGCTATTGCATAAACATTGCACAAAAATTCTTACATGAAGATACAAAAAATAAAATAAAATTCTACCAAAG
Source organism: Homo sapiens (assembly GCF_000001405.40). NCBI lineage: Eukaryota > Metazoa > Chordata > Mammalia > Primates > Hominidae > Homo > Homo sapiens. The sequence continues at coordinate 94,649,279 of NC_000007.14, forward strand.
AGTGACCGAAGAAGAAAACAGCACTGTAGCTTTTACTAACATATTGTTTCCAAGAATATAACAATAATCATGCCAGCAACTAATGTTTTGAGGCTACCTATTTATTTCCCAAGGTAACATCTTTAAGTTTTAAAATGTAGACACTGGGGATTATTACTTCCAAAGCAGGGGAGCCAGAGCCAGAGCAAGCAAGCACTGCATTCAAGGAATTACAAGTAGCCGCCTGTAGATCAGCTGAGCGTTGACAAGCCAGAAACTCATCTTTGAGCTTTTCTGTCTTGGAAATATGAACTCAGCCCAAGAACGCCCGTGGCATCTTCAACAACAGGGATGCAAGCCATCTCAAACTGCTGTTTGCATTATTACAATCCCACAAAAGTGCATGGGGCCCTTCTATGAAAGAGAGAATAAGGAAAAGAGAAAGTTGTTCAACATTAGAAATATACTTCATACAGTCAGAGTGAAAGTGACTGCATTTCTGACCTAACAACTGGAGTGGAGGAGAAAGTTCTAAGTGTGAGGCAGAAGTGAAAGCTGCAGGGAAAAGTTAGAAAATATGACAGAAGAATTTTTCTATCATTTCTTCACCTCTCTCATTGGACTTCTTAGTTTGCAAGAACTAATAACTCCAGGGTATAAAAATAGCTTTTGTAGAATCCGAAACTACTCACAAAAGGGGTCCTGTAAGGAAGCCCTATATAATCCACAAATTCATTTTAAGAAATCATATTTTCAAAGTTTGATATACTAACCCAAATAAACAATCAATAGGCAGATCACCATACAGGAAAGAAAAATCTGCCTCAAGACATGTTTGAGACACTAAGAATGTGCCCTTCAGCCAGGCAGAAACCAGGCTAACCTGAAACAGACAGAAGTTAAAAACATTTGATAAAAATATTTTATTTTGCTATGTAAAAGCTAAAAATTGTAACTGTTAAGTTTTGTAGGGAGATACATCACAAGGGAGGGGAGGTTGCAGAAGGGACCCTATTTCCCTCTGGAGAAGAGGCAGCTGAGCTCCAGCAGCCAGCCTGCCCCCTCTAGCCCTAGGTACCCTCGGCATCCACGGCCACTCAGCCCCAGTAGCCTGCTTGGACAGAGCAAGAAATTCCAGGAAAGAGTAATTCTAGGAAGCAAATTAAGCAAGTTAAGACACTTTGCAGGGGGAAAAGGAATCTTTCATCTTCTTCTCAGGTTTTCATGTTTGAAACAGAATGGGAGAGATAGGAGGGTGTGTGTTAAATTACCCTGTTGCAGCTATTTTCAAGTTGTAAGAAATGAACTTGCAACACATAGGGCTATTTAGACAGTTTATCAGAAAAATAAAATGTTCTCATCACAATTATCTTTCAGGTCTACACTAAAATGTTATCAAGGTCTTCAAGTTAAATATTCATTGCAAGAAAGGTGAATATTTCTGATATTTAAAGAACAGAATAAATAAAGTTGATTGTTTTGTTGAGCTGCAATGTTAGGAAGGCCTCATGTTGAAATCTATCTGTACCTTTAACCCACCGATGCTAGTTCTACTTTCCGAAGCAAACATCAGAGAGTTCATGTTGACTGTTTAGTCTTCTCAAGTTAAACACTTCCAGACCCTGTGAGGATACCTCCCATGACAGGATTGCCAGACCCTTCAACATCCCCATGGACTGCTCTGGAAGTTGTCTAATTTGTCAAAATCTCTCTTTAAATGTGACAGCCAGAAATGGACACAATACTACAGATGTGGTTGATTAGAGCAGGGTACTATTAATTTTTGTGACATATGGACACTATACTACTACCAGAACCTAACTAATTTTTTTTTCTTTTGCAACCATATCATGCCACTGGTTCATAATAACCTTCATTTTCCTAAAGAACTGCCACCATACAAAGTCATCTCCATACTTCCATACCAATGAATTATGATGCATTTACTACTATAAAATATTTTTTTGCTTTCAGCACAGCATTGCAGCCCACTTAAAAACCATGTTAACTCTAAATTGTTACCTATTTCTAACAGCTATCCCTTTTCAATTAATCCATGGATTTTAAAGCAAGCCTCTTAGATCTTCATCAAAGTCATTCGTACAAATGCTGAGGAAGACAAAACTCAGGGCAAAGGCTTATGATCCTTAACCAGGGACGATACCCTGACGCAAACCCAAGAACGTATACACCTCGCCGGTGCTGGTTCAGTCTGCCTCCCGCTCACACAGCAATACTGCTAATTAATCTGCACACCACCTCATACACAAGAGCATCCTGCATCCTTGACAAATGCTTTGCAGAAAGCAGGATTAACTTATCTTTCAAAACAAAGTGTAAGAAATCTATACATATTAAAATTATAATTATATACAAATATTTATGTACACAGAACAAAGACTAGAAGGGATACAACATCAATGGAAATGGTTGTTCCAGAGTCAGTCTGTGGAAACTGGAGATTTGTTTTTTACTTAATACTGTCTTTAATACGGTTACAGAATTTAAAACACTGGGAATTATGAAGAGAGAATTTGGCTTGGAAGCAATCCATGTGAAATAGCATTTAAGAGCATTGAGACTCTATCTGATCCTATCAACCTGAAAACTTGAATCAGAAACATATTCACTTGAAAAGACTTATTGATACCTAGAAACATTGGCTTTTTCTTCTTTATTATTTTTTTTTTTTGTTTCTCGTACTGCTACTTTAGGCTTAATATTTCTGGAAATCAGGGAGATAACAGACTGGAGAACTGGATTCCGAAGTTTAGAAAAAGCCTGAATGGAGTGTGCGTTAGTCTATGTATGCTCCTCACATCTGTCTGTCTGTCTGTCTCTGCTGGGGAGGTTGAGAGGGATAGAAAGAAAACAGCCATCATATTGATATTTCTGTGAAGCTATGGACTAAGCGATCTCCCCTCCAGCCCAAGAATTTCTAACGAACACAGACCCATATCATCAATTCCCCTAGAGTCATTTTTTTACACTGGAGGTAGGAAATAAGTGTTAGAATATGCATTTAGGTGTTTACAGAATATGGAAGGGTAAGTTTTAAGGAAAGGATTTGGGTAGATTATGGATAATTAGCAAAAAAGAAAAAGGAAGAAGGTGGCTGGGTATTTTGGAGAAAATGTGATCTATAAATACTGCACTTATTAGAATCAGAAACAATCTGAATATTTGACTTGGGAATTTTTTTAACAAGTCAGGATTTCTTCACTACTTCAATATTTTGTGTACTGCATGATTTTCACCAGTGGAAAACTAGTGTTAGAAACTGGATACATGTTATCTTTATTTCCTTGAGGTTGTCGCTAACCAGTTTTTTCTGGTGTTGTCCCTTATTTTCAATGTCTGTGAGACAAGTGAAAATGCCACTTTGCTTAGAAATGCAATTTATCCACCATACTATAGGATAAGTAAAATACATGAAGCAAATCAACAGCTTTTAGATTTATGGCAAACTGTTGTAAAAATGGATAAAATGTTCAATACAAAGTCCACTTACTCTTTGACAACTGGAAATTGTACTTTGCTTAGAAATAAATTTTCCGTACCATACCAGAACTTAAGCCAAATACAGGTGGTAAGTCAGCAGGTTCGTAAATCCATAGCAATTGTCATTAAAAATGAATAAGGTGTCCAAATAGAAAGTCCAGTTATTATTTGACAACTGAAAATTTTACTTTGCTTAGAAATATATTTTCTCTATATTAGAAATTAAGCCAAATATATGTGGTAAGTCAGCAGATGCATAGATCTATAGCAAATTGTCATTAAAAAGGGATAAAATGTCCAAATAGAAAGTACAATTACTATTTTACAAGTGAAAATTCCAGTTTGTTTTGAAATCGTTTTCTAAAACCCTAGAACTTAAGCTAAATACATAAGGTAAATTCAACAGCTTTATAAATACATGGCAAATTTTCATTAAATGGGTAAAATGTCCAAAGAGAAAGTCTAGTTATTATCTAACAAGTGAAAATCCCACTTTGTTTTGAAATACAATTTTCTTAACATACTAGAAGTTAAATATAGGTGTTAAATCAACAGCTTCGTAGATCTACAGCAAATTCTCATAAAAATAGATAAAATGTCTAAATACGAAGCCCAGTTATTATTTGATAAAATAAATAATACACATTAACTCCTCTTTGCTGTATATGCAACCCTGTGCAAAATGGGCAGAAATAGTCAACACCAGAAATAAATATCTGAGAAAATCCAAAATTCACATAGATATTAAATATCCAAAATATGTTTAAAGTTCTTATCTATTAATTTGGTTTTGGTTTTGGTTTTGAAAATGTTTGTTGTTCTAGACAACACAAAAATGTTACCTAAAGTATTGCTCTATTAATGTTATCTTTCTGTTTTATTTTTAGTATTGTTTTGTTTTTTGGATAACAAAAAGGTTTTATCTAAATTACTTATATATTGATGCTGTTTTTTCCCTTAGAAAATTCTATTTCTAAGCAAAGTGAAAATATTTTCATATGTAGAGGAATAAAAAACTACAATATGTTAGAATAGTGAGATGGGAGAAAATTCTTCTCAGTTTTCTGGTTTTAAATATTTATGTACTAAGGTTGTTCATTTAAAATTTTAATTAAAAAATTAATATTATTTCCTTTAAAGAAAGCTCTCCAAACTTAATGTTATTTAACATTTAAAGGCTCTTTGGAAAGAAAATAATCGAGGAGAATTAATTTGATCTTGTTTTTAACTTTTAGAAAGTATTTAACTGCAATCCTATGAAAAATATTTATTGTATAGCTACCTATATATGCATAGAGAACGTCTGAAAAAGCAGACTCTATAATGTTTACTGGTGTTATTGCAGGGTGAATAGGTTACAGGTGACCTTTTCTTTAGAGTTTTCTAGGGTTTTCTCTCCTGAATTTTGTACAATGACCTGAAATTACTTTTATTATGGTAAAATACTAATTACGTTTTTTAAAAAAAGTCCTGGTTAGCATTTTGAAATGAAAAAATCAAATTGGTTCAAACTTGTTCAAACTTTTAAAGTCTTAAGATGGATTTTTGAACTTTAATTTTTCCTGCTTTTCATCTATACTGGTTTTAAATCTCAATTTTTAGAAAAATAATGTCTCAGTTAACTAGGTGAAGTAACTTTCGAATTTAAACAAACAAACAAAACTGGTAAGAATTTGACAGCGGTCACCAGAACAGTACTCTACCAAGCATAAGAAATCCTGGAATTATTCTATCTTGCAGAAGAGGGTGAACATCCTAAAGATTAAATTAAAAGGCACTTCTAAAAAGTATAATTGTGTTTACCCAACTTCCTAGGGAAATGTCTTTGTTAAAAAGCTGCATTTCATTCATTCATATTCCGGATAGTGGGCATTTTCTAATAAAAAGTAAAATCTCAGTAAATGGGCTACAGTTTTGTTTATTCCTAGAAAGGCTCTCTTTTAAAGTGCGGTGTCTGCAACGTTGTTATGACAATAAGTCAAATTCTTATTGATATTCCAAGTATAAAATAATCCGTAGCAATGTTACTAAAATGTGCTCAATTTTGCTCTTCAAATATGAAAGCGTTTCATCTGTGTTTCAGAAACCTAACTCAGCTGTAGACAATTTGGTTTTCCCTTTTAACTTAAACTTGTTTTACTAAGATCATCAACAGATTGTCAGTTTCCCAAGCACCTGACACTGAGGCGCTTAGATGGGAATCCGCGTTAAGGTTTTATTTAGCATCCTTCCTCATCAGAATTTTAGCGTCTTATCAGCCACTGCAATTTTCCCTGACATAAAATATATATGTTCATAGTACAAATGCACGCAAATATTTGTGGCCGAATCTCGGCAACCCGCTGGAAAGGATTAAACGTGCGGTTGCCGTGACTAAACGCATTCATTCACCCTACAAGATTTAGGAAAATGTAACGTTGCAAGGGAAGCAAGGTCTCTGTGTAAACCTCGTAATCGCCACCAAAAGTCGGTAGCTGGGAGCCTTCAAAGCCCGCCAAACACACTGGAAGCATCCACAGCTGTTTTAAATTGGTTTTGGTTTCTGGAAATAGCGCACTCGGTACGGCAGCATCTCTGGCCTCCAGCCGGGGTTAACCCTGACCTGAACGCCCTGTTTAGCTCCCAGCATTTCATGATTCCGCTTCCCTGCTCCGTAAAACCGAAGAAAACCGAGATTTCCGTCACCGAGAAATGCACTTAGCAAGAGGGGGAAATTCGGTGTTTTAAATGTCACATTTTTGTGTTCTCTACCACTATCAAGAAAAGGAAAAAAGATGTGTTTGTGTAGCGGGGACGCAGCTTGACACCCATTTCCTTTGGCTCGCATCGCGGTCGCAGAGCCCAATCGCGGGGAAACGGGCCCCCCAGAAAAACAGGCAACGACCCCCAGCTCTTTGCTACAGGGATCGGGAGAGGACTACCCTGGGGCTGGGCGGGGAGGGGGATGTTGGGAACAGGAATTGGAGATGGAATTTCTGCGCCCGCAGAGCAGGGAGGGGCCCGCGGGGGCGCGGAGAGGAAAAAAAGGCCAGGGGTCAAGCCTGGGGAGAGAGAAGCTGGGCCGGGGAAATGGGGTACAGGGTGTACTGAAGGAGGGGTACGGTGGGGTCCGGGACAGAAAGAGAGGCTGGTGCCCAAAGGGCGCGCTCAGGCGCCCGGAACCCGAGCGGGGGAGGGGGAGGCGGCGGCCTGTTGGCCCCGGGACCTCCACGTCGCGCGCAGGCCACTAACCTGTCAGCAAGAATGTGCCAGTGGTCGCGGGGCTCATCCTGCGTGTCCCCCGACCCTGTCCCGTCCAAGCACAGGGGTCTCCCAGCTCCCACCACCGGGGCAATTGCATTCTTGGCCTGGCTAGGCCGTCCGTCCTCGATTCTCCCCTCCCCTCCCTTTCTTCTTCCCTCCCAGCTTGGCCAGTTCAGCATCAGCATCCCGCACCCCCTCGGTAATCCCGTACTCCCTCTAGCGGCGGGCCACTGCAGCGTGGCCACCGCCCCCACCCCCATCCCCCATCCCCGCACCCCCCTCCACCCCCTAGCCCGCGGAGCACGCTGGGATTTGGCGCCCCCCTCCTCGGTGCAACCTATATAAGGCTCACAGTCTGCGCTCCTGGTACACGCGCTTCAACTTCGGTTGGTGTGTGTCGAAGAAACCTGACTGCGCCCTGAGGAGAACAGCGGAGAAGGTCCACCGAGCCTGGCGAAAGGTCCGCTGAGCGGGCTGTCGTCCGGAGCCACTCCGGGCTGCGGAGCACCCAGTGGAGACCGCGCCTGGCTCAGGTGTGGGACCCCATCCTTCCTGTCTTCGCAGAGGAGTCCTCGCGTGGTGAGTATGCGGTGAGGACGTTTTTTTTTTAAAGATCACGTTCATTCCCCGTGCTTATCGGGAGCTGCGGGAGATGGAGTAGCACCCCAGAATGTCTCCACGCAAAACTTGTCACGCCTTCACTGGCTGTACCCCAAAACAAATGGGGAAACCAAGCCTTAAAGGCTTGGGTTTCCAGGACCAAGTCCAGATACGGGCTGTAGACAGAGATGAGCTGCGGACAGTGATGAGCTGCAGACGGTCAGGAGCTATAGATCGATTTGCAATTTGCTCTTCAAATGCGCTACCAAGTGCCATGCTTTACAAACAGATAAGCGCTTCAAATGCGCTACAAACTGGCGCTTCAGATGCGCTACAAGCACGCTTCACGCGGGCGACAAACTGATGGGAGCTACAACTGGCGCTTCATTGCGCTATAAACTGATGGGCGCTTTATGTGCCACAAACTGACGGATGGGCGCTTCAGTGGCGCTACAATCCAGAACGAGGAGCAGCGATATAGGAGCTGCAGACAGAAAACTGAATTGCGCTTTACATGCGCTGCAAAATCTGAGCTGCAGAAGAGTAGCACTACAAAAAACGCTACAAAAACGATGCGATTAGCCAGCCCGACAACAGCGCTTCATTGCGCTGCGAGGCACATGAACTGCAGAGGTACATGAGCTGCGGAACAATTCACACCTAAGATGCACTACAAAGTGGTAAGAGCTGCAGAGGTACAGGAGCTGCAGACCGTTTGCGCTACAAATAAAGCAGCCGTAGTGGGACATGAGCTGCGGAGTACAATTCCTCTGTTTTCTTGGAGCAGGACCCCACCCTTTCACCTTTTGGAATGGCTCCCACTCTATTTTTCTGCAGGACGGTTCTCGCATGATGGTGCTGGTAGACAAAATGGAGCCCCGGGCAAAAATTAGTGTTTAACATTCTGCCCACACCATTCCCGCTATAGCAGTGGAGTGGAGGGGCACTGATTGGAGTGGAAATGGGAATCTTTTGGTGATGGCAGAGCAGGCTGCCTGCCTACTTGTGCTTGATTGAAGTGGCGGTGTAGTTGTGGTGGCGCGAATCAGCGTCCAGCAACAGTTTGTGGAAACTGTGGGTTTGCTGAGTATGGCGGGGGAATTGGATCTGTGGATTGCTCTTGCTGCATGAAATGAATCTGGCTTTGGTGACTGGTGGGAGGGGTTTGGGAGGGGGGATTCTGGCGGCGGGGGGGGGGGGTGTGCAGATACTCTGCAGCCCTGTAGCAGCCAGTCTCAGGCCTGCCCCGCCCATCCTAGTGTGCCTTCTCTGCGGTGCTTAGCGCCTCCTCCTACAGCGCCTCCTCAGAGCGCGCCTCCCCTGCAGCGCGCCTTCCCAGAGCGCGCCTTCTAGATGCGGCCTCCTCAGGCCCCTCCTCCCAGCTCCTTAGCGCCTGCCTGCCCAGGCCCCACCTCTCTCTGGCCACCTCATTCTGAGGTGAGCTGCTCAGGCCCCGCCTCTTCCAGGCCCGCCTTTTCTGTGGTGAGCTGCCCAGGCCCTGCCTCTCCCGGGCCCACCTACTCTGAGGTGAACTGTCCAGGCCCCGCCTCTCCCGGGGCCGCCCCCTCTGAGGTGAACTGCCCAGGCCCCACCTCTCCTGGGCCCGCCTCCTCTGAGGTGAACTGCCCAGGCCCCGCCTCTCCTGGGCCCGCCTCCTCTGAGGTGAACTGCCCAGACCCCACCTCTCCTGGGCCCGCCTCCTCTGAGGTGAACTGCCCAGGCCCCGCCTCTCCTGGGCCCGCCTCCTCTGAGGTGAACTGCCCAGGCCCCGCCTCTCCTGGGCCCGCCTCCTCTGATGTGAGCTCACCCAGATCCCACCTCCCCAGGCCCGCCTCCTCTTAGGTAGCCTGCTCAGGCCCCGCCTCTCCAAGGCTTGGCCCCTCCCTAAGCCTGCCTCTGCCGGGCTGGCCTATAGTCCCACCTCCCTCAGAGCCGGCTAGCACACATGCGCAGTGTGAACCCTCAGCCCCTCCCTTCAGGCGCCGGTCCTCTGCACCTGCGCACCTTCCTTGCCTGAGCCCTGGCTGTACAGCCCCGCCCCCCTGCGGTTTCTCTGCTGTGTTGGTTTTGCTTTTTGGCTACTAGAGTCTAATAGAATAATAAATAAAACAATTAACAATAATAATTATAACTGGAATTTATGAGCACTTTTAATATGTTCTTTGCATATATTCAATAACATAATCCCACAATTTAAACTCCTGATAGTGGCTTATGAAGGGACCTTGTAAACTGACATGGCTGGTGCCTCTAAAGGCAATTTAGCCAAATGTTTTTACTGCAAATGAAAACCAAAACTTAACAATTTATTTTTAAAAACTTTAAAAATATTTTCACATTTAAGGTTTTTTTAGAGGCACTAGTGGACCTTTGGGAATCGGATGTTTTGGTGGATACAAAATTGGTGCTGTTGGTTTGGCCTCTGAGTGAGGATAAGGCTTTTATTTGCGTGCCTATGAAGCTGGGTGTTTTCCTTGAATCTCTAGGTGATTAACCCTAGCCTATTTGCCTATGTATAATAAATTGTGCCTGCACATGGTAGGCATTCATTAAATATGTGTTAAATGACCAGAGTAAATTGGTTTATTCAGTGTCTTGCTTGGTGTCTGTAGGTCTCTTCTGATTTGCTCCTTTCCTATGGTGCTTTGCTGTCCTGGGTTGCCTTGTTTGCGTTATCTCTCACATTTAACAGAATAAAAAAAAAGTGTATGTGTTTTTAAACTCCAATGATATAAGCTGTAATTATAATACAAAGCAACTAAATTAATTTTAATTATTCCAAATAATTAGCTTTTTTCATAAAAAGCTAGTTATTCCAAATATTAGCTTTTTTCATGAAAAGCTAGTTATTCCAAATAATTAGCTTTTTTCATAAAAAGCTAGTTATTCCAAATAATTAGCTTTTTTCATAAAAAGCTAGTTATTCCAAATAATTAGCTTTTTTCATAAAAAGCTAGTTATTCCAAATAATTAGCTTTTTTCATAAAAAGCTAGTTATTCCAAATAATTAGCTTTTTTCATAAAAAGCTAGTTATTCCAAATAATTAGCTTTTTTCATAAAAAGCTAATTTAAATTTGGGGCAAGTGTATTATTAATGGTACATATTGTATTAAAGTTTGTGTAATGTAATATAAAGTGGCCACATTACAAAATATAGGTTGTTTCAGCTTGCAAAATTAAACAACTGTATAAAACAAATTTATAACTGATTGCTAGTAAGAGGTACCATGTAAGAATTGTGTTTCCAGCTGAATGAAGAAATTTTAAAACCTGGTTCCATATATTACAAATCATGAGCCAGGACTTTGGTAGGGGAGGAATTGGGGGCTTTGGCTCCCAAAAATCTCTGTCACATACCCCCTCCCCACCACAAGTACACAATCTATGGAAAATTTGTGCTTATCATAATTACAGCTTTAAGTAATTTTCCCTTCTCTTTGGATATTGTATATTTGCATATTGAAGAGGTTCAAAACAACAGTAATAACATGCATATTAAGAGAATTTGCATTTCATAAATAGTACAAGATAGTACTAAAAAATTGGACATTTGAAAATATGAAGCAACTAAGAGTTGCTTAATGAGATGTCATTTCCTAACAGGATGTTCATTTATGGTTTTTGGCTACTATTGCTCTTTGGTGTGTTTGTGGAATAGAAATTATTCCAAGCTATTGTGAAGAGTCAATAATTAACCAAATGTATTTATTTCCTAAAAAGACTAAAACTGAAATTATTATCATGTAAAGATGGCATCTGTCCTAGGCAACTTGGCTTTATGCAGTTTGTCCTTTCAGTTTTCAGGAATGAGACCTCTTGACCCCTCCCCTCCAATGCAGCCCCTACTAAGGGGGAGTTTAAGGAGCCATACATAGTTCTATAATTCAAATCAAGTAAACATGCTTCTTGTCCCAGGTTAACTTGTGCTGCCTCAGTCGCTGTTTAAACATTTTTATACGCACTGTTAACCTGCCTGCCCATTACCCTATTACTTTTAATGGATAAACTACTGTTCCCTGGGCAGTTGTCTCTTTTAACGTCCCACCCTAAACTTGCCAACCCTCATATGAAGGCCTCAGGCTTGTTATTGGCAAAGGTCAGAAGTCTTAAGCTAGTGACCTTGCAGGCTAAAGTAGGCCTTGAATTTGTTTGACCAGGAACTAAATTAAAAAATAAAAAAGAATGAAATGTCTGGTGGCAGGGGGGCAGGGGTGGGGAGGGTGGTAAGGGGGAGGGCATGCACCCCCAAGTTCCATTGTTGCAGCCCCTCCCATCTTAACTCTGGTCTCTTTTCACTTTTCAACTACCTTCCTTATATACCAAAGGTATTTGAATTTTTAACTCTTATTGATCTTTTATTTCCCTAAACCATGTAGTAATTATTTGCTGATTTCCTAATGTATTGTTATTTCTGTCCCATCACTGTTTTTTGCAGATAATAAAACCATCAGACCTGGGCTTCAATAAAGCCCCACTTAGTGGCCGTGATTGACAAGTGGTCAGGCTGCACCAGGCCATGCTGTGAATGCTCTTTAGGAAGTCTTGTCTCAAGGTTTTGAAGATATTAATGTCTAGATGACAAAAGTGGTACCTTAGTCACCTTACTTATGGTTATTAGTTGTTCATTAATGGGACATGAAAACTCCTAATTTAATAAGGAAAAATTGCATTATGTTGTGATGTTATATTGTCAGGGTCAGCAATACAATTGTCTTTAAGGAGTTGGAAATGATACTGAATGTCACGGGTTATGATGTGTTTATTGTGTTTTCTAATTTTTTCTAAACTTGAATATTTTATCTTGAATGTCAATTATTTGTTGTTTTTATAGCCTAAGTTACTAAAGTAATTAAGTAGTGGGGTTAAAACTGTTAAAATGTCACACTACTCCCTGTCTCTTAAAGACCCTGCTTGCTGTATAGCCACTCCTTGGAGAGGCTACACCAACTGCAAAGGACACAGGGATAGTATCTGTGGGTGGTGACATTGGGGCATGGGAGGTACCTAAAGAGTTTAGGAGTTGGAGAGGAAGGAGCATTTCTTTACAGCCAGGGGCTGGGCATCATGTTTAATTACCACTTTTTTTTTTTCTTGTACTCTATTGGTTGAAAATAGTAACTATTTTTCACCTAACTTCTCTAATTACCAACTGTGTATCTTTTTGGCCTTATTCTATGTAATTTATTTGGCGTCCATTTTTGCAGGTAAATCACATAGTGAGTATCCAGAGAGGACCAACTTATGTATTTAAACTTTTGTTTATTTAAAAGTTTTATAAACTTTCTTTAAAAGTTTTAAACTTTTTAAATCAAAGTTTTTTAAACTTTTTTAAACTTTTACATATTATGTTTTAAACTTTTTATATATTTAAATTTTCCAAATATGGGACTTGAGATTATTAATAAAATTTAAAATAATTAAATCATTCTAAATGCATTTAACTGTATTTTCAGGAAGTACACAGGCAGACACTGTGTCAGGATTTTTATGTGTGTGATTGTCATTACACTCATAATTAGAATGCTTAAACACACACCCTACCCCCACCTCCCCACACACATCCACTCACCCCCTAGGAGTGCAGCCCTGTCCCACCTTAACATTACAAACCTTCATTTGGGGCTATGCTGACAAATCTTCATTAAAAACTATGGATTACAAACTGGTAAACTGCAAGACAAATAAGGCCTTGAATTTGTTTGACCAACACAGTATTTTTAAAAAAGTAAATGTCTTTAGGTGGGAAATGCATGCCCATGTTGCTATAGTTGCAGCCCCTCCCTCTTTTAATCCCACTCTTTTTACACAGATAGTCACCTTTCTATTTTCTAATTAATAACTTTGTTCATATCAGCTAACCATTGTTGAATACTCACTACATAATTTACCTGCACTATTTAATTAAGTCCTCATAATTAGTTTGAGGTATACTATTATTGGGCTTCTTTGAATGTCCCATTTTATAGCTTTTCCTAGGAGGCATCAATTATTATTTCTTGAATGACTGCATAATGACAAAGGAAACTGACATACACATATTGCTGCTTAGTGCCATTTCTGTCCCATAGAGAATTTTCTTTGGGGATTTAAATTATGGTCAGAAAAGTAATTTAGGCAGTCCTGTGGTTTTTGTGGTGGTGGTTGTTTGATTTGATAACCAGTTACCTTCTCGGTGGCAGTGGAATAGGGTTGTGACAGTTGGCCAGAGTACCCTCCTGCCCACAGGGCTGATGAATACATGCATTGTGATTTTAATACTCCCTTCTTGCTTTAATGAGATTCTATTAGTTGCAGTATTAACTATTTTTGGCCTGGCTTCTTTAATAACAAAAGTTATTATTTTGGCTTTAATTTGCATAATTGATTTTGTATCCATGTTTGCCTTGAAGTTTCTTGCTGTGTTTGAATACAAAACTACTTGTTTAGAGGGTTTCAACATTCTTTTATAGTTTATAAAGGTAAGCATGCTGTTGATAATGTATTGTTGAATCATAATGAACAGGTGGCCTTTGAGGAAGACAAGGTCATTTGAACATCAAAAAGTACTTTGCTTTTTGTTATATATGGTGCTGATTACTAACTTTCTCTTGAGAGTTTATTTTCTTTGTTCACTAATTATTAATGTAAGCACGTAGAGCAAGGGATAATTTAAATACCAAATCCTTTGTGTCTGCTTTTGCTGCTTTGAATGTATAAGTTGGATTTATACATACATTTATCTTTATTTACAGAAATAAGCGGGTTTTGAAAACAAAAAAAAGAAGGAGTGGAAGAGGGGGCCAGGATCCAGGCCTCCATCCCCACAGAAGTGAAGCTACAGCTGGGAGGTCTCCTCCCACCCCAACCGTCACCCTGGGTCCCGACTGCCCACCTCCTCCTCCTCCCCCTCCCCCCAACAACAACAACAACAACAACTCCAAGCACACCGGCCATAAGAGTGCGTGTGTCCCCAACATGACCGAACGAAGAAGGGACGAGCTCTCTGAAGAGATCAACAACTTAAGAGAGAAGGTCATGAAGCAGTCGGAGGAGAACAACAACCTGCAGAGCCAGGTGCAGAAGCTCACAGAGGAGAACACCACCCTTCGAGAGCAAGTGGAACCCACCCCTGAGGATGAGGATGATGACATCGAGCTCCGCGGTGCTGCAGCAGCTGCTGCCCCACCCCCTCCAATAGAGGAAGAGTGCCCAGAAGACCTCCCAGAGAAGTTCGATGGCAACCCAGACATGCTGGCTCCTTTCATGGCCCAGTGCCAGATCTTCATGGAAAAGAGCACCAGGGATTTCTCAGTTGATCGTGTCCGTGTCTGCTTCGTGACAAGCATGATGACCGGCCGTGCTGCCCGTTGGGCCTCAGCAAAGCTGGAGCGCTCCCACTACCTGATGCACAACTACCCAGCTTTCATGATGGAAATGAAGCATGTCTTTGAAGACCCTCAGAGGCGAGAGGTTGCCAAACGCAAGATCAGACGCCTGCGCCAAGGCATGGGGTCTGTCATCGACTACTCCAATGCTTTCCAGATGATTGCCCAGGACCTGGATTGGAACGAGCCTGCGCTGATTGACCAGTACCACGAGGGCCTCAGCGACCACATTCAGGAGGAGCTCTCCCACCTCGAGGTCGCCAAGTCGCTGTCTGCTCTGATTGGGCAGTGCATTCACATTGAGAGAAGGCTGGCCAGGGCTGCTGCAGCTCGCAAGCCACGCTCGCCACCCCGGGCGCTGGTGTTGCCTCACATTGCAAGCCACCACCAGGTAGATCCAACCGAGCCGGTGGGAGGTGCCCGCATGCGCCTGACGCAGGAAGAAAAAGAAAGACGCAGAAAGCTGAACCTGTGCCTCTACTGTGGAACAGGAGGTCACTACGCTGACAATTGTCCTGCCAAGGCCTCAAAGTCTTCGCCGGCGGGAAACTCCCCGGCCCCGCTGTAGAGGGACCTTCAGCGACCGGGCCAGAAATAATAAGGTCCCCACAAGATGATGCCTCATCTCCACACTTGCAAGTGATGCTCCAGATTCATCTTCCGGGCAGACACACCCTGTTCGTCCGAGCCATGATCGATTCTGGTGCTTCTGGCAACTTCATTGATCACGAATATGTTGCTCAAAATGGAATTCCTCTAAGAATCAAGGACTGGCCAATACTTGTGGAAGCAATTGATGGGCGCCCCATAGCATCGGGCCCAGTTGTCCACGAAACTCACGACCTGATAGTTGACCTGGGAGATCACCGAGAGGTGCTGTCATTTGATGTGACTCAGTCTCCATTCTTCCCTGTCGTCCTAGGGGTTCGCTGGCTGAGCACACATGATCCCAATATCACATGGAGCACTCGATCTATCGTCTTTGATTCTGAATACTGCCGCTACCACTGCCGGATGTATTCTCCAATACCACCATCGCTCCCACCACCAGCACCACAACCGCCACTCTATTATCCAGTAGATGGATACAGAGTTTACCAACCAGTGAGGTATTACTATGTCCAGAATGTGTACACTCCAGTAGATGAGCACGTCTACCCAGATCACCGCCTGGTTGACCCTCACATAGAAATGATACCTGGAGCACACAGTATTCCCAGTGGACATGTGTATTCACTGTCCGAACCTGAAATGGCAGCTCTTCGAGATTTTGTGGCAAGAAATGTAAAAGATGGGCTAATTACTCCAACGATTGCACCTAATGGAGCCCAAGTTCTCCAGGTGAAGAGGGGGTGGAAACTGCAAGTTTCTTATGATTGCCGAGCTCCAAACAATTTTACTATCCAGAATCAGTATCCTCGCCTATCTATTCCAAATTTAGAAGACCAAGCACACCTGGCAACGTACACTGAATTCGTACCTCAAATACCTGGATACCAAACATACCCCACATATGCCGCGTACCCGACCTACCCAGTAGGATTCGCCTGGTACCCAGTGGGACGAGACGGACAAGGAAGATCACTATATGTACCTGTGATGATCACTTGGAATCCACACTGGTACCGCCAGCCTCCGGTACCACAGTACCCGCCGCCACAGCCGCCGCCTCCACCACCACCACCGCCGCCGCCTCCATCTTACAGTACCCTGTAAATACCTGTCATGTCCTTCAGGATCTCTGCCCTCAAAATTTATTCCTGTTCAGCTTCTCAATCAGTGACTGTGTGCTAAATTTTAGGCTACTGTATCTTCAGGCCACCTGAGGCACATCCTCTCTGAAACGGCTATGGAAGGTTAGGGCCACTCTGGACTGGCACACATCCTAAAGCACCAAAAGACCTTCAACATTTTCTGAGAGCAACAGAGTATTTGCCAATAAATGATCTCTCATTTTTCCACCTTGACTGCCAATCTAACTAAAATAATTAATAAGTTTACTTTCCAGCCAGTCCTGGAAGTCTGGGTTTTACCTGCCAAAACCTCCATCACCATCTAAATTATAGGCTGCCAAATTTGCTGTTTAACATTTACAGAGAAGCTGATACAAACGCAGGAAATGCTGATTTCTTTATGGAGGGGGAGACGAGGAGGAGGAGGACATGACTTTTCTTGCGGTTTCGGTACCCTCTTTTTAAATCACTGGAGGACTGAGGCCTTATTAAGGAAGCCAAAATTATCGGTGCAGTGTGGAAAGGCTTCCGTGATCCTCTCGCTGCACCCTTAGAAACTTCACCGTCTTCAAACTCCATTTCCATGGTTCTGTTAATTCTCAAGGAGCAGCAACTCGACTGGTTCTCCCAGGAGCAGGAAAAACCCTTGTGACATGAAACATCTCAGGCCTGAAAAGAAAGTGCTCTCTCAGATGGACTCTTGCATGTTAAGACTATGTCTTCACATCATGGTGCAAATCACATGTACCCAATGACTCCGGCTTTGACACAACACCTTACCATCATCATGCCATGATGGCTTCCACAAAGCATTAAACCTGGTAACCAGAGATTACTGGTGGCTCCAGCGTTGTTAGATGTTCATGAAATGTGACCACCTCTCAATCACCTTTGAGGGCTAAAGAGTAGCACATCAAAAGGACTCCAAAATCCCATACCCAACTCTTAAGAGATTTGTCCTGGTACTTCAGAAAGAATTTTCATGAGTGTTCTTAATTGGCTGGAAAAGCACCAGCTGACGTTTTGGAAGAATCTATCCATGTGTCTGCCTCCATATGCATCTGGGCATTTCATCTTCAGTCCCCTCATTAGACTGTAGCATTAGGATGTGTGGAGAGAGGAGAAATGATTTAGCACCCAGATTCACACTCCTATGCCTGGAAGGGGGACATCTTTGAAGAAGAGGAATTAGGGCTGTGGACACTGTCTTGAGGATGTGGACTTCCTTAGTGAGCTCCACATTACTTGATGGTAACCACTTCAAAAGGATCAGAATCCACGTAATGAAAAAGGTCCCTCTAGAGGATGGAGCTGATGTGAAGCTGCCAATGGATGAAAAGCCTCAGAAAGCAACTCAAAGGACTCAAAGCAACGGACAACACAAGAGTTGTCTTCAGCCCAGTGACACCTCTGATGTCCCCTGGAAGCTTTGTGCTAACCTGGGACTGCCTGACTTCCTTTAGCCTGGTCCCTTGCTACTACCTTGAACTGTTTTATCTAACCTCTCTTTTTCTGTTTAATTCTTTGCTACTGCCATTGACCCTGCTGCAGGATTTGTGTCATTTTCCTGCCTGGTTGCTGAGACTCCATTTTGCTGCCACACACAGAGATGTAAGAGGCAGGCTTTAATTGCCAAAGCACAGTTTGAGCAGTAGAAAACAACATGGTGTATATCTCAAATTGCCTGACATGAAGAGGAGTCTAACGGTGAAGTTTCACTTTTCATCAGCATCATCTTTCACATGTTCATTATCATCTGCTCTTATTCTTGCATGTTTAAACACTTAAAATTTTTAGTATAATTTTTAGTGTGTTTTGAAGTGGTGACTAGGCTTTCAAAAACTTCCATTGAATTACAAAGCACTATCCAGTTCTTATTGTTAAACTAAGTAAAAATGATAAGTAACATAGTGTAAAATATTCCTTTACTGTGAACTTCTTACAATGCTGTGAATGAGAGGCTCCTCAGAACTGGAGCATTTGTATAATAATTCATCCTGTTCATCTTCAATTTTAACATCATATATAATTTCAATTCTATCAATTGGGCCTTTAAAAATCATATAAAAGGATATAAAATTTGAAAAGAGAAACCTAATTGGCTATTTAATCCAAAACAACTTTTTTTTTCCTTCAATGGAATCAGAAAGCTTGTCAATCACTCATGTGTTTTAGAGTAATTACTTTTAAAATGGTGCATTTGTGCTTCTGAACTATTTTGAAGAGTCACTTCTGTTTACCTCAAGTATCAATTCATCCTCCATACATTTGAATTCAAGTTGTTTTTTTGTCAAATTTACAGTTGTCAATTGATCTTCAAGCTGCAGGGTGCCTAGAAATGGGCCGTTGTCTGTAGCCCTGGCATGTGCACACGGACATTTGCCACCACTGCAAGCAAAAGTCTGGAGAAGTTCACCAACGACAAGAACGATTAGGGAAAATATGCTGCTGTGGGTTAACAACTCAGAAAGTCCCTGATCCACATTTGGCTGTTTACTAAAGCTTGTGATTAACTTTTTGGCAGTGTGTACTATGCTCTATTGCTATATATGCTATCTATAAATGTAGATGTTAAGGATAAGTAATTCTAAATTTATTATTCTATAGTTTTGAAGTTTGGTTAAGTTTCCTTTCACTCAATTGATTTATTTTGTTGTTAATCAAATTTATGTTAATTGGATCCTTTAAATTTTTTTTGGCATTTTCCAACAAAAATGGCTTTATTCATAAGAAAGGAAAAAAATCAATGGAATTTGATATCTAAAGAAGTTAGAAAGGGAGCAAAATAAAAAACATAAAGGAGATAGATGAATTAGTAAGCAAATCAGTAGTCGAGTTTTTCAAACTGGCAAAATTAATTAATTGACTTTTAGCCCAAATTTACATTGTTAATTAAATCAAGAAGGAAGAAGATCTAAGAGCTCCCATTGATAGGCAAGCCTAGAGAGAACTAGCTAAATTTATCATGCTAGGATATTGAAACACAGAAAGTTTACATACATTTATGAAGGGTCAATTTAGTTTGGACAGTGAGGTATTTGTCTTAGTGGAAAAAAGGAGAATTAGTCTGATCAAATCGTGAAGTAATACAGTGAACTTGCAGGTGCACAAAATAAGAGGGCCACATCTATATGGTGCAGTCTGGAATTCTGTTTAAGTTTGTAGGTACCTCTTGGACTTCTGAATTGATCCAGTTGTCATCCACCACAGACATCTCACATCAGATACAGACAGTTCCAAGATTGACAACAGAGAACAACCTGCTG
The DNA here is from genome assembly GCF_000001405.40 of Homo sapiens. Classification (NCBI taxonomy): domain Eukaryota; kingdom Metazoa; phylum Chordata; class Mammalia; order Primates; family Hominidae; genus Homo; species Homo sapiens. The sequence continues at coordinate 94,668,966 of NC_000007.14, forward strand.
GAAAGACCTGGGCAGAAATGGAGAGCCCTGCGGGAACCATGCTACATTTTCATCTAAAGAGAGAATGCACATCTGATGAGACTGAAAGTTCTTTGTTGTTTTAGATTGTAGAATGGTATTGAATTGGTCTGTGGAAAATTGCATTGCTTTTATTTCTTTGTGTAATCAAGTTTAAGTAATAGGGGATATATAATCATAAGCATTTTAGGGTGGGAGGGACTATTAAGTAATTTTAAGTGGGTGGGGTTATTTAGAATGTTAGAATAATATTATGTATTAGATATCGCTATAAGTGGACATGCGTACTTACTTGTAACCCTTTACCCTATAATTGCTATCCTTAAAGATTTCAAATAAACTCGGAGGGAACTGCAGGGAGACCAACTTATTTAGAGCGAATTGGACATGGATAAAAACCCCAGTGGGAGAAAGTTCAAAGGTGATTAGATTAATAATTTAATAGAGGATGAGTGACCTCTGATAAATTACTGCTAGAATGAACTTGTCAATGATGGATGGTAAATTTTCATGGAAGTTATAAAAGTGATAAATAAAAACCCTTGCTTTTACCCCTGTCAGTAGCCCTCCTCCTACCACTGAACCCCATTGCCCCTACCCCTCCTTCTAACTTTATTGCTGTATTCTCTTCACTCTATATTTCTCTCTATTTGCTAATATTGCATTGCTGTTACAATAAAAATTCAATAAAGATTTAGTGGTTAAGTGCAAACTGTGTCCTGATCATTTCAGCATCTACCAGCATCAAGGGAATGGGGTGGGGTAGGGTGGGGAAGGCTGAGAGAGTAGGGAGAGTGGGAGAGGCTAGAGTAGGGTGGGGCTGTGGGGAGGGTGGGATTGTTGGAAGGGTAGGGAGGTAGGAGGGTGGGTAGGGTAGGGGTGGAATTGAGTTTGGGATAGTGGGGTGGTGGTATAAAGAACATTATTGATTACAACCTAGTATGAATTATATAGCCAGAATACTCCAGGAAATCAGTTATTCCAGCTGCAAAAGTTTAACATATAAAATAAAGATACACAATTAATAGCAACTCTGGTTGCTATTATCACAAACTTTAACATCAGTTTTACTTTAAATACTTGAGATTCATTAATATAAAATTATGAAGTATTAGGACATAGAAGAAGAGTTTCAAAGGGCTGCTAGGTTCATATGACATGACAGTCACATAAATATGACTGTTTATTGGGAAGATAGTGACTAAAAGGAAAAATCTAGAACTAATGAAAACACACAACTAAAAACTGTCTACCCTCAGAAGCAGGCTACCAGAGTAGCTATCCATCAAGCAGAGCTCACAAACTCCAATCGTGTGCAGGGTGGTGGGTGGGTTTGAAGAATTGGGAGTAAGGGTCCTCAGCCAAGAACTACTGAGTTATTAAGTACCTGCCCTGGGGGTTTCTTACAATTTAACCTGATACAAAAGTGATTAGCCAAATCCAGTTGAAAGAAAATGGAAATATTTTATTCCAATTTGTTACACCTAGACTCCTCCTCATCTGGGCCCCACTTCTTTCCATAATCCATGTGATTAAACAAAAACAAAAAAAAAAGGTGCTCAGCCTCAAGATTATATTAAGTTATGCAGCTGTATGACAAAGCTAGTCCAGAACAATAAACTTATTTTACATAACAATTGCAATATTTTTTGAAACTTTTTATGAAATGAATAAAGACACCCTCTTATCTAGTGTAGTAGATGCTAGCAATTAATCAAAACAACTAATTACAATCAAAACAATTGTTTAGAATGATGACCACACTATGTTAACTTAAAACACAAATGTACATTCATTTGGTCAATCTTAAAAGAGGTCCATATTCTACTGATTGGAGCTCTGAGTTGCCCTTTTGAATAAATCATCAGTACAAAATGTTATACAACAATGGGAAAATAAACAACTTTTAAAAACATAAAGGCAATTAAATATTCATGAGGATAAGAATCACTCTTGATCCATACCTCAAAAAATACACTAACGAATTGCATAAGGACTACGAGAAGGAAGAAGAACTTATTGGTATGAGGAGGGTAAACTAATACATCTAAGATGAATTAAATTAATAAAGATAACATGCACAACAGAATGGAAACATATTTGGTACATACCTATAAATGATTTGATAACGAATTCATTATCCAAACCACCTCATATTTTCCTGGAAAAATTAAGTAAACACCCAATTCCCACCCTTTACTCCTTATCCTCGGGTTCCACATCTACAGATTCAACCAACCTCAGATGGAAAATACTCAGAAAAAGTAAAAAAAAATATACAACAATAAAAATAAAAATAAACAATATAATACAACTATTTACATAGAATTTACATTGCATTAGGTATTACAAGTAATCTGGAGATAATTTAAAGTATACAGGAGGGTGTGCATAAGTTATATGCAAATACTATGAATTTTATATAAGGGACTTGAGCATCTTCAGATTTTACTATTGGCAGGGAGGGAGGTCCTAGAAGCTGTTACCTTCATACACCAAGGGACAACTGTACATGAAGAAGAATCTGGAAGGATGGATAAATAAAATAAGAGAGAGCATATGTGTGTGTGGTATGTTCAATAACAATTTATTAATTTCTTTCAATGTTCAAGGCAGTAGGCTTGGTCTAGGGGAATGCAACTCAGGGCACAGACCTTGGACTGCAACACCTAGTGCAGTTGAAGGGTGAGCACCCAAGGGTTCTCTAGCTAGGTGTCTTAGTCCATTTTCGTTGTTATAAAAGAATACCTGAGACTGAGTAATCAATAAAGAAAAATAGTTTATTAAGCTCACAGTTCTGCAGGCTGAGAAGTTCAAGGGCATGGTCCTGGCTTCTGGCAAGGACTTTCAAGCTTTGTCACAACATGGCTGAGAAGGTCAAAGGGGAAGCAGACATATGCAAATGAAAAAAACCTGAGGGGCATCCTGGCTTTATAACAACCCACTCTTGAGGAAACTAATCCAGTTACTACCTCAAGAACAGCAACAAGCCATTCATGAGGCATCTGCCTCCATATCCCAAACACCTACTACTAGCTCCACGCCCATCAACACTGCCACATTGGGGATCAAAGTTCAACCTGAGTTTCGGTAAGGACAAACAAACCATATCCAAATAATAGCACCCGAGTACCCCAACTGCTCTTAGGCACCATAGTTGCCCAAGTCATTTGTGAGTAGGCACTGTTTAATTATCATTTAGTGCAGACAAAGGATATTTGACATTTAAGGTTTTTTTCTAGAATACATTAAATTTCTTAAATATTTATTTTTACTAATGTTTTTCAATTGAAGATTAGAAAGAATGAACAAGAGAAATGGTTCCTCCCTCCCAAATTGACTTCCCAAGCAACTCTTTTAGCATATAATAAAATTCCCTTATTCTATTCCCAGATAATCCCTAGAGGTAGTTGACAGCTGTATATCTAGAATCTCAGTTCCTGGTAACTCAGGATAATTTACAGAATAACATTTTGATCCAAGACAGTCGAAAAAGAGAGCAGGTGAATCTTTGGAATATCATTAAATCATTAATTACTATTTTCTATTTAGCCTTATAGTCCTTACATAAGAAAATCCCTGAATTAAAATTAATTATAACTTATATAACTTTGAATCATTGGCTAGTTATTCTCAATCAGTCCATGTTACAAAAAAAAGAAACAGGTGGAAGTCAGACTCAGAGATAGCACCTTATAAAAATTTATTATAGATAAAATTCTTTTTAAAAAACAAATATTTTTTCCTATTTTATTTCCAAGAGGTTTCAACATTACTTAAATCTCATATATATCAGCCTGATGTTAGAATAAATCTAATAAAATAATACAACATCCTACTTTCTAGGCATAAGTTGATGTGAAGACTACACATGCTCATTTCTACTTTGAGTCTCTTGGGTAATACCCTAAGTTTCATCACTGACTGCAGTTCTTAAGATTAATTAAAGTAGGGTGAATGATATTTTGCTAGCTTTTGGACCACAACATTGGCCCATCAAATTACCCTATCAGTCCAAGTCTGAAATAATACCCAACTGTGACAACTGGGCTTAAGTCTTCTTACTAAGGGCTAAACCTCACCAAAATCCAATGTTGAGGTTGGAAGAGTATTCACTAATGACCTCTCTCTTCTTTTGTACCTACTTGAGAATGAACACAGGTAGTTAGACGTGGATTAAAATGCATCTTTATTATGGTCAAGCTAAGTTGTAGAATGCAATTTGGGCCTTAGGTTAAAAGGTTAAAATTATCCATCCTACTCCTTTCCTCCTCCCCAGTTCTGGATCTGAGGATGAGATGTGGTCAGAGTATATACCCTACATAGCCCCCTCAAGGAGGAACATGAGCTGCCTCACACCCATCAATAACTTGGGAGAGGAACAAAAGCAAGGCCAATATGCCTAGAAGCCTACCTTTTTAAGACAAGGTCTTTGTAGATTGCATGTAAGTACAGAGTATAGAACTAAAGCCCCAGTTTGTTCTCAGGACATTGTCAACACCGATATATAAGTTTTCTCCAGTCCAGTGACAGCTCTTATCAGGAGATACATATCAGATTGGACTTATTTGCACATATGTAAAATTTACAACCAGATGGCTAGGGGTTGTACATATGTCTAGTGCAACATATTAGGGTTCACTAAGTATAAAAATCCTAAGAGCTTGATGACACTTGTTCCTGCTTCAGAGGACCTGCTGTCCTTTGTTTCCCTAACATTGAAAGATCAAGTCTCTGACCTAATACCCTGGACTTCATGGTGATGAAAGTCGTCACAGTGATTCCAATCCACAGTGATAGCCTAAAGGATCACTTTGAAGAAGACGCATTCCTACCTATGAGATGATAAATGAACCATCACAGACACCCACCTAGAGGTTAAAAGGTGGTGTTCTGTACCTACTCCAAAGGAATGTGTGAGTTATTTTTATTATAAATAGGAAAGTGTAGTTTAGACGGTTTAGTTTTATGTAGGAATTTTTTTTTTTTTTAAGATGAAGTCTCACTCTATCACCCAGGCTGGAGTGTGGTGGTGTGATCTTGGCTCACTGCAAGCTCCGTTTCCCAGGTTCAAGTGATTCTCCTGCCTCAGCCTCCTAAGTAGCTGGGATTATAGGCACCCGCCACAATGCTCAGCTAATTTTTGTATTTTTAGTGGAGATGGAGTTTCACCACATTGGCCAGGCTGGTTGCAAACTCCTGAACTCAAGTGATCTGCCCGCCTCGGCCTCCCAAAGTGCTGGGATTATAGGCATGAGTCACCGCACCCAGTCTATGTAGAATTTCTAAATGTTGATTAATTCCATACTTATGTATATAGTTAATTCTTATAATACATATTTGTTATGGACTAAATTGTCTGCCTTCCCTCCTGCAAATCTATATATTGAAGCCCTGACCCCCAGTGTGACCTATTTGGAGAAAGGGCCTTTAAGGAAGTAATTAAGATTAAATGAGTTCATAAGGGTGGGGTCCTAATCAAATAGAACTAGTGTTTTAAGAAAAGGAAGAACCACCAGGAACACCCGCACAGAGGAAAGGTCATGTGAGGACACAGCAAAAAAGGTAGCTATCTGCAAGCCAAACACAAGGGTCTCACCAGACAACAACTCTGCCAGCATGTTGATCTTAGAATTCTGACATCCAGAACAGGGAGAAAATGAATTTTTGTTATTTTATCCAACCAGCCTATGGTATTTTGATATGGCACCCCCTAGCAGACTAATACAATATTGTATTTTGTATTCTATAAATTTTCTATTTATTATGATATAATATAGAGGAGTATAACATATAATATAGTATAAGAATACTAAATATTAGTATACATTATATCATATATCATAGTTATTTAATAAGTTTTATAATAATAGTATAATATAGTATAATAGATGTAGGTAAAATAAGTATAAATATATTATTATATGTTATATAGTATTGCCTAAAGACAGGGATACAGTCTGAAAAATGTGTCAGGCAATTTTGTCATTGTGTGAACATCATAGAGTGTACTTACATAAACCTAGATGGTATAGCCTACTACACACCCAGGCTGTATGGCTATTGCTTTGAGGCTACAGGCCTGTATAGCATGTTACTATACTAAACATTATAGATAATTGTAACACAATGGTCAATATTTCTGTAGAAAAGTTACAGTAAAAATACAGTATAAAAGATAAAAAATAGGCAAGGCGCAGTGGCTCATGCTTGTAATCCCAGCACTTTGGGAGGCCAAGGCGGGCAGTAATCACAAGGTCAGGAATTTAAGACCAGCCTGGCCAACATAGTAAAATGCCATCTCTACCAAAAATATAAAAAATTAGCAGGGCATGGTGGCGGGCACCTGTAATCCCAGCTACTCAGGAGGCTGACGCAGGAGAATTGCTTGAACCTGGGAGGAGGAGGTTGCGGTGAGCCGAGATCATGCCATTGCACTCTAGCCCAGGCGACAGTGCGAGACTCCGTCTCGAAAAAAAAAAAAAGATAAAAAAAGAGTACACCTATGGGGGGACACAAGATAAGTGGAGTTTATAGGACTGGAAGTTGCTCTGGGTGAGTCAATGAATGAGTCGTGAGTGAATATGAGGGCCTAGGACATTATTATATATGACTGTAGACTCTATAAGCATAGTATATTAGGCTACACTAAATTTATTTAAAAATTTTTCTTTTTTCAATAATAAATTAAGTTTAACTTACTGTAATTTTTAGCTTCATAAACTTTTTAATTTTTTTAGCTTTTTGACTATTGTAACACAGCTTAAAACAGAGATATTGTACAGTTGTATAAAAATATTTTCTCTTTATATCCTTATTCTATAAGCTTTTTTCTATTTTTTTTTATTTTTATAGATTTAGGGAGTACAAGTATATATTTTTTCACATGGATATATTTTATGGTGGTGAAGTCTGGGCTTTCCGTGTAACCATCACCCAAATAGTGTACGTTGTACCCAACAGGTAATTTCACATCCCTTATTCCTTTCTCTCCCTCCTACCTTTTGGACTCTCCAGTGTCTGTTATTCCACTCTCTATGTCCATGTGTACACATTTATTAGCTCCCACTTATAAGGGGGAACATGTGGGATTTGCCTTTGTTTCTCAGTTATTTCCACTGAAGAAATACACACATACTGAGGCATACACACACTGAAGGTATATACACATATACACCATAAAATACTACTCACATTTTCTTTATCCAATCATCCATTGATGGACACTTAGATTGATTCCATGACTGTGCTACTGTGAATAGTGTGGTGATGAACATACAAGTGCAGATTTCTTGTTCATACAATGATTTATTTTCCTATGGGTAGATACCCAGTAGTGGGATTTCTGGATCAAACAGTAGTTTCTGTTTAGTTCTTTGAGATATTTCCATACTGTTTTCCATCCATAAATGTTGTACTAATTTACATTCATACCGACAGTGTATAAGCATTATCGTTTCTCCACATCCTCACAAACATCTGTTGTTTTGTTCTTGTCAATCTTTTTAAGCTCCCCTGAAACATGGGAATCTGTTGTTTTTTGACTTTTTAATAATATCCATTCTGACTGTTGTGAGATGGTATGTCACTGTGGTTTCATTGGCATGTCCCTGATGATTAGTGATATTGAGAACTTTTTCACGTTTGTTGGCCACTGGACAATTCTCATTCTGGTCAGTTATTCATTTGATCTTGTGAATGTCATGGTGAAAGGAACACCATAGTTACAAGATGAAATGAAAACACTCACGTGCATCATAGTCACAGAAATTTGTCACAAGATGGAAAAGACATTGATTCCACTTTGAACCAAACTTTATAGAACACTATTAATGGAAATTAGTGGAAATGGCTGCTAAAGTAAAAGTTAAGGTGAATGATCTAATCTGACTTGATTTATTGAATCCAGAACTTTTATGCTAAATCCCCCTGGTAATCAACTAAATAAAAATCCCTTTATACCACTACTTAGTAAGTCAGTAAAGGTGTGCTACTCATTAGATGCTAATCTCACTTACTGAGGAATGCAGAATTGCATACTGTTTCCACAGTTCAGCCAGTACACCCTGATCTCAGTCTATAACTCCCTATTGTTCTTCCCTACTAATCAACTCACTGTCTTCCAAAAGAGCCCATGGCAATAAAAAAGAAGCCAAATTCCCATGTCCTTAAAGAAAATTAAGCCCAGGAATCACCTCCCCCATTCCTATCTGGAGTATAAGATTAGAATAAAAACCCACAGTATTACCAGTGTATTATTTGGCCACTTTTTAATGGGGTTTGTTTTCTTGTTGAGTTGTTTTAGTTTCTTATAGATTCTGGATATTAGTCCTTCATCAGATGAATAGTTTGCAAATATTTCTCACATTCTGTAGGTTGTGTGTTTACTCTGTTGATTGTTTCTTTTGATGTGCACAAGCTTTTCAGTTTAAGTCCCATTTGTCTATTTTTGTTTTTGGTGCCTTTGCTTTTGAGTCATAAATTCTTTGTCTAGGTCAATGTCCAGAAGTTTTTCTTTGTGCTTAGGATTGCTTTGTCTGGTCAGGCTTTGTTTTTGTTTCCATATGAATTTTAAGATTGTTTTTTCTAATTATGTGGAAAATGATATTAGTAATTTGATAGGAATTGCATTGAATCTGTAGATTTCTTTGGGCAGTATGGTCATTTTAACAATAGTGATTCTTCCAATCTATAAGCACGGAATGTTTTTCCATTTGTATGTGGAAAGAATACTGATAGAAGAATCTACAATTTATTCCATCAGTATTTTTTAGTTCTCCTCATAGAGATCTTTCACCACCTTGGTTAAATGTATTCCTAGGTATTTTGTGTGTGTGTGTGTGTTTTTTTTTTTTTTTTTTGGTAGCTATTCTAAATGGTATTGAGTTTGTGACTTGGTTTTCGGCTTGATCTTTATTAGTGTATAGAAATGCTACTGGTTTTTGTATGGTGATTTTGTATCCTGAAATTTTACTGAGTCATTTATTAAATCTAGGAGTCTTTGGAAGAGTCTTTTGGATCTTTTAGGTATAAGATTATATCATCAGCAAACAGATAATTTGACTTCCTCTTTTCCAATTTGGATTTCTTTTATTTCTTTCTCTTGCCTGATTGTTCTATTTAGGTCTGCCAGTACTATGTTGAATAGGAGTGATTAAAGTAGGCATCCTTGACTCGTTCCAGTTCTTACGGGGAATGCTTTCAACTTTTCCCTATTCAGTATGATGTTGTCTGTGGGTTTGTCATATATGGCTTTTATTATTTTGAGGTATGCTCCTTTGATGCTTGGTTTTCTGAGGGTTTTTAACATGAAGCGGTGCTAAATTTTATCAAATGCTTTGTCTGCATCTATTGAGATGATTGTATAGTTTTTGTTTTAAATTGTATTTATGTGGTGAATCACATTTACTGGTTTGCAAATGTTGAGCCATGCTTACATCCCTGGAATAAAACCCAGTTGATTGTGGTGAATTATCTTTTTGATGTGCTGTTGGATTTGGTTTGCTAGTAATTTGTTGTGGATTTTTTAATCTATGTTCATCAGGGATATTGGCCTGTAGTTTCTGTTGTTGCTGTTGTTTGCTTGCCTGGCTTTGGTATCAGGGTGATACTGGCTTTGCAGAACAAGTTAGGGAGGAGTCCCTTCCCGATTTTTTAGAACCAGTTCTTCTTTGTACATCTATCAGAATTCAGCTGTGAATCTGACTGGTCCTTTATTATTATTACTATTACTGATTCAATCTCAGTACTCATTATTGCTCTGATCAAGATTTCTATTTCTTCCTGGTTTCATCTTGGGAGGTAGTACGTTTCCAGGAATTTATCCATTTCCTCTAGGTTTTCTAGTTCGTGTGCATAGAGATGCTCATAGTAGTCTCTGATGATCTTTTGCATTTCTATGTAATCAGTTGTAATGTGTCCTTTTTCATTCAATTGTACTTATTTGAGTTTTGCTTTTTCTGGGTTAATTTAGCTAGTGATCTATCAACTTTGTTTATCTTTCAAAAGAACCAATTTTCACTTTGTTGAGCCTTTGCATTGTTTCTTGGGGTCTAAATTTCCTTTATTTATCCTCTGATCTTTGTTACTTTTTCTCTTCTGACAGCTTAGCTTCTTTCTTTTTAAAATTTTTTATTTTCTTTTTACTGTTAAACTTTTGGTTAACAACTAAGACACAAACACACACATTAGCCTAGGCCTACACAGGGTCAGGAGCATTAATAACATTGTCTTCTGCCTCCACATCATGTCCCACTGGAAGGTCATTAGGAGCAATAACATGCATGAAGCCGTCATCTCCTATGATTACTGTGCCTTCTTCTGAATATAATGGATCTGCCTGAGGCTGCTTTACAGTTAACTTTTTTTTTCTATAAGTAGAAGAAGTACATTGTAAAATAACGATAAAAAGTATCTTATAGTAAATACATAAACCAGTAATACAGTCATTTGTTATCATTAGAAATATCTACTCTACATAATTATATGTGCTATACTTTTATACAACTGACAGTGAAGTAGGTTGGTTTATACCAGCTAACCACAAACACATGAATAATGCATTGCACTACAATGCTATGATAGATATGACATCACTAGGCAGTAAGAATTTTTCAGCTCCACTATAATCTTATATGCAGTCAGTTATTGACCAAAATGTAATTATGAGATGTATGACTGTATGTGCATATGTATTTGGTATTTATTATAGTAAAATAAATAAAAGTAATCTCAACAGGTTATTATATCAAAACCAGTGGAATGTCTGTAGTATATTCACTACACTTAGAATCCCCTGTAATTCTACAGCCTTGCTTTTGACCCTGACACAGGAGGTCTTCGAATTCAAGAGCTCTAGAGTGATGTAATGGAAAGCATTATATTGGCAGCAAGCCTCAGTAAGAAAGTGCAAATGCAATGTGATGGACCTTGAAGGAGCATTGATCATCACCTACATCTCCTTGATGCTCCAGGGAAGAGAAGAGGAAATTTTCCTTACTGAAATTCCTCTGAGAAGCTGAGTTCTTGTTACATGGGCCATAGTATGAAAGCAGGATGAGACAGAGAATGGTTTCCCTCTATTTACTCCAGCTCCTCATTCTATTAACTGGTTGGGTTTCACAGCCAAGGCTGTAGGGTGTGGTGGGGGTGGCTGTCACTCTTGGAGAAGAGGCACCAGTACCTTGTCAAGGCAGGCCGATACCTACCCTTGAGGCATCTCCCCCAAAACATGCACTGCTCCTTTTATTTAAGACCAATGATGGGCAGTTCAGCTTTTATTCCCAGAAACTTCTGAAATGGGTCATAATAGAGTATTCGTTAATTTCAAAAGTACTTCATAGTCTAGGCCAAAATTTTATCCCATTTACTATTTCAGTCTCAAATTATGCCCAGGAAGGCACAAATGAAATTCCTAGACAAATTTAGAAATCTACATGATATGGAGGCCATGTTAGAATGTATGAAATTCCTACTACTATAAAAGTCTCTGAAGTTAAAGCTAAAAGTCAAAGTTCAAATTTTTGCATTAAGTCAAAGTTCAAAATTTTGCCCACACTAGTTTCTTATTCCACTGTTTAGCTCAGAAGGGTGTCACAGCTGTTCAGCTGGAGTATTGTTTCCTTAATCTTGGGCTATTTGGTGCTGAAGGGATGATGGTACTTTCATCATTTCCAAACTGAATTAAACTAATCCAAGTCTCTCATCTGTCCCACTTTTTTAGAAAAACTGATCATGGAACACATAAGAATATTACAGTTGCACACACACACACACACACACACACACTGTCCCCTTACCCCTTAAAGATTTTAACCAAGCAAAATGGTGTTTCTAAGCCCTAGTATATGGTTTGAATCAGTTAGTTTTAACTGCATATAAAAGAAAACCTCAAAGTGACAGTGGTTAAAGTAAGACAGAAGTCATTCCTCTCTCAAATAATAGAAGACCAAGAAGAAATAGTCCACGGTTAGTGAAGTGGTTCTCCAGTATCACCAGACACCTAGATTCTGATCTTTCCATCCTACCAACTTCTAGTCTGAGATTGTTGCTGGTTAAAAGCAGTAAAGGCAAAAAAGCAAACTGGGTCCTGCTATGCTGAGTCAGGTCTCTTTAAGCTAAAACCCAACATTCTTTGCTTAGATTTCATTACTGAGAACTCACTTATGAGTGGGAGTATAGCGGGATGGGAAATGTAACATTTCATTTTAAGTGTTTCTCTTCCCAGCTAAAATCTATGATCCATCCCTAAGGAAAAAGGAAAGAACAATGATTTAGAATAGACAACTCAATTTCTACAACATAGTACAATCCAGATCCACATTGTTTTTGACCTACTTATGTATTAGTCTGTTCTCATGCTGTTAATGAAGACATACCAGAGACTGGGTAATTTATAAAGGGAAGAAGTTTAATGGACTCACAGTTCCACATGGCTGGGGAGGCCTCATAATCATGGTGGAAGACAAAGAGCAAAGGGACATCTTACATGTTGGCAGGCAAGAGGGCACGTGCAGGTGGACTCCCCTTTATAAAACCATCAGATCTCATGAGACTGATTCACTATCATGACAACAGCATGGGAAAAACCACCCCCATGATTCAATTACCTCCCACGTGGCCCCTCCTACAACACTTGGGGATGATTACAATTCAAAATGAGATTTGGGTGAGGACACAGAGCCAAACCATATCAACTTGTATTGAGGGAAGGAAGGTGAATGAAGGGAATCATGAGCAAAAAGAGGAAATGGTGTTGATTTAGATCTTGACTGTATGGCAGTAGTGAATTTAGAACATGCTATTCTGAGTCCCAAACCTATTAAATTCACCTCAGTTATAAGTATAAAATTGAGGAGTATATCTTGCAGATATCAACAATATAGATATATTGTTAAGATTATTAAGATAAATGTTATTACAGCCAGATAGGCAAGGAGTCATAAACCAATAGAGAAATGAAATGCAGAAGTATGGATATATGGAAATTTAAAATGTGTGAAAAAGATGGCATTGAAGATGAGTGGAGAAAGAATGGACTTTTTAATGGGTGTTGTGGCAGATTTTATTTTCAAAGATGACTGCACCAAATATATATCACAGCCCACATGCTCGTCTCATACTGTGACACGAACATACCTCCCCCTGAGAAGTGGAGTCTGTGTTCCCTTCCCTTGAAACTAAGCATACCTTTGTAACTGCCTTAACCAATAAATAACAGTGGTAGTGACAGTTCATGACTTCTGAGGCTAGGTCATAAAAGGCATTTTATCTTCTGTCTTTCTCTCTGAAATGTTTCCTTTGGGAGAATCCAGCCTTCATGCTATGAAGACAATCAAGCAACCCTTTTGAGAGGCTCATGCAAAGAGAAACTAAGGCCCCTGGTAACAGCGAACATCATTTTGCCAGCCATGTGAATGAGATACCTTTGAAGTCGATGTCCTAGCCCTAGGTAAGACAAGTTTCCAGATTAATGCAGCCCCAAAAGACATACGACTGAAACTGCATGAAAGGCCTCAAGTGAGAAATGTTCAGTGGAGCTTTTCTCAACACTTTTGACCCACAGCAACCATGAGAGATAAATAAGTATTGTTGTTCTAAACCATTAATTTTTAGGGTGATTTGTTATATAGATAATTAACATAGGTGTTGATAAATTTGCTTATTCATAAGGAAAAAAAGCAAAAATCAAAACCGAGTTTCTGCCTCCTGCTATACACAAAAGTCAAACTCAAGTGAATAAATGCCTTTAATTTGAAAATCAAACTTCAGAATTCTAAAAGTTTTAGAAGAAAATATGAAAAAATATCTGTATGATATCAGGATAGGGAAAAAATTCTTAAAACATAAAAATGCTAACAATAGAGAAAATATTGATCCATGACTATATTAAAATCTTCAATCAAAACATATCCTAAAGAAAGTAAAATGATGAGCCACAGTTGGGGCTGCATCATAGTTAGACTTCTGCCTCTTCCCAGTCCTCTACTTCCTTCTCCTCCTTTCCACAGGGGCTGATGCCAAGCACACTAAATTCAATCTCAGATTTTATGTTTCGTAGAGCCAACGATTTTAAATGTCATGTTTATCATTTCCATGAATGTTTCTATAGAATAACTACATATGTACAGATTCAACATTAAGATAGAGTATATTATACCTGTTCCAAGTATTGTTTGAATAATATCACAGCTTGCATTATCATGGCAAAATGTACCTGTAGTTCCACTCCACCTATTTTAACAGGTACATGGTATTCCATCTCAGTGATTCATACATTTCTGCTTTGGTGTCCTGTTACAGCAAAACATCTCAACACTTGCTGTTCTCGCCCTACCACTGTATCCCTTTCTTGCCTGCAAGGAGCAGGCTCATCTTTGCTTCCCCTTCTCATTTTCCCTACATCCTCCTCTTTTCCAAATCTAATTCAGAGCTTTACCTAAATGGTAGATGGTAGATAAGGAGGAAATATTTTATTGGTAAGAAGACACAAACTGGTAAGTATTTAAAAAATAATACTCTGCTACACTGTTGACAAAAGAAATTCATATTTACTGAGAAAATTTGTAGAGGCAGGGGCCATAGTTTATTTTACTAACCTTCTTTTAAGTTCCCTCCAGGCAGGAAGGCCTGCTGGAATGAATCCTGAAAGAGTTGCTTGCCAAAATGTATGTGAAGAAATGAATCTGAGAAATGCAAGAGATGGACTGTGATGGACATGGAGTGGTCCTATACTCAAACTCTCCGTTACCTAATTCGCACTTTTCTCCCCACACTTCTGTACAAAACTTCATGACAGCCAACTGAATCTCATCAGTTTCCTCAGCATATCCTATCATCATTCCTCGTGGTCTGCATTTAAGCCTTTAAGTCCTATTTGAAAAGATTTTGTCTTTAATTATTTGAATATGTGTTTTGTAGGGGTTTTTTTTTGTTATTTTTTTCTCGTTTGTTTTTGCTTTTTTGAGATGGAGTCTCGCTCTGTCGCCAGGCTGGAGTGCAGTGGCGTGATCTCAGCTTACTGCAACCTCCACCTCCCGGGTTCAAGTGATTCCCCTGCCTCAGCCTCTGGAGTAGCTGGGACTACAGGTGCATGCCACCATGCCCAGATAATTTTTTTTTTTTGTATATTAGTAGAGACGGGGTTTCACCATGTTGGCCAGGATGTTCTCCATCTCCTGACCTCATGATCTGCCTGCCTCGGCCTCCCAAAGTGCTGGGACTACAGGCATGAGCCACCACACCCAGCCGTGTTTTGTAGCTGAAGAAAATTTAGACTCATGGTTAATAACAGAGCATAGATATGAATCACATAGTATTTGAATACTATTTCTTTTTCCCTTCTTCCCCCCTTCCTCTCTCCCTTCTTACTTCTTTCCTTCTTTTCTTTCTTTTAAAATTTCAGTGGATTTTTCTCTAAGTAATACAAAAGTAATACATTCTTCCTTTTGTTCTTCTGCAAGGCTTGCCCCTAGGAGTAACAATAGTTGCTTTCTGAATTTTCTAAGCATACATATATACTCACAAACACATATCACATGCATATACACATACTTTTTAAATTTAGTAAGATCATATAACTTGTCTTTCTTTTCATTTTTCTTTTTATTTTATTATTTTTTTTTTTTTTGAGGCAGAGTCTCACTCTGTTGTCCAGGCTGGAGTGCAGTTACACGATCTTGGCTCCCTGCAGCCTTCGTCTCCTGGGTTCAAGCGATTCTCCTGCCTCAGCCTCCCAAGTAGCTGGGACTACAGGTGTGCGCCACCACAACTGGCTAATTTTTGCATTTTTAGTAGAGATGGAATAGGTCAGGACCACTTTCTATTAGAATTCCATCTGATTTAAGAGCTGAATGACTTTGAACAATAGGTGTCTAATTTATTTTACCATTGTATTTAAATTGGTGCCTTTTTTTTTCTTGAGACAGGGTCTTGCTCTGTTGCCCAGGCTAGAGTGCAGTGGTGCTATCTCAGCTTATTGCAAACTCCGCCTCCTGGGCTCAGGTGATCCTCCTGCCTCAACCACCCGAGTAGCTAGAACTACAGGCACACAACACTACACTCAGCTAATTTTTGTATTTTTAGTAGAGACAGGGTTTCACCATATTGGCCATGCTGGTCTCGAACTCCTGACTTCAAGTCATCCAACCGCCTTGGCCTCCCAAAGTGCTGGGATTACAGGCATGAGCCACCGTGCCCGGCCACATGCCTATTTTATTATTATAAATAATGCTGCATTGAACTAGTAATTCTGTAGGATTAAATCTTAAAGTAGCAATCAAGGGGTGGGTTGAGGGAGTGACAATGAGCAGTCAGCCCTAACTGGGAGAAGTGTTTTATTACTGAAATTGCTTAGAATTGCTGGTGCATAGTGGTAATACAAAGAAGAATAACTTTTGGTTGGTTTTAATCTTATTTTTTTTAACTCTCTACCAACTCCTTGATTACCTATATCCTGGGCAGATCTTCCCACTGACCTGCCCCTGGTGGGCGGTTCTTAAAATGGGTATTAATTGTTTCAAAAAGTACACACATTTGAAATTGATGATACCCTTTCCTTAGTCCTCTCACCCTCAAGAGGTCATAAAAATTTGCAACCCCAACAATAGTATGAGAAAGTGGAAGATTTATTTTATCTTCAAAAATGCTGGATATTATTGCAGCCATCAAAAGGAAAGAGATCATGTCCTTTGCAGACACATGGATGGAACGGAAGCCATTATCCTCAGCAGACTAACACAGGAACAGAAAACCAAACACTGCATGTTCTCACTTATAAGTGGGAGTTGAATAATGAGAACAAACGGACACATGAACACACACTGGGGCCTGTTGAGGGGGCGGATGGAGGGAGAGTATCTGGATAAATAGCTAATGCATGTGGGGCTTAATACCTAGTTGATATGTTGATAGGTGCCACAAACCACCATGGCACATATTTACCTATGTAAAAAAACCTGCATGTCCTGCATATGTATCAGGAACTTAAAATAAAATAAAGTTTTTTTTAAAGACAGAAACTTTTGCTTAAAAATGCTGGATATTATCAGTGTGATTTATTTTTACCAATTCAGTAGACAAAATATAATATGATTGCTGTTTTAATTTTTTTAATTATTGGAGAGTTTGAGCTGCTCATATTATTGGCTTTTTGTATTTCTTCTTTGAATAGCTTATTTTATGGTCACACATTTTTCCAGTTATTGATGGTCTCTATGCTATATAACAAGCTCTGATAAGTTCTGTCCCATTCCAAAATTAAAATATATTTCAATATGTTTCTCTATTTATTTTGCAACTTTTAAAAATATTGATACTTTTGACCATTCTAGAACCTTTTAAAATTATGATGTTACTTAAGAATCATTTATTTTATGCTGTTAATCATTTTTCTATCATAATTTACTGAGCAGACCAGTAACATCCATGGGTTCCCCAAGAGATCCACAGATTCAGGGCAAATCTGTGAATCTGAATGGAAAAGTATTATCTTTTATTTTCACTAACATCTAATTGATATTTATACTTTCCTTCAATGATGAATATAGGAAACAAACTATGGTAGCAATAGCAGTATCCCTGACTTGGCTACCAATAGAAATTAGAGATTTTTATATCAAATTACAATTACAGATATCTAAAAATATTGTTTTTAGTCATTATTACTTAGAAATTATTGCAATTAATAAACTTAGCACATCATATTTTGGCCAAAGTAATTATATCAGGAAGTAAGGTTTATATTCTTTGCTCAGATGGAGCTCCTATAATGTTTGATAATGTCTCTAGTTTTTACTACTTCTAGGGAAAAGAAAGTGCTTTGGCATCATCATTTAACACATTCCTGTACTCACAACAAAACGCTTCCTACAGTCTTAAAATAAGTTTTGTCAACAGCCATAAAACTCATTAACTTTATCAGAAAAAGGTATGTGAATCATTACATTTAAAAATTTTTGTCAAGGAATGGGAAAAGGATATGATCACCACCAAAGAGAAGTTTGCTGGCTTTTAAGAGAATAAATCTTGCTATGCTTGTTGAGGCGTAAGTTGTACATTTTATGAAACAATAACAACAAAAAATACTTTTTGAACATTGTCTTTGTCCAGTTTGAGCTACTATAACAAAATACCTTAGACTGGGTAATTTATAAACAACATAAATTTGTTGGTTACAATTCTGGATGCTGTAGTTCGAGATAAAACCAGAAGATTTCAAGTTTAAGATAAATTCAAGATAAAATAAGCAGATTTGGTGTCTGGTAAGTATCCAGTCTCTGCTTCAAAGACGGCCCTTTCTAGCTGTGTCCTCATATGGCAGAAGGGCAAACAGGCTCCCTCAAGCCTTTATAAAAGCACTAATCTAATTTATGAGGTCTCCACTTCCCAAAGAGCCCCAGTTTGCCTCCTAAAAGCCTCATCTCTCAATACCTGTTGCACTGGAGGTTAGATTTCAACATATGAATTTTGGTGGTAAAACCATATTGAGATCATAGCATTTCACCCTGATCCCCCCAAATTCATGTTCTTGTCACATGCAAAATGCATTGATTCCATTCTAATAGTCCCCAAAGTCTTACCTTGCTCCAGCACCAACTCAAAAGCCTGAAGTCCAGAGTCTCATCTAAATGTCATCAAGATCAGAAATTGTTGAGACTCAAATGTGTGATTCATCCTGAGGCAAATTTCTCTCCAGCTGTGAGCCTATGAAATCAAACAAGTCATGTCCTTCCAAAATACAACGTTGGGGTAGGCATAAGATTGACATTCTCATTCCAAAAGAGAGAACTAGAAAGGAACGAAAGAGTAATTGATTCAAAGTCCAAAACCCAACAAGGCTAATAACATTAAATCTTAAGGCTTGAGAATAATATCCTTTGACTTGATGACCTGCCTTCTATACACACTGGGGCACAACTAAGCCTTGGGAGTGGGGCCTTTGAGGATTAGGCAGCCCCATCCCCAAGGCTTGGCTGGGTGCATGCCACACAGCACCTCTCATACATTGGAATCACATGCCTGCAGCTCTCCCAGGCTGGAGTTGCATCATTCTGGAGTCTCAGAGCCTACTCCCACAACAACACTAAACGTTGTGATGCTCTCTGTGATGACCCCAACCTATGCCTCTGCTGGGCATTGCCCTCATGGGGGCTCTCTGCAGTGGCCCCACCTCTGTGGCAGTTCTCTGTCTGGACACAGAGGCTTTCCAGAGCATCGTTTGAAATCTAGCTGGAGATAGCCACAGCCACACAGTTCATGAACTCTGTGGACCTGTGGAGGTGGCATTGTGCAGATACTGCCACATGGTTTACCACCTGTGCCTTCTGGAGGGCCCGCCAAAGTTATACCTGGGCGTGGTTAAGCCACAGCTGGGATGACCAAGGACCACTGCACATGAATGAGTGAGTGGAGCCTTAAAATTGTTCTCTCCTCAAGCTTCTGAATTCTGGGCCTATGATAGGTGGGGCAGCCCTGAAGATCTCCACAATGACTTTGGTGTCATTCCTCCATTGTCTTAATGAATAGCACCTGGCTTCTAGCCATGCTAATCTTCTTATTTAACAGTCACTTGGCCACAACATTGGTGTTCTCTCCAAAACTTGCTTTTTCATTCTTTACTACCATGCTTAGAATTTTCCTAATCTTGAAAAATGGAAGTTCTGCTTCCATTTTTATTATAAATTCTATCTTGAACTCATTTCTCTCTTCCTACACTTTACTATAAGCAGTTAAGAAAAGATATGCCACACCTTCAACACTTGGCTTAGATATTTCTTTCACCAAATATCTTATTTCATTACTCACAAGTTGTACCTTCCACAAAACACTAGGACCCTAGGACATGAACACAGTTCAGCCAAATTACCACTTTATAACAAGGATTGCCTTTCCTCCAGTTTTGAATGACATGTTCCTCATTTGTGTCTGAGACCTCATTAGAATGGCCTTTACTGTTCGTATCTCTACCAACATTCTAACGGCTACCACTTAGGCAATCACTAGAAGGCTGAGGCTTCCCTACAGCTCTTCTCTTTTTCCTGGTTCTCACAAGTATCAAGTTTTATGGTCCATTCATGGGAATGTACTTCAAAGCCCTTCTAGCTGCTACCTATCACCCAATTCCAAAGCTGCTTCTACGTTTTCAGATATTTGTTAAAGCAGCCCCCACTCTCATTACCAATTTTTATCTTAGGTTTTTTGAGCTACTATAACAAAATACCTTAGACTGGGTAATTTATAAGCAGCATAAATTTATTGCTCACAGTTCTGGAGGCTAGGAAGTCCAAGATCCAGGTACCAGCAGATTCAGTGTCTGGTGAGGGCTCATTCCTTTCTTCAAATTTAGCATCTTCTAGCTGTGTCCTCATATAGCAGAAAGGCAAACAGGCTCCCTCAATCTTCCTTCTTAAGAATATTAATCCTATTCATGAAAGCAGAGCCCTCATGACCTAATCACCTCCTAAAGGTCCCACCTGTCAATACCATTGCTTTTGGGGTATATTTTTCAATGTATGAATCTGGGGGAGACACTGACATTTAGACTATAGCAAAGACTATGAAAGAAATTATTTTATGACAGTGTGAGTTCTGCTTGCACATATTTTAAAACATGAAATAATTAAGTCTTTCAATGAAAGATCCTAAATAATTAACATGATTGCTACAGAAAAAGTTACACGTTTTCTTGGATAAGCTGCTGATATGGAAGAAGAGATTTGAGGTACATCCTGGCAAATTTTTTAATTCTGGAAGAGGAACTCTCCCAAGATACAATATCATTGATAAAATGTTCTCAAAAAAATCTGAATATACCTGGGAACACTTTAAAAGTCCTCCAAAGTTAGTCTATCTTGATGACAATAAGGCTTATTAATTATATTTTCATAAATTATGCTTTTGATGATGTAACTACAAGCTCATTGCCATCAGAAGGTTGCCTATACTTTTTTCTAGTTTTATAGTTTTGTATTTTATTTTGAGATCTGTGATCTATTCTGAATTTTTGAAAACAGAAACATTTTGTAAAAGATCAATGTCTAGATTCATTTTTTTGCATGTGAATGTCCAGTTGCTCAGTCAACATTTATTGAAAAAACTACTCTTTCTACATTGTATTGCCTTTGCTCCCTTGCAACTTTGTCGAACCAATTGACAATATTTTCTGGATCTAGTTCTGAATTCCCTATTCTGTTTCACTGAACTATATGTCTATTATTTTACCAACATCACACTATTCTGATCACTGAAATTTATACTAAGTCCTAAAATCAAACAGTGTTAGACCTCTAACTCTGTTCTTTTTCTTCAGAATTGTGTTTTCTGTTTAAGGTCTGTTGCCTTTTGACAAAAACTTCAGGATCATTTTGTCAATACCTACAAAGTGACTTGCTACCATTAGGTTGGGATTGTGTTAAGTCATAGATCAAGTTGGGAAGAATAGAAATCTTAACAAAATTAAATCTTTTAATTCATGAACTTGGAATATCTCTTCATTCATTTAGATATTCTTTGATCTCATTCATCAGAATTTTTCTGCATATAGATCTTGTACAAAATTTGTTAGATTTATACCCAAGTATTTCATTTGGGAGGTGCTATTTTAAGTTGTATCACTTTAAATTTCAATTGTAATTATTTGTTGCTGGTATTAATAAAAACAATCAAATTTATAAGATTATTGTGTATTAATCTTGTATCCTATAGTCTTGCTATATATGCTTATTAGTTTCAGGTGTTTTACGTTGATTCTTTGGATATTCTATATAGCCAATCAAGTTATCTGCAAACAGAGAGGTTCTTTTCTTCCCTCGCAATCTGTATACTGCTTATTTCCTTTTTTATTTTCTTATTGACACATAATATCTGTACATTTTCATGGGATATATGTGATATTTTATTACATACATAGACCGTGCAATGATCAGGTCATGGTATTTGGGGTGTCCATTACTTCAAGTATTTATTTCTATGTGTTGGGAATGTTTCAAGGCCTCTCTTATAGCTATTTTGAAATATACAACACACGGCTGTCAACTATAATCATCCTACTCTGCTATCAAACATTAGAACTTATTCTATCTGTATAATTGTATGTTTGTACTCGTTAAGCAAGTTCTCTTTATTCCAACCTCCAACCCAGGAAAACTTCCCATCCTTTGGTATCTATCATTCTACTGTCTACCTCCATGAGATCAACATTTTTAGCTCCCACATATGATAAAGAATATGCAATATTTATCCATTTGTGCCTGACTTATTTCACTTAATGTAATAAACTTCAGTTTCATCCATGTTGCTGCAAATGACAGGATTTTATTCTTTATAGCCAAATAACATTCTATTGTGTATATATACCATATTTTCCTCATCCATTCATCTGTTGATGGGCACTTAGGTTGATTCCGTATTTTCACTATTGTGAATAGTGGTGTAATAAACATGAGAGTGCAGATATCCCTTTGATATACTGAGAGTCTTTCCTTTGGATAAATACCTAGTAGTGGGATTGCTGGATTATATGATACTTTTATTTTTTATTTTTTTTTGAGAAATCTCAATACTGTTTTCCATAGTGGCTGTACTAATTTACATTCCTATCAACAGTGTATAAGAGATCCCTTTTCTCTGCCTCCTCTCCAGCATCTGTACTTTCTTTGTCTTTTTACTAATCGCCATTTTAACTGGGGTAAGATGAGGTCTTATTGTGGTTATGATTTGCATTTCCCTGATGATTAGTGATGTTGAGCTTTTTTCATATACCTATTGGCCATTTCTATGCCTTCTTTTGATAAATGTCTATTTGTGTTCTTTGCGCACTTTTTAATGGAATTGTTTCTTTTCCTGTTGAGTTGTCTGAGTTCCGTGTATTTTCTGGGCATTAGTCCCTTGTCAGATGAATAGTTTGAAAATATGTTCTCCCATTCAACAGGTTGTCTCTTCACTCTGTTAATTGTTTCCTTTGCTGTGCAGAAACTTTTAAGTTTAATATAATCCCATTTGCCTATTTTTGTTTCTGTTGCCTTTGTTTTTGAGGTTTTAGCTATAAAATCTTTGCCTAGATTAATGTCCTGAAGTGTTTCCCCTATGTTTTCTTCTAGTAGTTTTATAGTTTCTTGTCTTACATTTACATATTTAATCCATCTTGAGTTAATTTTTGGATATGGTGAGTGACAGGTGTCCAGTTTCATTTTTCTGCATATGGCTATCTAATTTTCTCAGCACCATTTATTGAATAAGGTCCTTTCCCCAGTGTATATTTTTGTTGGCTGTGTCAAACATCAGTTGGTTGTAGGTATGTGACTTTAATTCTGGGTTCTCTATTCTGTTCCATTGATCTACATGTCCATATTTATACCAGTACCATGATGTTTGGTTACTATAGCCTTGCAGTGTAATTTGAAGTCAGATAATGTAATGTCTCTAGCTTTGTTCTTTTTGTTTAGAATTGTTTTGGCTGCTCAGGATCCTTTTGTTTCCATATGAATTTTAGGATTTTTTTTCTAATTATGTGAAAAATGATGTTGATAATATGATGCTTAATGGTCCAAATTTCCATCACAGACTCCTACAATCCTAATAGGGCCCTTTAAGGAGAACCCCTAGACCCTCAAGGGCCCCAAGACTAACAAGGAACTGCACGGAGACTGTGCAAAGGTATTTCTCCAGAGTGGGAGTTCATGCTGGGTCTCACAAGATGCCATTAAGGATCTCTCACTTACGTTTTCTGTGTGTTAAGGAGCCTCTCCGGGCTCCCAGATGATCCTGGCCAAACAGACTGCCTCACTTCCCTCTCTTCTTGTGTTAGATGTTTCCTGTCACTTCTCTGCAGATGATCTACTCAAAGCGTGATTATCTACTCACTATTTTTGTTTTCTTTGTGGAGGAAGCAAGTACCAGATGCCTCCAGTAATCCACTTTGAAGCCCTCCTTTTCTTGTCTTATTTCACTAAGACTTACAGTATGACATTGAATAGGACTGGTGAGAGGAAACATTCTTTCCTGTTCTGGATCTTTGTGGGAAAGCATCCAGTGTCTCACCATTAAGTATGATGTTAGCTGTAGGTTTTTGTGGACATTCTTTATTAAATCTAGGAAGTTCCCCCTCTATTCCTACTTTGTTGACAGATTTTATCATGAATAGGTAATAAATTTTGTCAAGCGATTTTTCTGCCTCAATTGACATGATCAAGAAATTTTTCTTCTTTAGCTACTGATGGCTGATTATATTAATCAGTTTTTGAATGTTGAATCAGTGCGCAGAACTGGAATAAATCCTACTTGGCTGTGTTTTACAATTATTCTCATAGATTTTTTTTCAATTTGCTGATTTGGTTTTGAGAATTTGTCATCTCTGTAGTGAGAGATTGTGATTTGTAGTTTTTTACTGAAAGCTATCTTTTATAATATTTTTATTTGGTTTAGGTATTAGGATAATGCTGGCCTCATACAATGAGTTAGAATGTGTTCCTCTGGTTCTATTTTCTGGAAGAGATTGTAGAAAATTCATATAATTTCTTCTTTAATTGTTCCATAAGATTCACTGGTGAAATCATCTGGAACTGATGTGTTCTGTTTTGGAAGGTTATTAATGATTAATTAATTTTCTTAATAGACGTACACTCATTTAGTTTATTTATTTCTCCTTGTGTGAGTTTTGGGAGTTTGTGTCTTTCAGGGAATTGGCCCAGTACTGATAATAATCAGTAGTGATGGCCCTGTTTTTATGTCGGATATTGGTAACTTGTGTCTTTTTTCTTGGTTATCTTGGTTAGAAGTTTATCAAATTTACCAATTTTTTTTTTTTTAAAGAGCTTTTGGCTTTACTGATTTTTTCTACTACTTTATTCTTTTCAATGTCATTACTTTCTGCTTTCAGTTTTAGTATTTATTTTCTTCTGATTTCTTTAGGTATAAATTGCTCTCCTTTGTCTAGTTTCCTGAGCTCGGATTATTGATTTTAGGTTTTCTTCTTTTCTAATAAAGGCATTTAATTTTAAATTTCCTTCTAAACACTGTTTTTTCTGCATTCCACAAATTTGAAAAATTTTCATTTTCATTTCATTTCATTTAGTTATAAATAATTTTATAATTTTTATTGAAGTTTCTTTCTTATTCATTTGTTACTTATTTATTTATTTATTTATTTAGAGATGGAGTCTCGCTCTGTCGCCCAGGCTGGAATGCAGTGGTACGATCTCAGCTCACTGCAACCTCTGCCTCCTGGGTTTAAGGGATTCTCCTGCCTCAGCCTCCTGAGTAGCTGGGACTACAAGTGCGTGCCACCACGACTGGCTAAGTTTTTGTATTTTTAGTAGAGACAGGGTTTCGCCATGTTAGCCAGGATGGTCTCAATCTCCCGACCTCGATCTGCCCGCCTTGGCCAATCATGTGTTATTTAGATGGGTGTTGTTTAATCTCCAAACATTTGGGAATTCTCCAGTTATTTTTCTTTTACTGATCTAGTTGAATTCTATCATGGTCTGAGAGCATATTTTGTATGATTTCTATTCTTTGCAAGTTTTTAAGGTGGTGTTTTATGACCCAGATTGTGGTCCACCTTGGCAAATGTTCTATGTGAACTTGAGAAGAATGTATATTTAGCTGTTATTGGATAGAGTATCCTGTAATTGTCAGTTAGATCACATTGATTGATAGTGCTATTCTGGTCAATTATAGTCTTACTAATTTTCAACCTGCTTGATCTATGCATTATTAACCTTCTGCTAACAGATGAATTCTCCACATCTAATAGTGGATCTATCTATTTCTTTTTACAGTTCTATCAGTTTTTGCCTAATGTACTTTGATGGTCTGTTCTTAGTTAGCTGCACACACACTGATTGTTATGTATTTTTAGAGAATTGATGCCTTTACCATTGCATAATGCATGCCTTTATTCCTAATAATTTTTTTCTGAAGGTTACTTTTTTCCTGAAATCAAAATAACTACTCTAGCTTTTTCCTTTTTTCTTTCTTTCTTCTTTTTTTTTTTTTTTTTTTCACAAATAGCACTTTTTATTTGCCACCATTTGAAGTCTGAACTTTAAACAGATTCTTGGACTGGTGGTTCATATCCCTCAGCTCGTTCAACTTTAGCACCTGTCTCATCCCCAATGGCTTTTCCAGAACTACTGCTGTCACCATGAAGCTCCATGAGCTTTCCCAATTCAAACTTGGGCTTCTTCAGCATTTTTACTTTTCTAACGAAGACATCATGGAGAGGATAAATAGATTGGCAAGCCTTTTCTATGTCTTTTCCAATGCTGTCTGGAATCAATTTGTTGACGACTTCTTTCAAGTCATTTGTCTGCACCTCTCAGGTCATGATTTCCATCATCTTCTTTTGGATTTGGCGGACCTGTTGGTGCTGAGCATAAGAGGTCTTCTGTATCTGATTGTTGTGTTTTTTAGTAAAACCAACACAGAACAGATGAAGCAAGTAACCATCGGTAGTCTTGACATCAATGTGAGCTTCAATCTTGTCTGCCATTTTTTGACCATGGAACACATTTTGTCATGGGTAAGATCCATGCCATGAAAGTTAGTCAGGCAGTTTTTGCCCCGAACATCTTCAGTAATCAGCTTGAATTTTCTAAATGCAACTTCATCATTCTGCAAATCAGCAAGACTCACTTCAAACACATGACCCTTGAGACCATCAGATGCAATTTTGGTTCCTTGGGTCCTGGTGATGGCGTCTTTCCAATATTTCTTATATTGAACATAGCAAGTGCTTTCACATCATACCAATCTTTCTTAGAAAATTGATCAATCACTTTCTTCTTGGCTCCCTTTTTGCTGCCTTTCATAAAGCACTTGTTCTTGCCAACTGCCATGGTGCTGGTCAGAGCCAAAAGGCTTTTTAATTTTTTTTTAGACAGAGTCTTATTGTCTGCAGTACAGTGGCACAATCATGGCTCACGGTAGCCTCAACTTTCTGAGCTTAAGTGATCCTCCCACTTCAGCCTCCTAAGTAGCTGGGACCACAGGCACACACCAATATGCCTGGCTGATTTTCAAATATTTTACAGAGACATGGTCTCCCTATGTTCCCCAAGCTGGTCTTGCACTTCTGGGCTCAAGGAATCCTCCCACCTTGGCCCTCCTAAAGTGCCGCTTTCTTTTCTTTTTATTAGTGTTAGCATAGTCCATCTTTCTTATTATTTTAGTTTTACTCTGTGTCTTCATATTTAAGGTGGCTTTCTGGTAAGCAGTGTTTAGTTGGGTTTTGATATTTTATCCGCTCTGACATATCTGTCTTTTAATTGGTGCATTTAGACCATTCACATTTTAAATGGTTACTGATATAGTTTGGCTAACATCTACCTTGTTTATAATTGTTTTCTATTTATTCCACTTATTTTTTGTTCCTTTCTCTTCCCTCTTTTTCTGTCTTGCCTGGTTTTAATTGAGCATTTTATAATTCTCCATTATCTCATCCTTTAGCATATTAATTATACTTCTTTGTAAAAATAATTGAGTAAGGACTGCCCTAGAGTTTTCAATATTAATTTTTAACTAATCAAATTTACCTTTAAATAGCAAGAGAGATGGGGAAGACAACTTTCTGGCCTTTATCTTGGTGAGACTCATGAGAAATTTTTCAAACATAGTAAGGATGTTCAAAATTGCTGAGCAGCCACAAAGAACACAAAATCTACTACATATTTTTCTTAACTACTTTTTCTCCTATTTTTCACCTCCTTGCTTAGTTCCTAAAACAGTTAATTTCTTTCTACTTTGTCTTCCAGTCATTAAGTCATTCTACAAATACGTCATTTATCTTCAGTCCAACCATTGAGTTCTTTTTCAAAAATATCCTTGTGTCATGTTTTTGATTTCTAAGAATGCTCTCTTTTTCTGATAGTTCCATTTTTTGTATGCAATAACCTTTCAAATCTATTTGGAAGTATTAATTACAAATTATTTAAGGAATATGTTTCTTTTTTCTCTGTATTTTTGTATTCATTTTAGTGTCCCTCACTAAAATTTGCTCTTGGTTTTCCTCAAAATGTCTGGCAAATTTTGTATTCACATTTATAAATGAAAGACTTGCCTCACCATTGTGGGTGTCATGGGGCTCCCTGGCCATTTTCAAGCCTTCTTTACTATAGAGAACTACCCCTTGAAAGAGAGTTGTAACTTTAGAGCTCCATAAGTGTGACAGGGAAAAACTTACAGGAATGCTTCTTGCCAGGAAAAAAAAGGGCAGCTGTTTTTGAAAGGCCCATAGATAAAAAGCAAAGAGATAATCTACAGACTTTCCTCAAATGGTGAAATAAGAAAAGTGTGAGTGTGGCCCAACTCTTAGCATGGAGCTGCAATGTCCTTGTCATTTTCTTGATGTCCATTCTAACGGTCAAATTTTACCTTTTTGCCTTACTCCAGTTCAGGAGTTCATGCTAAGGCTTCATTTTCTGAGTCAAAAATTCTACTTTATTTAATTCTTCTAACATGATTTAGCCTGCAGGCTAAAGAATAGTCAAGTTGGGACTGGCCCAACTGTTGCACAATTCTTCAGTGAATTGACTCACTATTTGACCCATGACCAGCTCCCATTACTAACCCTGCTGACTCAATGCTTTGCATTTCACTATGGTTTCTAGCACTAATCCTGCTAACTACTGTATGTTTTTAAGAAATTTCTCCAATTTTAAGTATAATAATGACACTGCTTTGTCTCCAGTGCTGCTATAGATTTTTTTATTCATGAATCACTTCTGTTTTTCAAGGTGATTTTATGAATAAAAGGAAATACTGTATCATCTTGTTTGGTGACAACATTTGTCTTTTTCTACCACACAATGGGTGAATAATCCACTGGGTAAAATGGTAATTTTCAGGCTAGCTGAGACTAAATAAAATAAACAATGATGCATTGCTGTGATCAAAAACTCAGCTTTTTCATTGGTATATTTGGAATCTGTGTTTGTGCAAATGAATCCTTAGGCATAGGCATTTTTACCATGATACTTTAAAAATGCAAATTATTATGTGATGTTTGTACAATTCATTTCAGTACTTCTGCTTAGAAATTGTTTTCTTAGCCCTTTTCTGAATGAGATATATGTTCATTAACATTAAAACATACATTAACATAAACATATATTTTCATATGAAGATAAAAATATTAATGTGGTTATTCCAGAAGGTAGAATTTAGAGCGATGTTGATATTTTTGCTTTTAGATTGTGTTTTCTAAATTTTCTACAATAAACATGTACGTAACTTGAAGGAGGACTTTTAAAAATAAATGTATTTGCTTTTTTTTTTCGGTTTGCTAGACAAATATTATACCATGCCCACGGCTACCAAGAGAAGTAGTCACAAAGAGCAGCAAATTTAAGAAGCAAAAATTTAAAAAGCATAAACAGCCTTATGTATACTGATTGCATAAAGATTTCTGTGTGTATACCATTGTATAGAATGCAAGTTTAAAACTGCATGTATTATTTCTTCTGTGCTGTTTCCTGCCAGCTGTTGACCTTGAAAACAACATATTATTGAGATGACTCATGAGAACCAGTGTGAAATAGGACATTTTACTGCTAGAAGTTCTCCTTCTCCTCAGACTGTAGTTTGGCAGTACTGTATAAAGGCAGAACAAAGTTGTAAAAGCTGAGATTAGAAATTAGTCGTGTTAGCACACCTTAACCATAATTTTGTTAGGATGTGCAACAAAAGAATCAATGTTAACTATTTACTCAACAGTAACATTTATTATGCAGAAGAAATATGTGTTCACGCCTTATGAAATCTCTTCTAAGTCTTCCGAAGCCTAACATGGCAAATATAGAGTTTAGTGGACTCCATTATAATTTGGCTTACAACCCACATGTCTCGAATTTCCCCATAAATTGTATGAAAATAATATGCATAAAATTATTTTATGAAAATATAACATTAGCATTTTCCTTTTAAAATATCTGGGACTCATCCAATAAAGGTTCCTGTGATGTCAGGGACAGATGACCCTAAATGTAGAAGTGACATTATGAGGCATTTGCAAAACCTGGGCAAAATCAAGAGTACAAAATATTAACATTTTTACTTGCTATGAAAAAAATAGGCAAAATTTGAAAGTGTGGCAAAAAGTTGGGTACCATATCCCTTCAATGTCATACTAGGGTGACAGCAACCTAATTATTATCTAGGGAAGTGGGTCTGAAACTTCAGTGTGCATTCAAAATCATCTAAATAACTTACTAAATCATAGGTTGTTGGGTCCCACTCAGAGCTCCTGATTCTGTAAATCTGGCAAAAGGGCCTGAGAATATTAATTTCTAACAAATTTCCAGGTGAGACAGATTCAGGAATTTCTAATCCAGGAATTATAATTTCAGAATCACTGATACAGAAGAAGATACCTACTTAGATTACTGTACATTATTCATCTGCATTTCTAGGTATCAGTTTATAGACTTCTGTTCAGTAGAAATGGAAATAATTTCTGTACAGAGTAACAGATAATTCTAAATATTATTGCCCTATAAGACATTACCAGTTTTGTATCTTACCCAACTATCTTAACTGAATATGTCTGTGTGTGTGTGTGCACACAAGTGCATACATGCATGCATAATAGTTTCTCAATTGCTTCTTGAACTGGTTTTAATACCTCACTGGTTCCCTCACACATGTGAGTTCAATAACATTTTTTACACTTGTTTATATTATATTTGTATGAGAGAAATAATTTTACTTTTGTGAAAATTATACTTTAACACATTTGAATGAATGGTTGTTGACTGAATTTTGGTACTTTTGGATTTTATTATATAATTGTAATCTAGTATTGTACACAGAGCATTAAGGTAACTCTTTTAAATAGAAAGGTACATCTTTTGTGAAATTCATGAAATTACTTTGAAATTTCTTACATTATTTCAGTAGATTTCCTTTTCTTGCCTCAGACTTAACGTGCTTCAATGTTTTCTTGAAACTCTCAAGACGTTGTGTCATAAGATGGTTACTATTAATCAGAAATAATTTTCTCTTCATTTTTATTTTCATTAAAGTACCTCTCAGAGTCCTTTTTATGTTAACATGCAGAAATATACCACATGACTATCTTCTTCATCAAAATTGGGTAGCATCCATATTGGGTAGTATAAAAAACATATTTTAGCATAGAGAAATAATAACAGAACATGGAAGTCAGAAGTATATCTGTGTTTCCAGGGATTACATAAATGGCACGGGCCTTCATAGCTACAAGTTTAACTCCCAATTTATTACTAATTTCCCATGAGTCTTGGAGAATCACTATGCTTTTCATTCTTTTGCATCATTGTTTGCCAAGTATTATAATATTTGCAGGGATATAATTTAGTTAGATTGTAAGCTATTTTTATAAATTAGATGGTCTAGTAAAAAATGTAGTATTAATTAATATAAATATTCAAAACCACAATGAAATATTATTTCACATACATTAGGATGGCTACCACCAAAACAAAAACAAAAACGAGCGTTAGAAGGGATGTGGAGAAATTGGAATCCTTGCACACAGTTGATGGGAATGCAAAATCATGCAGCCACTATGGAAAAGAGTATGGCAGTTTCTCAAAAAATAAAAACATAGAATTACCATGTGATCCAGCAATCCCTGTCTGTGTACATATACAAAAGAATTGGAAGCAAGATCTCAAAGAGGTATTTGAACACTCATGTTTATAGCAGCTTCCACCAAGAGGTGGAAGCAACTCAAATGTCCATCAGTGAATGAAGGGATAAACAAAATGTGGTATATCCATATGATGGAATATTATTCAGTCTTAAAAAGGAAAGAAATCATGTCACACACTACAACATGGATGAACTTTGAGGACATTACACTAAGTGAAATAAACTAGTCACAAAAAGACCATACCACATGGTTTTACTTGTATGAGATATCTAAAGCAGTCAAGCTCATAGAGACAGGCTGGGTGGAGTGGCTCACACCTGTAATCCCAGCACTTTGGGAGGCCAAGGTGAAAGAATCACTTGAGCCCAGGGGTTCAAGATCAGCCTGGGCAATAGAGAGACCCTGTCTCTATTAAAAAAAAAATTCATAGAGACAAACAATGGATCATGGTTACCAGGGACTGGGAGAACCAGGAAATGGGGGGGTTGTTGTTTAATGGATATAGAGTTTCAGTTTTGCAAGATGAAAACATTCTGGAGATCCATTGCACAACAATGTGAACATAATGAACACTATTGAATGCTATACCTAAAAATAGTTAAGACTGTAAATGTTATGTTGGATTTTTTATCACAATTAAAAATAGAAAAAAAAAGTATTTCTGGATAGGATTAACTTTATGGCTTTAAAAGAAGGCAGCTTTAGGAGCCTAATTCCAGGCTCACCACAGGATTCCCTTTACCCTGCTATCTCCCTTACTAACCTGTTTTATGCCTTAAGTGTTACCTGTGGAGCATCCTTCCTTGTGGTTATGAGCATATTCCCCATTGTGAATAAATACCTAAAGTAACAACCTGTAATCAAGCATTTATATTTCTAAGGACATTTATGACAGATTGTTACAAGTAAGCTTTGACTGAATACACAAAGGAAAGAGCAGGAGGGCAGAGTGTCCTTGGTGAAGGGAGATTAAGAGTCTGGTGAAGCCTGGTTATTTACCAAAAACTTCATCTACTTAACTCCAATGTCAGGCCTGCAAAAATATTTTCCCTTCCTATTTCCTGTTGCCCTGGGGAAAGTTGCTGTTACCATAGAAAAGGGAGTCTATGTGTGTAACCTATGCATTCCTTTCTAGGGGCAGACAAAAGACACATTGTGAGTGAATGACTTTCACAGCTCTTCAGCTCTAGACCATTAGTATGCTCAGTTTTAAGCTCTATGTTTCCCTTTTTGAAGTAGTTAAATCCTTTATTGACTGTTTCTTCTCATTTCCACATCATCTTTTAGTTCAGTGGAGGAACATTATATTACGATTCTTACTAAGGGGCCAGAAGTGTCAATCCATTTTAAGGTCAATTCAAACACAGACCGCTTACCTCTCAGCCCTATGCTGTGGAACTTCTGGAAGAAACCCCATTCTTAATTTTATGATGTTTTTACACATATACCCCCACAAAAAGAGGTTACCATAGAAACTGGGGAGCAAGTAACTTGGTAACTTTAACAGAAGTGCATACTTGCTATTGCCAAAGCTGGAATAACAATTGTGCATTTACCAGGAGAATACAAGACTTTCTATTGTAAAGTCGACTACTTCTTTTTTACCAGGTGCTCCATGATTCTTCAAGTGTATTCCCAATATGAGACAATGTTTTCTGTATTAGTGACTTAGAAAAATATTTGGGTTTTTTTTTGACATAGCAGTATGTCAGTGAAAAAAATTAAATTGACATGATTTATATTACCTTATGTGTCTACATCATTCCTTTTGCTTCTAAGGCTTTACAAGGACATCCTTGAAGATTTTTGTGAGGGGTTGGCTCCCTTTATTTTTAATTAAACATTGATATAATTCATTGTACAAAATTTGGGGAGCACAGTGAACTGTAAAGAAGATTTTAAAAACCCATAAAGCCTTTGTCTCTCGCTCCAGCCAGAGCTTGGGGTTAGTGCTTCACTGCCCTGTGTCCTCCGCTCCAGGAGGTCTCTGTGATTGTGCCACAGCCTAAGCCTCCATCGCTCTGTGACCTGCTGGTATTGGAACATTCATAGCAAAGACCCCAGGACACTCCTGAAGCCAAGAAGGAGGAAAAGAAATAGCCCTGCAATGTGAAGAGACATGAGACAGTAGCCAAACTCCCAGAAGACAGGAGAAGACAGAATACCTCCTAAATCTTTATATGAGGCCAGCATTAACCTACATCAAACCAGACAAAGACATTACAATAAAATAAAACCACAGACCAATATCTCCTATAAATGTACATGCAAAAACCTCAACAAAATACTAGCAATTCAAATTCAATGAGGTACAAAAACAATTACACACTATGACCAACTTGGATTTATTTCAGATAATGCAAATCTGGTTCAACATTTAAAAACCAATTAATGCAATCCATTCCATGAAGACTAAAGAAGAAAAATAACATGAGCATATAAATGGAGAAAAAAACATTTGAAAACATCTAGTACCTTCTCGTGGTTAAAAGACTGGGCAAAGAAGGAAAAGAAGGGAACTTCCTCAACTTTATACAAAATATTTTTTAAAAACTCCAACAGCTGGCCAGGCGCGGTGGCTCATGACTGTAATCCCAGCACTTTGGGAGGCTGACGCGGGCAGATCACCTGAGGTCAGGAGTTCAAGACCAGCCTGACCAACATGGTGAAATCCCATCTCTACAAAAAATAAAAAATTAGCCAGGTGTGGTGGCAGGCACCTGTAGTCCCAGCTACTTGGGAGGCTGAAGCAGGAGAATCGTTTGAACCCGGGAGGCAGAGGTTGCAGTGAGCCAAGATCACGCCACTGCACTCCAGCATGGGCAACAGAGTGAGATTCCATCTCAAACAACAACAACAACAAGAAAAAAAAAAGCCAACAGCTACCATCATAACCTAGACTGTGAGAAACTAGAAGTTATCCTGCCAAGATCAGGATCCAGTCAGTGATGGCCTCTATCAGCATTCCATCTCAACATTTTACTGAAAATCTGAATAGTATAATATGGGGCAAAGTGTATACTGTTTGGGAAGGATAAAATAAAACTGCCATTTTTTGCAGATGACTAAATTGTCTATGTAGTAAATCCAAAATGAGCAACCTAAAAAAATCTGGAACTAATAAACAATTATAATAAGGGTACAGAACACAAGATTAATATACAGAAGTAAATTGTTTCCTATATAGCAGGTATGAACAAGTCAAATTTGAAATTTTAAATGCCTTAACATTTAAATTAGTGCTTTTCAAAATGAAACATATAAATCTAAAAAAATATATTCAATATCATTTTGATAAAAACTATATAATTCTGATGAAAAAATCAATAACCATATACAATATTATAGGTATTCTCAAAGTATTTTTCTTCCAGTCTGAGCCTCGTCTTCTTATTCAAATGAGAAGCAGTGTATTTCAGAGTATAGTTTGTATTTCACAGAAGAAATATTTCCTTCTCATATACAAGCAAACTCAGTATTGTCAAGATGTCATTTCTCGGCTTCATCTATAGATCAACACAATCCCTATCTAAACCCAAAGAAATTATGTTGTGGATTTTGAGAATACTTTCTAACATTTATATGAAGAGAAAAAAATCAAAACAACACAATATTGAAAAAGAACAAGAAAGAGGACTGTTATTACTCAACTTCAATACTTATTATAAATCTGTAGTAATCACGAAACATTGTATTGGCAAAATAATCCACAAATTGATTAAAGGAACAAACACAAATCTCAAATATCTACAAAAATACAGTTAACTGATTGTTCACAAAGAATAAAAAGCAATACAATGGAGAAAAGATAATCTTTTAACAAATGGTGCTGTAATAACTGGACATCCACATGCAAAAAAAAATTTAAAAAGAATCTAGACATAGTTATTACACTCCTCAAAAATTATCTCAAGGCCAGGCATGGTGGCTCACACCTGTATTCCCAGCACTCTGCGAAGCTGAGGTAGGCGGATCACCTGAGGTCAGAAGTTCGAAACCAGCCTGACCAACATGGTGAAACCCTGTCTCTACTAAAAATACAAAATTAGCCTGGTGTGGTGGTGCGCGCCTGTACCCCGGCCACTAGGGAGGCTGAGGCAGGAAAATCACTTGAACCCGGGAGGCAGAGGTTGTAGTGAGCCAAGATCATGCCACTGCACTACGGCCTGGGCAACGAGAGTGAAACTCCGTCTCAAAAAAAAGAAAAATTATCTCAAAATGTATCAGACTTAAATGTAAACACAAAACAATGAAACTAAAAGAAAACAGGAAAAAAAATCTAGATGTTCTCAAATAGAGCAATAATATGCTGTTCTTCATTGAAATTTAAAAACAAAGAAAAACTCTGTAAAAGATATTGGTTCTCATTCTAATAAGAGGAGAAGGCACAGACCAGAAGAAAAATATTTTCAAAACACCCACCTGGAAAGAAATATTATCTAAGATATGTAACAAACACTTAAAATTCAACAAAAAGAAATGAACAACTCCCATAGATTACACACATTTTACATATCATATATTACTTTTTAGAATCCCTAACAGAATGAAGTCCTAACACACCCAAATTATAATTTCTGAGCACTCTTTCAGTAAGACATGTAAAGGCACAGGAAAAGCTGAAAGACTTTTTTGTATTCCTGGTCTACCTCATTAAAATGTAATCCTCGGCCAGGCCCGGTGGCTCACGCCTGTAATCCCAGTAAGAGGTGACAGTGTGCCGGCAGTCCTCACAGCCCTCGCTCACTCTCGGGGCCTCCTCTGCCTGGGCTCCCACTTTGGTGGCACTTGAGGAGCCCTTCAGCCCACTGCTGTACTGTGGGAGCCCCTTTCTGGGCTGGCCAAGGCCGGAGCCGGCTCCCTCAGCTTGCAGGGAGGTGTGGAGGGAGAGGCGCCAGTGGGAACCCGGGCTGCGCGAGGCGCTTGCGGGCCAGCTGGAGTTCCGGGTGGGCGTGGGCTTGGCGGCCCTGCACTCGGAGCAGCCAGCTGGCCCTGCCGCCCCGGGCAATGAGGGGCTTAGCACCCGGGTCAGCGGCTGCAGAGGGTGTACTGGGTCGCCCAGCAGTGCCAGCCCACCAGCGCTGCGCTCAATTTCTCACCGGGCCTTAGCTGCCTTCCTGCCGGTCAGGGATCGGGACCTGCAGCCCGCCATGCCTGAGCCTCCCACCCCCTCCATGGGCTCCTGTGCGGCCCAAGCCTCCCCGATGAGCACCACCCCCTGCTCCACGGCGCCCAGTCCCATCAACCACCCAAGGGCTGAGGTGTGCAAGTGCACGGCACGGGACTGGCAGGCAGCTCCACCTGCAGCCCCGGTGCGGGATCCACTGGGTGAAGCCAGCTGGGCTCCTGAGTCTGGTGGGGACGTGGAGAACCTTCATGTCTAGCCCAGGGATTGTAAATACACCAATCGGCACTCTGTATCTAGCTCAAGGTTTGTAAACACACCAATCAGCACCCTGTGTCTAGCTCAGGGTTTGTGAATGCACCAATCGACACTCTGTATCTAGCTACTCTGGTGGGGCCTTGGAGAACCTTTGTGTCCACATTCTGTATCTAGCTAATCTGGTGGGGACGTGCAGAACCTTTGTGTCTAGCTCAGGGATTGTAAACGCACCAATCAGCACCCTGTCAAAACAGACCACTGGGCTCTACCAATCAGCAGGATGTGTGTGGGGGCCAGATAAGAGAATAAATGCAGGCTGCCCGAGCAAGCAGTGGCAACGCTCTCGGGTCTCCTTCCACACTGTGGAAGCTTTGTTCTTTCGCTCTTTGCAATAAATCTTGTTACTGCTCACTCTTTGGGTCCACACTGCTTTTATGAGCTGTAACACTCACCGCCAAGGTCTGCAGCTTCACTCCTGAAGCCAACGAAACCACAAGCCCACCTGGAGGAATGAACAACTCCAGACGCGCCGCCTGAAGAGCTGTAACACTCACCGTGAAGGTCTGCAGCTTCACTCCTGAGCCAGTGAGACCACGAGCCCACCAGAAGGAAGAAACTCCAAACACATCCGAACGTCAGAAGGAACAAACTCCAGACGCGCCACCTTAAGAGCTGTAACACTCACCGCGAGGGTCCGCAGCTTCATTCTTGAAGTCAGTGAGACCAAGAACCCATCAATTCCGGACACACCAGCACTTTGGGAGGCCGAGTAAGGCAGATCATCTGAGGTCAGGAGTTCAAGACCAGCCTGGCTAACATGGTAAAACCCCATCTCTACTAAAAATACAAAAAAATTAGCTGGCATGGTGTAGCTGTAGTCCCAGCTACTCGGGAGGATGAGGCAGGAGAATCGTTTGAACCTGAGAGGCGGAGGTTGCAGTGAGCTGAGATCGCGCCACTGCACTCCAGCCTGGGTGACAGAGCGAGACTCTGTCTCATAAATAAATAAATTAATTAATTAATTAAATGTAATCTTCGAAGGTGTTGTAGCCAGCTCTCCAGGCTCCTAAGATTGTGAGGAATGCATGTCTTCCTTCCAGGGCAAAGAGCAGCATTGAATAATAACATAATAGCTGTAACATGGATTTTTCAAGCATGGCTTCAATTTGACACGTCAGAACATTTGAGATTCTAAATCACTGCTCCAGACTGTTTTACATCGCTCCACTGACTATAGGAAATTTTTACTGAAATCAAGGTTTAACAAAATAACTTACTTATAAAGTCTAACAAGCGGAAAGAAAATTAGCCAGAGATAATCAGTTCTTCCTGAAAAACACTCTTTTCTCATTAAATTTTTTCTGACGTTAGTTTACTGATTTCAGGTAGAATTTTAAATTCTCCTTAAAAACAGAAGCAAACAAAAGAACTAACTGATAAAAACTAATAAAAGCTTGCTCAAATTAAAAAAAAAACCATAAACCCACTATCCGGAGTTAATTTTAGTTAATAATTTGACCTAAGTTCTCCAAGTATTTTTTCAAACATAGTTGAGATTGTTGAGGGCTTTCATTGCAATTGTAAAAGGAATTGCAGGTGCCTGCTTAAATGAATGACTGGGATACATGTATAAAACTGCCTTGTCTAGTTATTTCTTTACCTTTATTCCTTAGCAATAGAATCTAGTCAAGCCAGCTATTATTCAGCATAATTTGTTAATAATATGCTCTCATTTTTGCCATAAAATATATATTTTCTCTGACATGTAGGGTTTATGTAATTTTGGAATTTATTTCATGGAGAAATACTAGCTAGAGGGAAGAAATCAAGAAATACCTTTGGTACCACAGTGTCGGAGGATGGATCTATCTGGATAACACTCCCTGCTGACAAGGTGAAGGTTGTGGGACTTAACATGCCAAGAGGGTGTATGGTGATGATGAAAGATGAAACTGTCATGGCTAAAATTGAGCAACGGCTGCTCCTTTTGTAGGGGAGAAAGTTTTCTTTTCTTTTCTCTACCCCTCTTAGAATCATTGGCTGGGGCCCTGTAAATTAAACTGACAAAAGACACATTAATAAGAGAAGAACAAACAGAAGTTTGTTAACATGTACAGTATGCGTACACAGAAGAGCACTCAAAGGGATGGTTAGCATTTGGGCTTACATAGCATCTTAATAAATTTTAAACAATAAATTTTAGAGATGTGACAAGATGAAGGAAAAGGACTTTGAGTTTCTAGGGCAGCAAATTATGGGAAGGCAAATATATGGGGGGATGAATGAAAGATAAGGGCTAATTAATAAGATTTGTTACATGGATTCCTCTAGTGCAATCTCCAGGCTGATAAGGGTCTAGAGCTGTCTCCAATAATTACCTCTGTCCTTCCTGGTGGAGAGGAGAGAGAGGCACATTTACAAATTTACATTCTGCTTTTAATCAAATGAGGGAGGGAAGAGAGTTTTTCTTATGTCTGTTTCTTCTTAATTGTCTTCAGCTCAAAATAATCAATATGCCAAAATGACATATTTTGGGGTGCATCTTCTGCATCTCTTCACTGCCATTTCTCTTGGTAATGAACCTTGTTGCTGCTTGTAAGATTGCTTTGAAAGTGATGGGACTGAGGATGTTTGCGACTGAAAATTACAGACAGCTGGGCAATGCTGTAATCAGAAAAAGGATCATTGACTTAAATAAAGCTTCCATCAAAATATATTCTTTATAAGAAGATTTGCAATATTAATAGCCTTTCTCTCAAGGTATACTAGAAAGCATTCAGTGAGTCTTACTGTATGTCAGGTAAGCCTTGTTCTCAGTCTTTTCTGGAAAAAAAAAAAAGAATTATCAGACGTCAAATATAAAGAATATTTATCAGTATTTATTCTAAAAATCTCTGAGAACACTTAAATTTTTTTTTTAAATTAAGCTCATGTCTTCTCTTCTTTGTAATGAACCAGAAGGATTACTGGGTGTCTTCAGCGGAAAACTAGGCAGTTGTCTAAGCACATTATTACTGTCATCTGATCTATAGGTTCTCTGTATTTTTCCTCATCTTTGAGTTATTTTATAATTCTTGTAAGTTGTAAGTAACTGATAGCAATGCAAGTAATTACTCTACAGAATCACACAAATTAATTTTGTCTTAGGGAAATTAAACTGATTTCTCTCTACTTCCCATGGAATAAGACCTTTTTACACCAATTTGTAAATAAATTCCCACATACTTATTGCTTATATATGCGCATATTCTTTAACACTCATTTGGATCAATTGTAACATTTATGGGTCCCTCATTAGTTAATGAGTTAAATAAAATCATTGACAGGTATTCATTTTGTATTTGTATGTCAGTCACAATTATACCCTATTTTAAGCTTCCAAATCTACTTTTCTTTTTTTATTCCAAGCAGTACCCATATTGTATACATCCTACCTTAAATATATTTTAAACTTATCTTTTCTGTTCCTTTTGCCTTATCTTGGCCCTCATTATCTCATCAGGAGTACAGCAACAATCTAACTTGTATGTAAGTGATGAATAAATTCATGAACTCCCAGGTTTAGGATCAGGATTATAACAGTTATTGTCAATAATGGGAACAGCTGAAGTGAAAATAGAAGATACCAGGGCTCTAGGAAGATTACTCTTCTAAAAATGTTGCTGAAATACAGTTTCATTGTATTTCTTTCTCTGATAAAAGCACGTTAGTGCAATATGCACATTCCTTACTTCCACAATAATATCATTGCTTTAGCACCCGAAATTCAACTGGCTTTGCAGTGGCTTGAAGCCTAGTAACATCTCCTCCATTTTTTAGGCATTGCTCGATGATACCATTTGTTCATCACTTAAAGTAAAAACTATTGGAATATTTAAATTAACAGTAATCAACTTAGGGTTTTTAAAAAATTTGTAAACTTAATAACAGGATTAGATTTGATTGGTTGTAGCAGGGGGTGGGGAAGGTGGCATCAGCGACATTAACTTCAAGAATGATCGTTGCCCAAAGTTGTTTTGTTGTTGTTCTGCAAACATTTCTTCTGGTAATTACTAAACTTAATGTCCATGTATATTCTTGTGGTATCATAAAAATAGCATAAACTCTAGCTCAAAATTCTTAAACATGATCTGAATATACTAATTTAAGATAGAGAATATACCAAATTAAAATATGCCTTGTGTAAACTCTTGGACCTCGGAATGACACCTCAATCCACTCTTTGGAATCTAGAGGTCACATGCAGGGGCAGGTGGATAAACACGAGGTTTCCATAGTACATTCTGAAGCTGGAGGGATGCTCAGCAATTACCCAAGAAATACAGAAAATATCCTCAAACAACCTTGTTTCCTGAAGTTTCTTTGATTGTACATACAAATTATTAAAAACAATACACTTGGAAAGGCTCAGAAGCCATGCAGTACTGCCTAAGTATAAAAATAGGAAGACTAACATTCTTGAAAGCCTCAGGCATACTGAATTTGTCATTAACAAAACATTTGAATTCATGAGGACCAAAGGCTGGAGAAAAAGAGAGGCTATCCTGCCCCTACTTAAGTTGAAACTACAAAGGCTATATATGTTTCCATTTTCTGCTGCCGAATGACAATAAGGTAAACAATGTTAAGAATATCAGTTTGATATGCATTGTAAAATGAATAAGATATAAAAATACTCTTCTGAAACAAAAATTTTAAAATTCAGGTTTTTCTGAAGCAGCTTCGTTCAATACTTTTAAAATGATATTTTGCCACAGATATGAACTTTTATGAATGCCTGGACACAATTAGAATTCATCTATATATGTTTACAAAATGTCCTCTTTTTATTGATAGTTATTTTCTACAAAAGTTGTTGGAGTTTCTCTTTAAATAACATAAACCTATTATTAGCTTTCATTAAGAAAATTATCCAGCACATGGTGAAACGGGCAATAAAATGAAAAGAAAA
Organism: Homo sapiens; assembly: GCF_000001405.40. Classification (NCBI taxonomy): domain Eukaryota; kingdom Metazoa; phylum Chordata; class Mammalia; order Primates; family Hominidae; genus Homo; species Homo sapiens. Next base: position 94,710,945 of record NC_000007.14, read on the forward strand.
TTATCCATAAACATTACATAATTACACCACCTAAGACTTTCCAATCTATTTGGCTTATCAAGTCTCCTTCAAGTTTTTAAAAACCATTTTGCCTGTTTTCTATGGTAGATAATAAAAAATTGAATTTAAGCAAAATATTTTATTTTATATTAGCATATCAATAAAGAATACAAATAACATTTACCTAAAATAGTTTTAAATATTAATATGGGGTCACTGATCACTTTTAAATATATAACATTTACATATAGTTATATGTACTATATAAATATATAAATAATACTATAATATAAATACACGTTTATATTTATATAAATGTCCTATATATTTATATTACAAATATAAATATGTAAATTTATATAAATAGAAATGTGTATATTTATCATTTATCTATGTAACAATATAATTCATATAAAATATATTACATAAATTTTTATATTCATATTATAAATATATGTATTTATATATGTATATTTTTAGACATAAAATATATGTCTATGTAAAGATATGAATAATATAAAATATTATGTTATTTTATAACAATATAAATTTAGGTGTCTTTCTATTCAGAAAAAATGCCACTTGATTTACTTTAAATTGTGTAAGACAAAAACTGCTTTGTCAAAAATAATATTTAAAATGAAATATGTTTTCTTTGGGGACTGGATGCATGTTAAAAATACATATTAATACATAACTAAATGTTATGCATCAAAAAGACCAAAACGCCTTTCATAACCTTGCAATTTTAGCATATGCTTTATAAACTTAACTGGTTTGTATTTTTAGGCTATTTTGAAGATCTTTCCATAAATAAAATATTTCTTAGGAGTACAGTGCTTGTTTTCCAATACTTGGATGATGTATTATTGTTTTTCTCATTGTGTGTTTTTATATTTTTATGTATGTATTATTTTTTTCTCAAGTTTTTTCCTTGAAGAACTATTTAATAGTGTAGCTTCTGGATCTGGTGAATACCAGTTTTTGTATTACAATCATGAACAAAGCAGAACTGCCTGCATAATACTATGACTAAATGGATGAGATTGATTTATTCCAGTAACTAACAATATCAAAAGGCGAGTAAACTTTTCCATGGGGGTACAATACATAACCAATTCATAAGAATTTCTTCAATGCTTTTCCTTGGATTAAAATCACATTATGGACAAATGAAGTCATTAACAAATCTCTTGAACCTGTCAACCTATTTTGCAAAATGTACAATTTCAGAAATTTTTATATGAATAACATGTTATCTGTCCAAAATTATGCTTTTATTTTGACAATTCTTCAGAAATATTTCAGAATTCAGAAACAGAGGTATATCAAAGCAATCTAAAATACTTCTAGCATCTCTCTTTTTATGTAGTAAATATAGAAATCTTTGTGATTTCTGCATTTTCCAGGGGGGTCCCTGGGCAATCTAAAAGATAATTGTAATTTTAGAAAACATCTTCGAGTTTGCTTCAGCAGCAAGTGTACTAAAATTAAAACAATATAGAGAAGATTAGCATGATCCCTGCACAAGTGTGACACACAAATTTGCGAAGCATTCTATTTTTTTTTTCGACAAATGGTTATCTATTTCAACTGGATATCCACATGCGGAAGAATAAAGTTGGACTCTTACATTATACCATATATAAACATTAACTTAAAGTGAATCAAAGGTCCAAGCAGCAAAATCTAAAACTATAAAACTCTTAGAGGAAAACATAGGAGGAAAGATTTATGACATCAGATTTGGCAATGACTCCTTGGATATGACATCAAAAGCACAGACAACAAAAAAAGTAGATAGATTAGACTACGTTCAACATGGAAAGCTTTTGTGTAGTATGCTAAGTAAGACTCGTCACAAATAGACAAATACTGTATGATTGCACTTATATAAGCTATCTAGAATAATAAAATGTATAAAACAGCAAGTAGAATGGTGGATGCTGGGGCTGTTGGGAGAGATGAATGGGAGCTATTGTTTAATAAGTATGGTGTTTCAGTTCTGGAAGATGAAAAAGTTCTGGAGATGGATGGTAGGGACAGGTGCACAAACATGTGAATGTACTTAATGCCACAGAACTGCACATTTAAAAATGGTTAAAGTGGCAAATTTTATGTTTTGTATATTTTACCACAATGAAAAAACAAAAAGACAATCTATTCTTTTTTTTTTCTGTGTTTAGAATCTGATCTTGAAGAAACAGAATTATCAGAAAAGATCTGGTCATTTGATTGATACAGTATCACAGTTGCCTGTGAGCAATGACTGATTATAGCTTAATTATACATAAAGTAACAATATTTTATAAAAGATGAAAGTAACACAATTATAAGAAACTTTAGTTCTCCTGAAATGATGAACTTTAAAAAAATTGATAACAAAATAAAATCAGCACAAATTTCAGGAAATTATTCTGGTGATATACAGAATTCCTGCTAACTCTGTAGATTACACAGACGGTAAAAAATAATCTTATTCCCTTTGTTAAAAGCCGATTAAATATTTCAAGATCAATTTATGTTTTAACAGGGAGAAGATAAAATTCCAGGATTGCATTAATGTAGTCTTTTGCAGTAAAGGATATTAAAATATCTTTATAAATAAACCCATTAAAATTAAGCAAACTTCCTCCAAATTTTAATATATTTCATCTTTTTTCCTAGACTAAGATATTATAAAGTATGGTAAATAAAATTCATTTTTCTCAAACCTTATACAACTTGCTATGTACACTCAAGTTTTATCCCTCACTATAATCTTTAATATTCTGGAACAAATTGACACACTATTCTGTTTTTACTTGAAAACCATATCTGGCGGCCCTCTGGTTGTCAAGGGTTGCTTCTTTCTCTATTTGTATGATTTTATTTTTCCTTAATTTATTGAATTTTTCTTTTTTTTTTTTTTAACTTTATGTTCCAGGATACATGTGCAGAACGTGCAGGTTTGTTACATAGGTATACTAGGTATACGTGTGCCAAGATGGTTTGCTGCACCTATCAACCTGTTACCTGGCTTTTAAGCCCCATGTGCATTAGCTATTTGTCCTGATGCTCTCCGTCCTCTTTCCCCCCACCGACAGGCCCCGCCCAGCAGTATGTGTTATTCCCTCCCAGTGTCCACGTGTTCTCATTGTTCAAATCCCACTTATGAGTGAGAACATGTGGTGTTTGGTTTTCAGTTCCTGTGTTAGTTTGCTGAGGATGATGGCTTCCAGGTTTATCCATGTCCCTGCAAAGGACATGATCTCATTCCTTTTTATGGCTGCATAGCATTCCATGGTGTATATGTACCACATTTTCTTTATCCAGTCTATCATTGATGGGCATTTGGTTCAATGTCTTTGCTATTGTGAATAGTGCTGCAATAATCATACGTGTGCTAACCTTCTCTCCCTGGAACCTTCTGGAAAGTGAGGAGCGCCTCTGCCAGGCTGTAGCACCATCTGAGAAGTGAGGAGCGCCTCTGTCCCACCCCAGTGCAACTCTACAGGTGTGAAGTGGCAGTCTAGTGTGTGATCTTTCTGCCCTCCTCAAGTTTGCATTTTCAACATTAAAGTTTACTTCTAAATTAAAAGACTTAAATTGGGGAAGATAAAAAAAAATGTGTACATGTGTCTTTATAATAGAATGGTTTATATTCCTTTGGGTATATACCCAGTAATGGGATTGCTGGGTCAAATGGTATTTCTGGTTCTAGATCCTTGAGGGATCGCCACACTGTCTTCCACAATGGTTGATTAATTTTTATTACATTAATTTACATTCCCACCAACAACGTAAAAAGTTGTTCTTATTTCTCCACAGCCTCGCCAGCTCTGTTTCTTGACTATTTAATAATTGCCATTCTGACTGGCATGAGATGGTATTTTATTGTGGTTTTGATTTGCATTTCTCTAATGATCAGTAATGTTGACCTTTTTTTTAAATACGTTTGTTGGCTGGATAAATGCCTTCTTTTGAAAAATGTCTGTTCATACCCTTTGCCCACTTTTTGATGAGGTTGTTTTTTTCTTGTAAATATGTTTAAATTCCTTGTAAATTCTGGATATTATACCATAGTCCTTTGTCGGATGGGTAGATTGCAAACTTTTTTCCCATTCTGTATGTTGCCTGTACTCTCTGATGATAGTTTCTTTTGCTGTGCAGAAACTCTTTAGTTTAATTAGATCCCATGTGTCAATTTTAGCTTTTGTTGCAATTACTTTTGAGGATTTCATCATAAAATCTTTGCCCATGCCTATGTCCTGAATGGTATTGCCTAGGGTTTCTTCTAGGGTTTTTATGGTTTTAGGTCTTACGTTTAAGTCTTTAATCCATCTTGAGTTAATTTTTGTTTAAGATGTAAGGAAGGGGTTCAGTGTCAGTTTTCTGCATATGGATACCCAGTTTTCCCAACACCATTTATTAAACAGGGAATCCTTTCCCCATTGCTTGTTTTTGTGAGGTTTGTCAAAGATCAGATGGTTGTAGATGTGTGGTGTTATTTCTGAGGTCTCTATTCCATTCCATTGATCTATATGTCTGTTTTGGTACCGGTACCAGTACCATGCTGTTTTGGTTACTGTAGTCTTGTATAGTTTGAAGTAAGGTAGCTGATGCTGCCAGCTTTGTTCATTTTGCTTAGGATTGTCTTGGCTATGCAGGCTCTTTTTTGGTTCCATATGAAATCTAAAGTAGTTTTTCTAATTCTGTGAAGAATGTCAATGGTAGCTTGACGGGAATAGCATTGAATCTATAAATTTCATTGGGCAGTATGACCATGTTCATGATATTGATTCTTCCTATCCATGAGGATGGGGTGTTTTTCCATTTGTTTGTGTCCTCTCTTATTTCTTTGAGCAGTGGTTTGTAGTTCTCCTTGAAGAGGTCCTTCACATCCCTTGTTAGCTGTATTCCTAGTTATTTTATTCTCTTTGTAGCAATTGTGAATGGGAGTTTGCTCATGATTTGGCTCTCTGTTTGTCTATTATTGATGTATAGGAATGCTTGTGATTTTTGCGCATTGATTTTTTTATCCTGAGACTTTGCTGAAGTTGCTTATCAGCTTAAGGAGATTTTGGGCTGAGACGATGGGGTTTTCTAAATATACAATCATGTCATCTGCAAACAGAGACAATTTGAATTCCTCTCTTCTTATTTGAATACACTTTATTTCTTTCTCTTACCTAATTGCCCTGGCCACAACTTCTAATACTATGTTGAATAGGAGTGGTAAGAGAGGGCATCCTTGTCTTGTGCCTGTTTCCAAAGGGAATGCTTTCATTTTGCACATTCAATATGATATTGGCTGTGGGTTTGTCATAAATAGCTCTTATTATTTTGAGACATGTTTCATCAATACCTAGTTTATTGAGAGTTTTTAACATGAAAAGTTATTGAATTTTATCAAAGGCTTTTTCTGCATCTATTGACATAATGATGTGGGTTGTCATTGGTTTTGTTTATGTGATGGATTACGTTTATTGATTTCCATATGTTGAACCAGCCTTGCATCCCAGGGATGAAGCCAACTTGATTGTGGTGGATAAGCTTTTTAATATGCTGCTGGATTCGGTTTGCTGGTATTTTATTGAGGATTTTTACATCTATGTTCATTGGGGTATTGGCCTGCAGTTTTCCTTTTTTGTAGTGTCTCTGCCAGGCTTTGGTATCAGGATGATGCTGGCCTGGTAAAATGAGTTAGGGAGGAGTTCCTCGTCTTCAATTGTTTGGAATAGTTTCTGAAGGAATGGTACCAACTCCTCTTTGTACCTCTGGTAGAATCTGGCTGTGAATCTGTCTGGTCCTGGGCTTTTTTTGTTGGTAGGCTATTTATCACTGCCTACATTTCAGAACTTGTTATTGGTCTATTCAGGGAATTGACTTCTTTCTGGTTTAGTATTGGGAGGGTGTATGTGTCCAGGAATGTATCCATTTCATGTAGATTTTCTAGTATATTTGCACAGAATTGTTTATACTATTCTCTGATAGTAGTTTGTATTTCCATGGGGCCAGTGGTGATGTCCTCTTTAGCATTTTTTATTGTATCTATTTGATTCTCTTTTTTTCTTTATTAGTCTAGCTAATGATCTATTTTATTATTTGATTCAAAAAACTGGTTCCTGGATTCATTGATTTTTTGGTAGGGTTTTTGTGTGTGTGTGTCTCTATCTCCTTCAATTATGCTCTGGTCTTAGTTATTTCTTGTCTTCTGCTAGCTTTTGGATTTGTTTGCTCTTGCTTCTCTAGTTCTTTTAATTGTGATGTTAGGGTGTCAATTTGAGATCTTTCTAGCTTTCTGATGTGGGCATTTTAGTGCTATAAATTTCCATCTTAACACTGCTTTAGCTGCATCCCAGAGATTCTGGTACGTTGTCTTTTGTTCTCATTGGTTTCAAAGAACTTCTTGATTTCTGCCTTAATTTCATTATTTACCTAAGAGTCATTCAGGGGCAGCTTGTTTAATTTCCATGCAGTTGTGTGATTCTGAGTGAGTTTTTTAATCCTGTGTTCCAAATTGATTGCACTGTGGTCTGAGAGACTATTTCATATTATTTCAGTTCTTTTGTATTTGCTGAGGGGTGTTTTACTTCCAATTATGCAGTCGATTTTAGAGTAAGTGCCATGTGGCACTGAGAAGAATGTATATTCTGTTGTTTTGGGGTGGAGAGTTCTGTAGATATCTATTAGGTCCACTTGATGCAGAGCTGAGTTCAAGTCCTGAATATACTTTTTAATTTTCTGTCTTGTTAATCTGTCTAATATTGACAGTGGAGTGTTAAAGTCTCCCACGATTATTGTATGGGAGTCTAAGTCTCTTTGTAGATCTCTAAGAACTTATTTTATGAATCAGGGTGCTCTTGTATTGGGTGAATATATATGTAGAATAGTTAGCTCTTCCTAAAGAATTGAACCCTTTACCATTATGTAATGCCCTTCTTTGTCTTTTTTGATCTTTGTTGGTTTAAAGTCTGTTTTGTCAGAGACTAGGACTGCAACCCTGCTTTTTTCCGTTTTCCATTTGCTTGGTAAATTTTCCTTCATCCCTTTATTTTGAGCCTATGTGTGTCTTTGCACATGAGATGAGTCTCTTCAATACAGCACACCAATGAGTCTTGACTCTTTATCCAATTTGCCAGTCTATGTCTTTTAATAGCCCATTTACATTTAAGGTTAATACTGTTATGTGTGAATTTGATCCTGTCATGATGATGCTAGCTGGGTATTTTGCACACTAGGTAATGCCATTTCTTCATAGTGTCATTGGTCTTTATATTTCGAGTGTTTTGCAGTGGCTGGTACCAATTTTTCCTTTCCATATTTAGTGCTTCCTTCAGGAACGCTTACAAGGCAGGCCTGGTGGTGACAAATTCCCTCAGCATTTGCTTGTCTGAAAAGGATTTTATTTCTCCTTCACTTATGAAGTTTAGTTTGGCTGGATATGAAATTCTGGTTTGAAAATTCTTTAAGAATGTTGAATATTGACCTCCACTCTCTTCTGGATTGTAGGGTTTCTGCCGAGAGATCTGCTTCTAGCCTGATGGACTTCCCTTTGTAGGTGACCTGGCCTTTCTCTCTGGCTGCCCTTAACAGTTTTTCCTCCATTTCAGCCTTGGAGAATCTGAAGATTATGTGTCTTGGGGTTGATCTTCTCATGGAGTATCTTAGTGGGGTTCTCTGTATTTCCTGAATTTGAATGTTGGCCTGTGTTTCTACGCTGGGGAAGTTCTTTTGGATAATATTCTGAAGTGTGTTTTCCAACTTGGTTCCATTTCCCTGTCTCTTTCAGGTACTCCAATCAGTCGTAGGTTCAGTTTTTTACATAGTTCCATATTTCTCGGTTAGGTTTTGTTCATTCCTTTTCATTCTTTTTCTCTAATCTTGTCTGCCTGCCTTATTTCAGCAAGGTAGTCTTCTATCTCTGATATTCTTTCTTCCACTCAATCAATTTGGTTATTGATACTTGTGTATGCTTTACAAAGTTCTTGTGCCGCATTTATGTTCCTCTCCAAACTGGTTATTCTAGTTAGCAGCTCCTCTAACCTTTTATCAAGGTTCTTAGCTTCTTTGTGTTGGGTTAGAATATGCTCCTTTACTTCAGTGAAGTTTGTTATTAACTACCTTCTGAAGCCTACTTCTGTCAATTTGTCATCTTATCTTCCATCCAGTTCTGTGCCCTTGCTGGAGAGGTGTTGTGATCATTTGGAGGAGAAGAGGCACTCTGGCCTTTTGGTTTTTCAGTGTTTTTTTGTTGATTTTTTTTTTCATCTTCATGAGTTTGTCTAGTTTCAATCTTTGAGGCTGCTGATCCTTGGTTGAGGTTTTCTTTGGGACTTTTCTTGTTGATGCTGTTGTTGTTGCTTTCTCTTTGTTTTTCTTTCAATAGTCAGGTCCCTCTTCTGTAGGACTGCTGTGGTGTGCTAGAGGTTTGCTTCAGTCCCTATTAATTTAGTTCGCTCTTGCGCCTAGAGATGTCACTCGAGGAGGCTGGAGAACAGCAAAGATGGATGCCTGCTCCTTCCTCTGGGATCTCTGACCTCAAGGGGCACCAATCTGATGCTAGTAAGAATGCTCCCATATGGGATGTCTGACAACTCCTTTTGGGGGGTCTCACCCAGTTGGGTGGCATGGGGAACAGGACCCATTTAATGGGAGGACATTTAAAGGACAGCATTTTGACTGTCCTTTGGTGGAGGGGGTGTGCTGCACTGGGGGAAAACCCACTTGTCTGGGCTGCCTGGATTCCTCAGAGCTGGCAGGAGGAAAGTTTAAGTCTGCTGGTCCATGGAGACATTGGCCACCCCTCTCCCTAGGGGTTCAGACCCAGGGAGAGCAGAGTTCTGTCTTTGACCCCCTGAATGGAGTTGGAGTTCCTGCAGGGAGGCCCTGCAGTGGCAGTGTTGGCTGCCGCCCCTCCCCCAAGGAGCTCAGACAGCTTAGACAGCAGGTAGCCACAGCAGTGGTGATGGCTACCCCTCTCCCTGTGAACTCCACAGGCTTAGGCTGATTCTAACTGAGTAGCTCTTGAGAATCTGCACAGCTCCGTGGTTGGAACCCAAGGCACCGGTGGCATGGGCTCACAAGTGAGATCTTCCGACCCATGCATTGCACAGTTCCGTGGAAAAAGCATGGTTTCCCAGGCTGGGTAGCATGCTCACTCACCACCTCCCTTAGCTGGGGGCGGGGGCTCCCTGCCCTGTGCGGCTCTCAAGTGAGCTGCAGCACCACACTACTACTCTTCCTTCCTCTCTGTGAGTCACACCCACCAGCCATCTATTCAGTCCTAATGACAGAACCAGGATACCTTGGTTGCTGGTACAGGATTCGCACACAGTTTTGGATCTTTTCAATGGGAGCCTCTGATCACTGCTGCTTCTAGTTGGCCACCTTGTCCCTGTCCCCTGAAATTTTTTATATGACCCATGATATGGTCTACTATTTGGACAATGTTCCATGTTCATTGACTCATCTTCCTATATCTCTCCTTATCTCAGATATTATTTTTTGAGGTCTACATTATATATTATAGCCACTACAAATTTCTTTTGACTATTGTTTACATAGTATATTTTAAAAATTATTTTAAACTGTCTATGGGGGAGAGCATGATGAACTGCAAAGGACCATGAGGAAATTTGGGAGATGATGATATTCAGTATCTTGACTGGCAGTTCTGTTACAAGAGTTGTGTATCTGTTTAAAGTTGTATATACAAATTGAGCACAGTTTTTTTGGTACAAAGATTATACCTCTAAATGGTTGATTACCTGTGAAAAAATGGTTAATTAAAGATGGAAAATAATAACAAAATCTAGAAAATCCTCAAGTATTTGGATATTAATACTCTTCTAAATAAACCATTGCAATCACTGTAGGGTTAAAGAAAAATCATAAAATAGAAACAGAAAACAGAAAAGATCATGAAATCTGAAATATTTTGAACTGAAAAATAATGAAAATTCTTTATATCAAAATATGCAGCATGGAACCATAGCAATGGTTAGAGAAGAATCTATAGTTTTAAATGTTCATATTATACACAAAACATTTAACAACATGGATCTAACTTTCTACCTTAGAAACCTAAAAGCAAAACTTAAATATATAGGAAATCAAAAGAAATAAACTATAAAGATAAGAACAGAAATCAATAAAATTGAAAATGACAAATAGAGAAAAGTAACAAAGCAAAAAGTTTGTTTCTATAAAGTATTAATACAGTTAGTAAATCTCTAGATAGGAGACATGTTATTTGTTTTCATCTGGGACATGAACAAACATACCAAAGAAAATTGGATATCTCAATGTTCTTGATTATGTTATTTTTGTACCTTGAGTATTGCCAAGATCACTATGGATATTTGTCTTTGTTAACAGCTGTAGGTAAAATTTGAAGGATGCATAGAAGTTTACTGTATAAACAGTGAAAGTAAGGCAAGGACACTATCAGCATCTATGCAATGATATCAAATTAAGAACAAGCATGTTGTGGTCACAGTTTGTGAAAAAACATTTAAAACTTGGATGATTTTATTTATTTACTACAGAGAATGTAGTCTGTCCTTTCAATGTCATACTCTATCATTATTTAATACATATCTATGATATTTCTTTTAGAAAATTAAACTAGCATATTTACTTGTGTTTTACCTTGCTCTTTACTATTTGATTAGATCCTAGACACTACAAAATTCATGTTATCTTGTAGATTTCTGTGTGACAGAAAAGATAACTAAATTTTAATGTTATATATGATAGTCTATTAAAAATTACTTTCTTGTGAAATTTAGTTCAAGAGAACTTTTATATAAGAATTCAAATCCACATAATTAAGGTGAAAACTTGGACAAGTCAAATTGGATTCGTAATTTAGGTTTAAATAATCATTTCTCCACTTTGGCACTATTGACATGTTGGTCTAGATAATAAGAATTCAAAATATTAAGGTATTTCAAAAGATATCTCTCATTACATTTTTAGTTAAACAATTTTTATCTAAAAAATATCTGTGGAAACAAAAATGAATTACTGGACTCATGAAACAAAGGTAAGAAAACTTAAACATTTAAATCATGAAAAATTAAACTTTTACTAACAAAAATATTTTGCTAAAAATTTTCACATATTGATAAAATTAGTAAGAAGACAGTGTTCATTGTAAAATTAAATTACTCTTAAACTGAAGAATGCATCAGAGACTTGCAATGGCAGAATTGATCAAGCAGAAGAAATAGTGAGCTTGAAGATAGGCTATTTGAAAATACACAGAGGAGATAAAAGAAAAAAGAATTTAAAAGAATGCCACAAGATTTAGAAAATAGTCTCAAAAGGGCAAATCTAAGAGTTATTGGCCTTAATGAAGATGCCAAGAACAGCTCAGTCAGGGAGACCCTAACCCAGCGGCGCTAGAGGAATTAAAGACATACACACAAATATAGCGGGTGGAGTGGGAAATCAGGGGACTCACAGTCTTCAGAGCTGAGAACCCCGAACAGAGATTTACCCACATATTTATTGACAGCAAGCCAGTGATAAACATTGTTTCTATAGGTTATAGATTAACTAAAAGTATTCCTTACGGGAAACGAAGGGATGGGCCGAAACAAAGGGATGGGCTCTGGCTAGCTATCTGCAGCAGGAATTATGTCCTTAAGGCACAGATTGCTCATGCTATTGTTTGTGGCTCAGGAATGCCTTTAAGCGGATTTCCGCCCTGGGTGGGCCAGGTGTTCCTTGCCCTCATTCCGGTAAACCCACAACCATCAGTGTGGGTGTCATGGCCATCACAAACATGTCACAGCACTGCAGAAATTTTGTTTATGGCCAGTTTTGGGGCCAGTTTATGGCCAGATTTGGGGGTCTATCCCCAGCATGTTCCCCTTCTTGTTTTTGCAGGGCAGTAAAAGCAAAGGCAGCTTTATGACAGTGAGCTACTAACAGGAGTTGGGATCCACATCTGCAGACTACACAAAGACAACACAGATTAATAACACAATCATCACTGAAATCACAGAGCCTCCAAGTGTTTTTATCTGTTTTAATGCGTTACTAGCTGCTAATCTGTCTGCATCTCCTTCAAGCACTCCAGTCCCTGGCATTAAGGTCAGGTGTGCCTGGGATGCTTTTAATATTTGTTCTTTAAATTTGGAATATCCAAAGACAAGTTTGTAGAGTGTTCTTCTAGATGTTTTTTTATTCTTTCCCAAATTTTGATCTTATTAAGAGTCATTAATAGTTTCCACAAATCCTTATGTTTAGCTCCTACAGCGGGCCATATCATTTGAGGTTGAGGTGCCACTATACCGTCATGTTTCCAGATAATAGGAACTCTTACCATATTTCTTACTATTTCTACCATCTGACCATTTTGTTCAGACCAGCTGAACATAGTGTGGCCATGGTATGCAGACTGAGAGGTGCAATTTAAGCTAAACATCCCCTTAGGGGACCAATCAATAATGATTCCATAGGAATCATTGTGCAACACCTCTGCCTGTTCTGCAATGCAATCTTCCAAAACAAATACATTCATTATTTCTGGCCAGGTCCAATTCTGTTTACAAATAGGCTTTGAGGGCAGTATGCCTCAATTATAGGAGCAGATTTATTATGGTAAAATGAGATCAGAAAGCATGTGTAACTGTGTCATAGAGTGATTACATCCGGGCATTATTGCCAGCCAAGATTGATAAATATGCCCAATAAGTATAATTACACTCTGTGTCAGCCCTTGTTGAAGGAATACTCATGGCAATGGTGATCACCGCTATCATAGCTATCATTAAATTACTTATTGTGACTGGTTGTCCCGCTTTCCTCAGGTTTTCTTCTGCCATCTGCAACAGCTTCTTGATCTGTCCCCAGGTAGGTGGCTGTGTTCAATGGGTGTTGCTCGTGACAGCTGCAGTCCTCCTCAGCATCAGTCTCAACATGGCTGCAACCAGGGGGTCCTTGGGATCCTCCTGGAATCTCTTCTTCGGCATCTGGCTCATGATAAGGTTTCAGGTGTCTTGATGGTATCCAAATTGGCTGCCGGTTTTGGCCTGGTGAAACACAAGCAAAACCTCTACCCCAAGTTATTATTTTACCTATTTCCCAACTTTTTGTTATTGGATCTCTCCACCAAACCAGTTGTTCTGCTTCTGTCTTTGCAGCTGGTTTCTGTAGATGCTGTTCAGCTGCTGATAGCATCTGGCCTTTAGGCAGCCTCAAAAAATTTAAGGTCAATAATGCTAGATTCAATTACATATAGGGTGTTCCATAGTCCCTGTTTCCCCCTTTCTGCTTTTGCAATTGCTGTTTTAAGGAGAGATTCATTTGTTCTACAGTGGCTTGTCCTTGAGAATTATATGGGATACCAGTAATGTGTTTAATGTTCCATATAGAGAAAAATGAAGCTAGAGCTTGGCTAGTATAGCCTGGGGCATTATCTCTTTTAATAGAAGCTGAAATGCCCGTCACCACAAAACACTGCAAAAGGTGACATTTAACACAGGCAGAAGACTCTCCTGATTGGCATGTAGCCCAGACAAAGTGAGAAAAGGTGTCCTCACATGCATGTACATAAGCTAGTCTCCCAAATGAGGGAACATGTGTGACATCCATTTGGCAAAGAGAATTAGGTACCAGTCCTCGAGGATTAACTCCTCCTGTAAAAGATGAGTAATGTACCATTTGGCAAGTTGGGCATCACTGGATAGTAGCTTTAGCTTTTTTCCAGGTAATGCTGTAACTGCATTTGAGACCAGAGGAATTAACATGGGTTAAATTGTGAAAGTGTCTAGCATTATATATTGCAGTAGCAACTAGGCAATCAGCCATTTGATTCCCTGCAGTCAAAGGTCCTGGAAGAGGTGTATGAGCCCTAATGTGAGTGATGTAAAAAGGGTGCATTCTACTCCTGACTGCTGCTTGCAATTGGGTAAATAAAGTCATCAGTTGTTCATCTGCATGAAATCGTAACTGAGCATTTTCAATTAATTGTGTGGAATGAACCACGTATGAAGAATCAGAAATCACATTAATAGGCATATTAAAAACAGTGAATACCTTAATTACAGCTACAAGCTCTCCTTTTTGACTGAAGTATAGGGTGTCTGAAGAACTTTACCTTTTGAGCCAGAATAAGAAGCTTTACCATTGCTAGACCCATCTGTAAAAACATTCGCAGTGCCTTCAATTGGTTTAAATTTAGTGATTTTAGGGAGAATCCAATTGTCAATTTCAAAAATTGAAACAGTTTCGTTTTAGGAAAATGATTATCAAGAATACTCACAAAGTCAGCTAAATGGGTTTGCCAAGTAAGACTATTTATAAAAGCTTGCTGTATTTGTGCCTTCGTGAGAGGGACAATAATTTTTCCAGGATCTTATCCATGTAATTTAACAATCCAAGTTCTCCCATTTCCTATCATAGTAGCGATTTGATCCAAATACGGAGTTTGAGTCTGTGAATTAGTATGTGGAAGAAAAAGCCACTCTACAAGATCTTGCTCTTGAACAATAACACCAGTAGGTAAATGCTGAGTTAAAAAAATTAGCAAATCTACAGTCTTCTCTGGATCTATTCTGTTTATTTGAGCTTTGTGGACTTGCTTTTCAGTCAGCTGTAACTCTGCCTCAGCTTCTTTTGTTAATTGCCAAGGGCTAGTGAGACTAGGATCTCCTCTAAGAAGAGAAAATAGATTACTCATGGCATAGGTAGGAATGCCTAGAGCAGGTCATATCCAATTAATGTCCCCTAGTAATTTTTGAAAGTCATTTAATGTTTTCAATTGATCCCTACATATGGTTACTTTCTGTGGCACAATGGTAGTGTCATTTACTAAGGTCCCCAAGTAGGATTAAGGAGTAGTAGTCTGAATTTTGTCAGGAGCTATAATTAAACCAGTGCAAGAAATCAAATTTTGCAAGTGATCATAACATTAGAGTAATATGTCTCGAGTGGGGACAGCACAAAATATATCATCCATATAATGAATAATGTAACACTGTGAAAATTTTTTACAAGTAGGTTCAATTGCTTGCCCTACATACATCTGGCAAATTGTTGGGCTGTTTAACATGCCTTGTGGCAACACTTCCCAGTGAAAACGCTTAGCAGGTTGCAGGTTGTTTACCACAGGAATTGTAAATGCAAACCATTCACAGTCTTGCTCAGCTAAGGGGATAGTAAAGAAACACTCTTTTAAATTTATGACTATTAAAGGCCAATTTTTTGGAATCATAGCAGGAGAAGGCAGTGCTGGCTGCAATGTCCCCATAGGTTGTATAATTGAATTAATGGTTCTTAAGTCAGTTAACATTCTCCATTTACCTGATTTTTTCTTAATTATGAAAACTGGAGAATTCCAAAGGGAAAATGTTGGAGCTATGTGTTCTTTTTCTAATTGTTCAGTAACTAAGTCCTCTAAAGCCTCCAGTTTCTCTTTACTCAGTGGCCATTGTTCTATCCAAATTGGCTTATCTGTTAACCATTTTAAAGGTATAGGTTCTGGAGGCTTAACAATGGCCACCATCAAAAATGATATCCTAAATCTCAGTGGGAACTTTTGTCTTTCCACTTGAAGCAGTTCCTTCAAACCTTGCAAATTTTTTCCTAGTCCCATACCATGGACATACCCCATTTCATGCATCATATGTTGACTATGAGGGCTATATAATTGTTCTGGAATTAGAAGTTGTGCTCCCCATTGTTGTAATAAATCTCTCCCCCATAAATTTATAGGTACAGAAGTTACAATTGGTTGAATAGTCCCAGGTTGTCCATCGGATCCTTCACGATGCAAAACATAACTACTTTGATATACTTTAGGGGCTTTACCAACTCCAACTATGTTAAATTGAGCAGGTTGAATTGGCCAAATGGATGGCCAGTGCTGTAGAGAAATGATTGAAATGTCTGCTCCTGTATCTACCAAACTTTTAAATTTCTTTCCCTGAATAGTTATTTCACAGGTAGGACGTTTATCAGTAATCTGATTCACCCAATAAGCTGCTTTGCCTTATTTGTGCTTCCAAATCCTCCTGTTCATTTAATTTCCCTTTTCTCCATTTCCACATACGGCACAATCAGGAGTTGTGCTATGCGCTCTCCTGGCTCTGCTTTCCAGGGAACAGGAGTAGATATAACAATTTGAATTTCCCCATTGTAATCTGAATCAATGACTCCTGTATGTACTTGCACTCCTTTTAAATTTAAACTAGATCTACCTAGGAGTAATACTATCATCCCCCCAGCAAGGGTCCAGAGACCACTGTTGGAACTTTTTGCAGGGGTTACCCAGGCAGAAGGCTCACAGCTTTTGTGCAGCATAAATCTACTGTGGCACTACCAGCTGTGACAGGGGACAGATATTGTACAGGGGTGAGGGAATGGCCTGAGCCAGAAATGATCCAGTTTGGAATGGGGCCTGGGACGGCCCCCTCATGGCATTTCCTGAAATTGGGTTCCCATCTTTATCAAATTTAGAGTGACACTGATTGGCCCAATGTTTTCCTTTTTTATATTTTGGACATATTTCAGGCTCAGCAGTTTTCCTTTTTCCCTCATCTGGTGGCCTGACTTGCTGATTTTTTCTACATTCTTTTTTAGTATGACCATGCTTCTGACAGTTAAAATAAGCTCCAGGAAATGGAGTATTTCCTTTACCCACTCTCAGTCCTGCCATTGCCTGGGCTAGCAGAGTAGCCTTATGCAGATTACCTCCGATACCAACACAGGCCTTGATATAATCAACTAAATGTGCTTTCCCTCTAATAGGTCACAGAGCAGCCTGGCACTCAGGATTAGCATTGTTGAAAGCTAATAACCGCAACACTATATCCTGAGCAGCTGAATCTGCAATCACCTTTTTAAGAGACTCCTGTAACCGAGCTATAAAACCTGTGTATGGTTCTTTTGGTCCCTGTTTTACAGCACTAAAGGAAGGGTATTGTTCTCCACCTGAAGTGATTTTTTTCCCAAGCTCTAATGCACACCCCTCTAAGCTGTTCTATGGCATCATCCTGCATAACCACTTGTGCATCTAAACCAGCCCAGCTGCCGACCCCCAAAAGTTGGTCTGTAGTTATATTAAATTGAGGTTGGGCCTGGGCATTGTGAGCAGCCTGAATGGAAGCTTCATCTGCCCACCAAGTTTTAAATTATCAGAACTGAGCAGGAGTCAGACAAGCTCGTGTAAGAGTGTCCCAGTCAGTAGGAATCATCTGACTAGAAACAGCAACATTCTTTAACAGTCCCATTACAAAAGGAGAACCTGGTCCATATTGATTAATAGCTTTTTAAATTCTTTGAGTAATTTAAAAGGAAAAGGCCCAAATGTAGCTATCATATTTCCCTGTTGATCTTGGGGGGTGTATCCTAAACAGGACTGCCAAGCCTCTATATCACCTTCACGTCTAGCTTGCTGGATTCCTGCCTGAATAGAACTGAGAGTGGTCACTCGAGGCACTGCTCAAACAGTCACTGGGGCAACGACTTTTTGCCCAGTGTCCTCTGGAAAAGAAAGATCTGGAGGGTCAGGCTACTCTTTTGCTTCAAAATAATGAGGGGGTGCAGAAGAGTAGGGACAAACCTCTCCCTCCTTTGCCACTTTAGCTTTAGCTGGCAAAAAAACCTGCTCTGTCACCTCTTCTGTTACCTCGTTATACTTTCCTTCTTCCTCATCATTACTATGTAAAGGTTCCAAGGTGGAATGAACCAGAGCCCACACTTGTTCCATTGTTACCCTGATGCTTCCAAGCTCCCTTTCTTACTCACCATGGGGATTGCTTAAGAGTACTCGGGTGTCCTCCAGCTTCATTCCACATTTTCCAACCGTCGCTCTGGTGACCCTTCAACCTGGGTTCGAGCCTCTGTATAGGCACCACTTGCTGAGACCAGCTCGGCTGGGGAGACCCTAACTCAGCGGCACTAGAGGAATTAAAGACACACACACAAATACAGTATGTGGAGTGGGAAATCAGGGGACTCATAGCCTTCAGAGCTGAGAGCCCCAAACAGAGATTTATCCACAAATTTATTGACAACAAGCCAGTGATAAACATTGCTCCTATAGATTATAGATTAACTAAAAGTATTCCTTACAGGAAACAAAGGGATGGGGTGAAACAAAGAGATGGGCTCTGGCTAGTTATCTGCAGCAGGAACATGTCCTTAAGGCACAGATTGCTCATGCTATTGTTTGTGGTTCAGGAATGCCTTTGAGCGGTTTTCCGCCCTGGGTGGGCCAGGTGTTCCTTGCCCTCATTCCGGTAAACCCACAACCTTCAGCATGGGCATCATGGCCCATCACAAACATGTCACAGCACTGCAGAGATTTTGTTTATGGCCAGTTTTGGGGCCAGTTTATGGCCAGATTTGGGGGCCTATCCCCAGCATGAAAAGGTAGAGAGAGAGACTGGGGTAGAAATTGTATTCAAAGAGATAACACAGAGCTTTCCAAACCTACAGAAAGATATCAGTATTTAAGTACAAGAAGATTGTAGAACACCAAACAGGGTTAACTCAAATAAGACTACCTCAGGACATGTAACAATCAAACTTCCAAATATCAAGGATAAAGAAATGATCCTAGAAGCAGCAAGATAAAAACAAAAACAAGAACAAGTAACATATAATGGAATTGCTCCACTATGTCTGGCTGTAGACTTTTCAGTGGAAACCTTACAGGCCAGGAGAGAGTGGCATGTTATATTTAAAGTGCTGAAGGAATAAATCTTTTATCCTAAAATAATATGTCTGGCAAAAATATCTTTCAAACATGAAGGAGAGGCTGGGTGCAGTGGCTCACACCTGTAATCCCAGCACATTGGGAGGCCAAGGCAGGTGGATCAATTTAGGCCAGGAGTTTGAGAACAGCCTGCCCAACATTGTGAAACACTGTTTCTACTAAAAATACAAAAATTAGCTGAGTGTGGTGGCACACACCTGTAATTCCAACTACTTGGGAGGATGAGGCATGAGAATCACTTGAACCCATGAGGCAGAGATTGCATTGAGCCAAGAGCATGCCATTGCATAAAAAAAGAAAACAGTAACAAGAAAAACAAAACCATGAAGGAGAAAGACTTTCCCAAACAAAAGCTAAAACCTGAGGGATTTCACCAATACCAGAAATGCTAAAGGAAGAAATGCTAAAGGAAGTTCCTCCATCAGAAGGGAAAGGATATAACTGAGCAACAGGAAATCATCTGAAGGTACAAAATTCACTAGTAATAGTAAGTACACAAAAAATACAGAATATTATAACACTGTAATTGTAGTGTGTCAACTATTCATATCATGAGTAGGAAGACAAAAAGAGAAACCTACGAGAAATAATAATTAGAACAAATTTTAAATAAATAGTACAATAAGATGTAAATAGAAACAACAAAAAGTTAAAAAGTGGGGGAGACAAAGTTAAAGTATAATTTTTATTAGTTTTCTCTTTACTCGTTTGTTTGTTTTTGTGATCATAGTTAAGTTGTCATCAGTTTAAAATCATGGGTTATAACATGCTATTTGCAAGCCTCATGGTAACCTCAAATCAACAAACCTGCAACAGACACACAAAAAATAAAAAGCAAGAAATCAAAACCAGAGAAAATCACTTTCACAAAAAGGAAGAGGGGAAGGAAGGACGAGAGATCACAAAACAACTAGAAAACAAATTTTAAAATTGCAGGAGTTAGTCCTTACTTATCAACAATAACACTGAATGAAAATGGACTAAACTCTCCAATCAAAAGACATAGGCTGAATGGATTAAAAACAAAACAAAACAAGATTCAACTATCTGCTGCCTACAAGAAACATACTTCACCTGTAAAGACACATAGACTGAAAACAAAGGGATAGAAAAAGATATTTCATGTCAATGGAAACCAAAAAAGAGCAGGAGTAGCTATACTCCAATAAAATAGATTTTAAGACAAAGACCATAAAAAGAGACAAAGAAGGTCATTACATAATGATAAAGGGGTCCATTCAGCAAGAGGATATAATTATAAATATATATGCACCAGACACTGGAGTGCCCACATATATAACGTCAATTATTATGGGAGCATGGGAGCTAGAGAGAGAGATGATTACCAGAGGCTAGGAAGAATAGTGAGGAGTGGGGTGGGGAGTGGGGATAGTTAATGGTACAAAAGTATGGTTAGATAGAATGAATAAAATCTAGTACTTGATAGCACAACAGGGTGACTATAGTCAACAATAATTTATTGCATGTTTAAAAATAAATAAAAGGCTATAGCTGGAATATTTGTATCACAAATAAATGAAAATGCTTGAGCTGATCAATACTCCATTTATTCTTATTTGATTATTACACATTGTAGCCTGTATAAAAATATCTCATGTATCCCATAAATATCTATACCTATTATGTATCCATAAAAAATAAAAATAATTTTTAAAGTAAATAAATAAGTAAATAAAATTACATTACTCTAATTTGTCCAAAGAATTGCCTATTTAAGTATACCTTTTCCTTTTTCAATTATAGACAATCTTGAATAAAATATCAAAAATTTAAAAGATTAAAATTTTGCCAAAAGCTCTTCAGTGCAGGAACCAAACTATTAGTTGAACTCCCAGTTAACTTTTCTTGAATCACACTTTTGACAAGAAAAAACATACCAAAAAACCCACACAAACAATTTAATATTTTGTCTTTTTTTTTTTAGTTAATTTTGGGAGTTCTTGACCTTATATCTGCACTAGCCATTTCCAGAGTTTACACATAATGACAGAGCAGTGTTCATGAACAAATGAATATCCAAATTTTCAGAGAGATTGGAAGAAGAAAGGGAGAAGAAAGGGAAAGAAGGAAGCAAGAAGAAGCCAGCTTAGGACAGATATGAAATTATTACTGTAACAGGCCAATTACCTAAATTCTACAAAGAGAAGACAAGGGTTAAATGACAGAAAACCTATTTTTACAATATACAATCGAGGAAAAGCATTACAGCTGATTTAAACAATAACTAGAGGTTTCAACCATTCCATCAAACCTTAATGATTAAAAACTTGGCACTTAACAGACCAGTGACACTACAAAGCAACCAAATAAGAAGTCTGCAAAATAACCAACTAACATCATGATACCAGGATCAAATACACACATGTCAATACTAACCTTGAATGCAAATGGGCTAAATGCCCCAATTAAAAGAAACAGCATGGCAAGCTGGATAAAGAGCCAAGACCCATTGGTAGGTTATCTTCAAGAGACTCATCTCACATGCAATGATACACATAGGCTCAAAATAAAGAGATGAAGAAAAATCTACCAAGTAAATAGAAAACAGAAAAAAGCAGGGGTTGCAATCCTAGTTTCAAACAAAACAGACATTAAACCAACAAAGATATAAAAAGACAAAAAGGCATTACATAATGGTAAAGGGTTCAATTAAGCAGGATCTAACTATCCTAAATATATATGCACCCAACACAGGAGCACCCAGATTCATAAAGCAAGTTCATGGAGACCTTCAAAGAGACTTAGACTCCCACACAATAGTAGTGGGAGACTTTAACAACTCACTGACAATATTAGACAGATCATTGCAACAGAAAATTAACAAAGATATTCAGGATCTGAAATCAACACTGAATCAAATGGATCTGAAAGACATCTACAGGACTCTTCATGCTCTAAAATCAATCACATAATCAGAAGTAAAACACTCTCCAGCAAATACAAAAGAAATGTAATCATAACAATTTCTTGGACCACAGCACAATCAAATTAGAAATCAAGACTAAGAAATTCACTGAAAACCATATAAGTACATGGAAATTTAATAACTTTCTCCTGAATGACTTTTAGGTAAATAATGAAACTAAGGAAGAAATCAAGAAGTTCTTTACAACTAATGAGAACAAAGATACAACATACTAAAATCTCTGGGACGTAGCTGACGCACTATTAAGAGGGAAATTCACAGCACTTAATGCCCACATCAAAAAGTTAGAAAGATAGCAAGTTAACAACATAACATCACAACTAAAAGAACTAGAGAACCCAGAGCAAACAAATCCCAAAGCTAGCAGAACACAAGAAATAATCAAAATCAGAGCTGAACTGAAGGAGATTGGGAAATGAAAAACAATTCAAAAGATCAACTAATCTAGGAGCTGTTTTTTTTGAAAAAATTAATAAGATAGACCACTGGCTAGACAAAGAAGAAAAGAGAGAAGATCCAAATAAACACAATCAGAAATGACAAGAGGGATATTACCACTGACCCCACAGAAGTACAAACAAACATTAGAGAATATCATCAACACCTCTAGGCATATAAACTGAAAAATCTAGAATAAATTGATAAATTCCTGGACCATACATCCAGGAAGGATACATCCAAGACTGGACCAGGAAGAAACTGAATCCCTAAAAAGGCCAAAAATGAGCTCTGAAATTGAACCAGTAATAAGTAGCCTACAAACCAAAATAAGTCCTGGACCAGAAAAATTCACAGTTGAATTCTACCAGATGTACAAAAAAGAGCTGGTACCATTCCTGCAGAAACTATTCCAAAAAAATTGAGGAGGAGGGACTCCTCCCCAATTCATTCTGTAAGTCCAGCATCATCCTGATATCAAAACCTGGCAGAGACACAACAAATAAAGAAAAATTCAGGCCAATATAATTGATGAACATCAATGCAAAAATCCTCAACAAAATACTGGCAAACCAAATCTAGCAGCCCATCAGAAAGCTTATTTACCATGATCAAGTAGGCTTTATCCTTGAGATGGAAGGGTGATTCAGCTTACGCAAATCAATAAATGTGATTCATCATATAAACAGAACTAAAGACAAAAAACACTTGATTATGTCAATACATACACAAAAGGATTTTGATAAAATTCAAACCCATCTATGTTGAAAACTCTCAATAAGCTAGGTATTAAAGGAACATACCTCAAAATAATAAGAGCCATCTATAACAAACCCACAGCCAACATCATTCTGAATGGCCAAAAGCTGGAAGCATTCCCCTTGAAAACCAGCACAAGACAAGAATTCCCTCTCTCACCACCACTCCTGTTCAACATAGTATTGGAAGTCCTAGCCAGGGCAATAAGGTGAGAGAAAGAAATAAAAGGCATCCAAATAGAAAGACAGGAAACCAAACTATCCCTATTTGCAGATGACATGATCCTATATCTAGAAAATCTGAACCCAAAAGCTCCTTAAGCTGATAAACAACTTCAATAAAGTCTTAGCATACAAAATCAATGTGCAAAAATAACTGGCATTCCTATACACCAACAGTCAAGCACAGAGCCAAATCAGGAAAGCAATCCCATTCACAATTGCCACACGAAAATTTAAAATACCTAGGAATACATCTAACCAGGGAGGTGAAAGATCTCTAGAAGGAGAACTATAAAACACCACTCAAAGAAATCAGAGATGACACAAACAAATAGAAAAACATTCTATGCTCATGAATAGAAATAATCAATATCATTAAAATGGCCATACCATCCAAAGCAACTTATAGATTCAATGCTATTTCTATTAAACTAGCATCAACATTGTTCACAGAAACAGAAAAGCTATTTTAAAATTCATATGGAACCAAAGGAGAGCCCATATAACAAAGGCAATCCTAAGCAAAAAGAAAAAAAGCTGGAGGCATCACACTACCCAACTTCAAACTATACTACAGGGCTACAGTAACCAAAACAGCATGATACTGGTACAAAAACAGACAAATAAACCAATGGAACAGAATAGAGAACCCAGAAATAAAGCCACACACCTACAACTATCTGTTCTTCAACAAACCTGACAAAAACAAGCAATGGGGAAAGGATTCCCTATGAAATAAATGGTGCTAGAAGAACTGGCTAGCCGTATGCAAAAGATTGAAACTGGACCCCCCTTTCTTACACCATATACAAAAATTAACTCAAGATGGATTAAAGACTTAATGTAAAACCAAAAACTATAAAAACCCTAGAAAACAACCTAGGCAATACCATTCTGGACATAGGAACAGGCAAATATTTCATAATGAAGACATAAAAAGCAATTGTAACAAAGGCAAAAATCAGAAACGACAAGGGGGTTACTACCACTGACCCAACAGAAATACAAGCAACCATCAGAAAATATTATGAACACCTCTGTGCACATAAACTAGAAAATCTAGAAGAAGTTGATAAAATCCTGGACCCATACATCCTCTCAAGACTGAACCAGGAAGAAATTGAATCCCTGAACAGGCCAAAAGCAAGCTCTGAAATTGAGTCAGAGGTAAAAGAACAAACAAACAACAACAACAACAACAAAAACATGACAAGTGGGACCTAATCAAAATTAAGAGCTTCTGCAGAGCAAAAACAAAAATGAAAACAAAAACAAAAACAAAACTACTTACAGAGTGAACAGACAACCTACAGAATGGGAGAAAAATTTTGCAAACTATGCATCTGATAAAGGTCTAATATCCAACATCTATTATTAATTTGTTTACAGAACTTAAATTTATAAGAAAAAAAACACCATTAAAGAGTGAGCAAAGAATATGAAAAGACACTTTTCAAAAGTAGACATGCATGCAGCCAACAAGCGTATGAAAAAAAGCTCAACATCACTGATCGTTAAAGAAATGCAAATCAATACCACAATGAGATACCATCTCACACCAGTCAGAATGGCTACTATAAAAAAGTCAAAAAATAACAGCTGCTGGCAAGGTTGCAGAGAAAAAGGAACATTTATACACTGTTGGGAGTGTAAATTACTTCAACCATTGTGGAAGACAGTGTGGCGATTCCTCAAAGACCTGAAAATGGAACTACCATTTGACCCAGCAATCCCATTATGGGTATACACCCAAAGGAATATAAATCATTCTATTATAATGGCACGCACACACATATGTTCACTGCAGTACTAGTCACAATAGCAAAGACATGGAATCAACCTAAAAGCCTGTCAATAGTAGACTGGATAAAGAAAATGTGGTACATATACACCATGGAATACTATGCAGCCGTAAAAAGTATAAGATCATGTCCTTTGCAGGAACATGGATGGAGTGGAGGCCACTATCCTTAGTAAATTAATGCAGGCACAGAAAAACAAATACTACATCTTCTCACTAATAAGTGGGAGCTAAATGATGAGAACACATGGATACATAGAGGGTAACAACACACACTGGGGCCTGCTGGAGGGTGGAGGGTGGGAGGAAGGAGAGGATTAGGAAAAATAACTAATGGGTACTAGGCTTAATCCCTAGGTGACTAAATAATCTGTGCAACAAACCCCCATGACAGAAGCTTACCCATATAACAAACCTGCAAGTACACCCCTGAACTTAAAAGTCAAAAAAAAAAAAAAAAAGGTACCTAATCATCATCTAAGTGGGAAACCTTAGAGGGAAGGTAGGGGGTGGTAGAAACCTCTTATGTTAAAAAAGTGATCTCTCGTTTGGACAGACAAACCAGAGAATCTCCTCCCAAAGTGTTTTTCCCCATTTATTCTAGTTTATCACTCAAATAATTCATATTGTTCATGCCAAAAATTCCCCAATGTGACCACAGTAATTTGTGAAATTAGGCCATGAGTAAAGGCATGTTTGGCCCAGAGTGTCGAAAAGCAAATGAACAAAAAAACAAAAAGCAAAAACAAAAACAAATCATGGCAACTGCAAAGCTAGGTAAGAATCTGGTCAATCAGCAAGTCTGGCAGTCTAGAAAAAATTAACACCTCCAAGTAAAAGACACTAAATTAAGTAGTTATCAAAGAAACAAAGGCAAGCCTGAGGAATGTTCTTATTAGGTTGAAGTTTGGTCCAAGGCAAAATTTTTTTCTGTAAGGACACTGGTCTGATGAGATCTTCTGGACTTGTCAGCCTTGGGGTGCACTGAGAGACACACTTATTCAACCTATGCTAATCCTTTCTCATCTTATAATTTTCTCCTGGGGACTCACAACAAAAAGAAACAAGAACAGAACAAGGGCCAAAACATTGTGGAATTAATAAGGAAGTTTCCCCACCAAATATGAGTTTTCAAATCTGATCAGATAATAAAAGGATTCCGAGAGAGGAATTCTCTTTCCCAGCACACAAAATAAACTCAGTATTACAGGGCTTCAAATAAATATATTGGACCTGAGCCCCAATGGAGGACCTACCTCACCATTGCAGCGGGAGAGACCCCTGAACATGAGATTCAGGAAGCTTCAAGGTTATGTACAATTTCCAAGCTACAAGCCTTAAGCCATGGCAGGGACGGTGTTTAAATTATAGCTCGGGACCTCTAGGATCATCAACAGTCAATTCCCTAAAAGACCATTTGAAAAATCCATTGATCAAACAAAGCTAAGTTTATTAGACTTACTGTAATAAGGTAGAGCACCACATTTAAAGTCTTATTTGTGGCTCAAAAAGGAGAGTTTAAGGAATATTATTTGTAGGGTTTAGGGGGCTTGAGCTTATGAGGTTTAGGGCAAATCTTTCATGGCAGGTAACAGATTGTGACAAGTACAATTTTGACATAATAATTTGAAATTGGTGGCACAATAAGATGTTTTGATGAGTAAACTTGACAGATAAGCAAGCAGTTTGCCTAAGAGATAAACTTATCATAATAGGAGCTGTTTATGCAAATGAGCAAAGTATTTGACAGGACAAACTTGGTTTGCAGAAATTCCCCTACCAAACAGTAAAATTTACTGGTTTATAGTCTTATTTTCCTGAACTAGAATTCTCTTGAGCAGTTTTGTTATGATGGCACAGCTGGTCTGAGTTCTCAGAACCTTTCTATTTTGTGACCTCTGCCACAGCTTGCTCAATGGTATACCTGAAAGGTATCATTGACCTAAGATTATTTCCTATAAAAACATCAATTAATATTTCAGATAATTTTTTTATCTGTGGCATTAGAATGTACACTTTCTTTACAATGGTATTATCCTTTAACCTATCTGATAGTATTTCTGTTTCTATTTCCTTGCAAAGGGGGTATTCGTTGTTAACAGATTAGACTTAGAAGTTTTGCCAGGATTCCTTTGCATATGGCCCATAAAGGAAGGCACTTTCTGGTGTATCTTTCCTTAACCTGTTCCCCTTCATGTCTAGCAAAAATTCCTCAAACTTCTAGGGCCAGTAACAATTTTTTTCTGATGTTTAATGTTTTACAGATTTTTCCCTCAAGAATCTATGCTGAAAAAAATTAAACAGCTTGCCTTTAAGATTCTTTTGAAAAGCAAACAAGTTGAAGATTTTTCTTCTAACATGATTGATTGGTAAAATCAAAAAAAGATTACAGATGATGGACTCACTCTGGTCACTTTCTAATATAAGCTACTTCATTATTTTGGACCACAGCAAGAATTCCTTTGCCAACAGTGATGCAGTGAAGCAATTTGAACAGAAGCACGAAACACATATTTCATTGCCTACATTTATTAAAACAGAGAAATTAAAACCTAATTTGATTCATTAAATATTAGAAACATTTTTGTCACTCATCTCAAAGGCCTTTTAATTTGACAAGGCAGGTACAGAGGCAAACATAAACAGACAATGCAAATATACAGGGAATAATCATACTATACATAAAAGCGTCAGTAGAAAGATCTCAGAAGTCGAGTGCAAAAACTAAACAAAGCCATGAAGATGCCTGTAATTTAATTTAATGTCTTCTAATAGTTATAAAAATTATAAATTCTAGAAGACCACTGCCTGGACCTTCACTGACCATGCTGTCCCAGGGGGTACTTTTTGCTGCCACCACACCAGTGCCCTCTCTGAAGAATGCAGCCCTCCTAGGTCCAGGGATATTGCAGGCAACAAGGACCTTTCTTACAGGGCAGCCAAGTCCTACCCTCTACAACCTCTTCCTGAATATGGAGGAAAAGTTTGTCTTGGGCTGATCCTTGAGGAATTCTTCCAGTTTCTTTATCCCAAAACTTGTGTAACAGTACCCTATGTGCTTGGAGCCTGGGCTTGTGTTGTATGCGGTACCCAAACAAATATATGTGATTACTCCTACTCTACAGTATCAGTAGTAGGTTACTGGTCTATGTAATTTAAAAATATGGTGCATCTATTGGAGATTAGCTGATAAACTCAATGAGCAAAAAATTGCCCAACTAGAAGAGGTGAAGCAGGCTTCCATCAAACAAATCCAGGACACGATTCATTTGGAGAAGTTATTCCAGTTATTGGTTCAGAAGTGCCATTACTATTTTGATGTCCAGAGGAATAACATTGCTATGGCTTTGGAGGTTATTTACTGGAAATGGCTGCATAGAGTATATAAGGTAAAGAATCACCTGGACTATCATATGTGTATGTAGAATATGATGCATCAAAAGGAAAAAGAGCACATGATCAACTGGGTGGAGAAGCACATGCTCCAGAGGATCTCTGCACAGCAGGAAAAGGAGACAGTTGCCAAGTGCATTGCAAACAAATCTAAAGCTGCTCTCAAAGAAGGCTCAAGCACAGCCAGTTCTGTCAGTGTATCCATCCCAACTGAGACAACTGAAACAACTGACCGACTAAATGAAAGGTAGTCTTTGTGCCAAAATCTTTCTGTATTGCTGTCTACTGAAGTTACAGTTTACTTTTCCTAAAAGTGAAAAGTTTGAGTGTCATTATAGTGAAAGAATTAAACCTATTGGCCAATCAGATGGGTCTCATCTTTATTCCTCTGCATGTTGAGTTGTTCCATGATCACTTTTGAATAAACAGTTTGTTTTTATTAAAACTTGCTGCCTGGCTAAAGATTACCAAGATACATTTTAAACTTGTAATTAATTCTACCATCTGGCAATAAAGTGACAATTGAAACAAGAAAAAAAATTACAAATTATAAACTATAAAACTCTATCTTCTAGAATTGAATATAAAAAGAATGCAAGCTATAGAATAGAAAATAATATGAAAAGGATACAAGCTATGATCAAGTCCAAAGGGTTTTGAAGCTAGACAGAAAGATATCTAAATATTTTGGGGACAAAGAAGTGAAAATCCAAATAAGATGATGAAGCAAAGTAACAACAATCATGGTGGCGGCTGCACACTTTTTTTAAGAGACACGTTCAGGCATTTCCTGCTTAATGTCAGTAAACTGTTTCTGACAATCTGCACTTGTACACAAAATTGTTAACAGGAGCCTATTTCCAATCATTTTATTTATTTATTTATTTATTGAGACGGAGTCTCACTCTGTTGCTCAGGCTGCAGTGCAAGTAGCAGGATCTTGGCTCACTGAAACATCTGCCTCCCGGGTTCAAACGATTCTTGTCCCTCATCCTCCCAAGTAGCTGGGATTACAGGCTCCCGCCACCATACCTGGCTAATTTTTGTATTTTTAGTAGAGATTGGGTTTCACTATGTTGGCCAGGCTGGTCCCAATCTCCTGACCTTATGATCCGTCTGCTGTGGCCTCCCAGAATGTTGTGATTACAGGCGTTAGCCACCATGCCCAGCCTATTTATTTTTAAAATTTGATAATTTTGCTAATCTTCTCTGTATCGTTCCAATTTTAGTATATGTGCTGCCGACGCAAGAACTCCAATTATTTTAAACAGCAAAATGTATAATATGCTCAACAGTAACTCAAAGCCTCCAATTTCTTCAAATACAAAAAACAGTTGCATATGAGTAACAGACTCTAATGTCAGGATGTGAAATTATTATGACCAAATGTTGCATTGTGTGCAATAATGCTGCAGTGCCTCTCTTTATACCATGGACATAATGAGAGTTGCATCCCTCCTACTGACACTTTGATATGTTTGTCAAGGATTCTATGCTGATTCTGTCATTCTGTCAATTGTATTTGAATCACATCTCATGGCTTTTTCCTCTCATCATTCTGATTAAAAATATTGCATTGAGCTTTGGGGACACAAATATAATTTCCCCCCACATAAACAAAAACCTCAAATAATGTATTGTGAGATAAATATGTTTTATGAAGTTAGAGGTATTAAAAACCAAGAGGCATCCTACTGGGAAAATCTTAACTGAGGAGAGAACAAGCAGCATATTGCTGATATTATGAAATATGTGATTTAAATGCATGGACTTGAACTATGCGAAACCCTCTCTACAGGCCTTTTTTAAAGTTATAGTGATTACAATTAAGACTTAATTTGAGCCACTTACTGCTGTCACTAAAAGTCATTCTGAAAGTCAGCCTTAAAAAGGAAGGAAATTCCGATACACACTAAAACATAGATGAATCTTGAGGACACCAGGCTAAGCGAAATAAGCCAGTGACCAAAAGACAAACACTGTGTGATCCCATTTATATGAGGTATCTGGAACAATCGAATTCACAGAAACAAAGTAGAATGGTGATTGCCAGGAATTGGGAGGGAAATGGGCTGTTGTTGTTTAATGGGTATAGAGTTTCAGTTTCACAACGTGAACAAGTTGGTTGCACAACAACCTGAATATATGGAACACTATTCAACTCTACACTTAGAAATGGTGAACATGGTAAGGTTTATGTTTTGTATTTTGTACCACAATAATAATAAAAAAAAGTATGTGGGAGGAGAGTCATTCTAGAACCTCACTTTACTCAGAAGATGTCTCCAAAAATGTCTTGATATGACATAAGTGTCTCTAGTGATTAAGGATGTTTTCACTCAGGAAGAATTAGCAGTATGTGTAAAAAAATTAAGAAAATAAAATCTGTAGTGTTATTATTTTGCATTAAGGAATCTTGTATATCTGCTAGTTTTTTTAATGTTTGTTTTATTAGCCTTGTAATTCAATTTTCTAAAATGTACTTGTGTAATTGATTTAGGCTTATGATATTAAATTGAATTCTTGCTAAATATATATGATATATAGACATCTATACAGACATATATATAGACATCTATATAGACATATATATAGACATATATATATAGACATATATATAGACATATATATATAGACATATATATAGACATATATATATGGTCTAGAAAAAAATCTAAGATAACCTGCGGTATTTATGAGTTTAATTTGTGAAATTAATAAGAGTAGTCAGGAAGACTGTGTTAGACAATCATATTGATGAAAAGAAAACTGAACATTTTAACATAAAATGTGTAATGTAAAAGGAAATTTAATAAACTTAGATGTTTAAGGGAATTTAATAAGGTCCTAAAATCCTCCTTAAAAGGAGTTACAAAAATTTTCTAGATTTTTAAAAAGAATTTAAAGACTAGAAGGTGAATAAAAGCTTAAGAAAGAATCAAGTAAATAAAACATTCATTTAAAAAGAAACCTAAGTAAACCTCTAAATGGCTTCTTCTACACATAAAAGCTGTCCTTGAGGGCATCAGAAAACTCATTTTAACACTGACAATAATATCGAGAGTGACAAAAATCCTTTCCCTGACCAAACTCTAGCCAGGCTCCTCTGAGCAGTCTTCTCAACTAGGCCTCAACCTTGGCCTATAAATGCTTTAATGAACACTTACATAGTTGCTAACAGCTCAAGGCTGAATCCCCAGAATGACCCCAGCCCTTCTTCAAGTGCCTGCCTTAGAAAACTCAAGGCTGTCAAAAGAATTTACTGTTTTCTCTAGCCAACATTTGAAGATAGAAACCCTGTCTCCCAGTCTCTGTGGGAGGGTAGGAGCTTAAGTTTAATAAACACCAGTTAATAAGCCCAGATTGATTTCACATGGACCAACCCCCTTTTCACTTTTTCTAATTTTTCACTTCTCCAGCTCCATTGAGAGCTGGCCTACTCCTGTCACTATTCCCTTACTGCTCCTTTAAAACACCCACTCACTTCTGCACAAATCAAAGCTCAGGTCATTTCACATTGGACCCTTTTCCCTATTGCAATAGAATATTACTGAATAAAACCTGTCCTTACCACTTCAACTCATGTCCAACTTTCTTTATCTTTGACAAAGGTAAAGAAGGAGTGAGACTTGGGTTGCAGCAAGCTAATAGGTAGTTGTTAACTGACATAGTGTGAGCAAGTCAGGTACCCTATAGAACAAATAGAACTAAATTCAAAGACTCCAGAGAGCCATGGCTAAAAATGTAAATGTTGGAGTACTTGTCTTCCTATTTAAGTTATACTGAACCCTTCTCAGTAATTTTTAACCTTAGAGCTTTTACTTGGTTTTTTATTCATTAACTGTTATGCCAGCAGGCAACTTGTGAGTTCTGGGGAAGGCCTGAAACTGTGGAGCGGAGACTATAAGGAACCTTGATAATGAGTAGCCTAATTCTCTCTTCATCTCTGGGACAGAGTAACTTATAATTCTGCTCAGGTGCAAAAGCAGTTTGAAACTGACTGTGGCTCCAGCTCTTAAAGATTTTCCTACAGTCAAAAATAGATTTTCTTTTATTTTTAAGTAATCTGCAAAGCACCCTGCTCAGCAACATGTACATTTAATAATTTGGGGGGAAGATAATAAGGATGACCTGGTATGATACCATTTTAATGAGCCAGTTTGTTGCTAAGTAAGCTCTGGTCCTTGGTGCATATAAGGTACATTTTTAAATGAGTCAGAATCACTTATTGATCACCCTCTGTGTGTAGATTCCTGTGTTAGTCTTATTGACAATTTAAAAGAACAACAGAAGAAAAAAGACTCAGACTTCAAAGCGTTTCTACCAGCCTTTTTGGAATAATGAACACTTTTGGGCAGGCAAAGGCCAAGGCAACCTGCTGCAGCCTTGTGTCAGTTTCAGGGTACAGGGTCATTCACTAGGATAAGAAGAAAGGAGTTGAGAACTAGAAGTAGACTATAAAAATGAAATTACCTCCAAAGCAATCCTCAGACCAATGATCAAATGAAACCTATCAAGCAGGGGGACCAGAGAAGCCCATCCAAAATTATATTTGTTACTTACCACAACACTTGGTCCAACTATCAGTTCAATGAAGAATTTTCAGACTACAAAAAAATCACGTCCCTCCTTGAAAAACTGAAAATACAAACAATGGCCAGACCAAATATGCAATCCACCTCTGACCCACAATTGCTGCAGCAATCAGCCCAAAATTATTAAAACTTGGTCAGTGACTGCCAGCTTCCCCTGATTCTTGCCCCAGCTTCCAACTCGGGACCAACCAGAGAAAGCCAAATGTGCTTTCCAATTCAGTTGCATAGGATGAACTGCTTCTATCTAGCCCACCTGCAGCTTCCCCACACCATTAACTTCCTATCAAAGCAGACCTAAAGCCTTCCCCCATTTTTTTTTTCTTCACTGTAAGGCTTCCCTGGCTGCCTTGGAGTCTCTGCCAAAAGCAAGTGATCGTGGCTGACTCCCTGTCTATAGCAAGGTCTGAAAAAACAGTCTTTTAAATTCTCATCTCAGTGGTCTTCATTTATTTCCACAATTTTACTGGACGCCCCACCTGAATACGTTCTGCACTGTCTGTTGCTGTCAACCAGGTGAAGATGCTACAGTAGGAGGCCCCTTGTGCCTCGCTACTCGTGTCTTACAGAGTGCACGCTGATGTGGTAAGTTTGCAGCAGGTCTAAACTTGGCTTTCTTTACGCTGAGTTTCTTACCCATTTATTCAGTTCAATAAGCAGAGTTTGTAACTGGTTCCCCTTTGTTTAGCTTCCTTGGTGGAATCAGGTCATTCTGTTTTGCTGTCTTTTGTGCTTCTGTTCTGTGTTGTGCTGTTTGAAAGTATTGTTCGTTTTAAGGAGAATCACAGGGAAGACACAGGCATAGCCTTAATAAACCTGTTGTTCCAGCTGGCCTCAGAGGCTCATTAATTTGTGGTTCTTACTGGACAGGTGTCCATTTGACAAATTCTGCTGTGGTCACCAAAAACAAAATGAGTTTCTTCTTTTGTCTTGACCTTTTGTCTTAAAAGCTTGGCTTAATGAAGAGAGAGTGTTCTCTGGTCTTCAACCTGCAGGGTCTGGGAGTTAGGGAGGTGCAGATTATCGGTTCTGTGCATGGAGGCAGCCACTTTTCAGGTTAGCGACCAGAACATGAGATGTCCAAGGATCACATTTCTACTGACCATGGCCAGCTCTCATGGAGTCATGTGTGTCTAAAATCTCTCCTCCCTAGAAAGAACTCCTTCTTAAATGTACTCATAGTATAATCCTATTTTTTGCACCTGTCTCTCTAAAAGGCATAAGTTTACCAAGAATGACTGGGGCCTTCAATGGCCACTCTGGGGAACATTTGACTTGAACAAAATTGTTCATTTGAGAAGTGCTTTAAGAAAGGGAATAATATTTCTCTGGCCAAATAGGCAACATTTCTTAATGGTATGCAAAGTCCTCTAAATGAAATCCTGAATTAAAAATTGCTTCACTAAAAGATCTTTTGGCCAAAGATAATGAGCAATAAAGCAAACTTAAGCAAATGTAAGCTAAAATAAACTAGACTAATCCCCCATTAAGTGCCCCGCTCCTTATCTTCAGTTGCTTCCCTATATTCAGCTTTTCCTCTTCTCTGTTATCCTCTGATCCTCTCCTTCTGCACCTCCATGGACTCATCCTTCCCTGGTTCAGACCCTCTTTCTTTTGCCAACACTTCTTCAAAGAGCCTGACATACAACTTGCTTCGAATGATCCATTTCTCCCTTGATCCAGGCATGCAGGCACCTGTAGAATTTAAACCTCCTCCCAGCCCTTAACTATAACCATTAGGCCCTTAACTGAAGAATGTTCCTTTCTACTCTGTGATACCTTCCCTGCAAATTTAAAATAGAAAGGCTTACTTAGTCATAGAATTGTAATATTAAATGCACAATAGGAGGATTTTGTCTTGAGGTTCCAGAGGACACCTCTATTTATTACCAAGTTGTTTCTAGTCTAGAGATACATTTACTTCTCCATTATATTTGAGGCATATCTCAAATAAGGATTATAACACTGTACCTAACACTTCATGGGCTAAAAATGCCACTGACATAGGAAAAATGATTGGAGCAGAACCTATTTAAATAGATCCTACCAAACCATTATACAAAGTTCACCAAGATCCCTTGAAACCAGAAGCAAAGGAAGGGCTCAGACCTATAGTTTAAGGATTTACAGCAAAAGATCTGCAATAGCTCTTGTAACACTCCCATCCTAAGAGTAAATAAATCAAACACAAAAGTATATTTTTTTCACAACCTGAGAATCAGCAGCAAAAGTGTTATCCCTCACTTGCTAGTAGTACCTAACCCAAATATCAACCTGTCATTAATTCCACCTGAAACCACTTGCTTCAGTGTAGTGGATCTTTATTCTAACTTATTCAGTGTGCCTCTAGACCAGGACAGTGAATACCTTTCCTTTCACCTGGAGAAGACAACAATATATCAGGACAATCATGCCTAGGAGTTATTGAAGCTCCCTCCTGTATTTCCTGGGTACTCAATCGGGAGTTAAAAGATTTAAATTTCCCTTGTGATTCAGTACTAGTACAATATGTAGACAATGTCATAATTTGTTGAGAGAACAAAGAATTTCATTTACTTGCTCTTAGCTGTACAAGAAGAGGGACATAAAATTTCAAAAGTTGTTACAATTTTGCCAAAACACTGCCCATTATTTAGGGCATGACCTATCTGAGAAAAACACTTTCTCCTAAGTCCTAACGACCATCCAAACATATCCTATGCCCCTTATAAAATGGCAATTGAGATGATTTCTAAATTTAACGGGATATTGCAAACATTGGGTATCAAATCCTTTTGAACTTGTGATACTTCTTTATGAATTGAAGAACATCTTGCAATGCAATTGACTATGGAGATGACTAAACAGTCCCCCATCAGTGAAGATCTGGATCCCTAGCCTTTCTGGAATTGGTCAACCTCTTGAAAGTAAGAGAATGACCAAAGGCGGGGGACTAAGAGACTGAATATACAAATGGACAATGGCCAGACCAAATATGCAATCCAACTCTGACCTCTCAAAACCTCACAACCTCTGCTGCAATCAGCCTACAACAATCAGAACATGGTCAATGACTGCCAGCTTCCCTAATTTTTGCCCTGGCTTCCAACTCAGGATGAACTGCTAAATGATCTCCCCCAAACCAATCACACAGGATGCCACATTTCTAGTTAGCCCACCTCCAACTTCCCCATGCCAATAACCTGCAATCAGAGCACACATAGAGCCTCCTTTTTTTCACTATAGAGCTTTTGCACTCCCCTGTCTGCCTTCAAGTGTCTGCCAGATGCAAGTGATGGAGGCTGACGGCCTTGCTATAACAAGCCCTGCATAAACAGTCTCTTTTGAGTTTTCTCTTACTTGCATTGTATTTATTTCCATATTCTCCACTCAGAATTTTTTTATTTGAACAATTTTGGTTCCTAGCTATGGTAAGTTCCTGAGCACTACCAATCCCACCTACCGTCAGAATAACTCTTATGCTACTTAATCTCAAACTCCAGAGTCAAAACATCTATGCAAAAATGCCACTGTCTTGCTCTAAAGAAATATATAGACACTTCACTTTTTCTGTGCCCCCAAATGCAGGGATACTATGAGTTTATCCAAAATTAAGGAGGTCTCAATTCAAAGATTTTAAAAGTCGAGGTGACCGCTCCATGTTTGTCTACCCTGTCTTTAATTAAACCTTGCTATGGTCATCTCATCTCCAAACTGACCTCCAAAAACTGACCCTCGAAACATAGGTATGAATCTTGAGTAGTAAATTCCTGCTGACTTCACAGTCATTTCCACTAGATGGTTTTATAAGGAGGGTTACTATTAAGAGAAGCTTGGGAAACACCTTGTCAGTCATGTAGTTTTATAGAGATGTCAAAACTATGCCCAGCGAAATACATGCCAGCCCTACAGGAAAACTAACATTTTGTCTCCATGAATGTAATAGAAAAACTCAAAAAATCAGAAATAGGCAAAATTGAGTACTGAGTGTTCTTTCACCTCTGTAGGGGCAGAAGTTAACAGGTAGATTTCTGTTGAATAGAAAAACAACTTCTACTCTGTATCATTTATTGCCCTGTGAGTATTAAACAACTTAGTGTTTACCCAAGCAATCTAATACTAATTTTTTATTAAATTATCTGTAGATTCCTGGCTCCTCAAATGCTCTTTGTACTAGTTTTAACATCTACTAGTTCCCTCATTAACTGGTTGAAAAAAAACTGACACATGTTCATTTGATATTCAACATGAGATATAATTTTATCTTTCTAAAAATTATACTTTAACC
Organism: Homo sapiens; assembly: GCF_000001405.40. NCBI lineage: Eukaryota > Metazoa > Chordata > Mammalia > Primates > Hominidae > Homo > Homo sapiens. The sequence continues at coordinate 94,748,081 of NC_000007.14, forward strand.
ATTAAAAATGTAAGCTCCCTGACATTTGGGGCTGACTGATAAAAGAGAAAAAAAATTAAACTCTTGAAGGAAAGACATTATATGATGGGTTTTTTTGAGCTATTATAACAATATATATCCTAATATTGAATCAACCTTGCATTCCTGAGATATATAATATACTTGATATTTTGGTGCCAAATTCTATTTGCTAATATTTGTATTTAGGATATTTGCATTTGTAATTATTCCCAGAAAATTTTCAGAAAAAGGGAAAATCATGACTCATATAAACATAAAAATAGCAAATATGAAAACTTTCAAAAGGAAAGCTAAAATGGAAAAAAAAACTATACAGAGTAAAGGGATGGTGAAAGGAATTGCAAATAGGCACAAAACTGGTTTTTCCACAGAGTTAGTCAAAATCATTATAGAACAATACAGCAGTCATATATTTATCAGTTACCTACACATAAAAAGAGATCAAATAGCTCAAAGACAATGAACAAGACTAGAATCTGATAAGCTGGAAGGTATGCTGCAAATGATTCATAGTTTCCATTGAAACACACACAAAAAGTTTGACATAATCATTGGTAAAGTTGGTCTGTAATTTAATTTTTTTTTTTTTTTGAGACAGAGTCTTACTTTGTCACCTATGCTGGAGTGCAGTGGCATGACCATAGCTCACTGCAACCTCAACCTGCTGGGTTCAAGTGATCCTCCCACCTCAGCCTCCTAGGTAGCTGGGACCACAGTTGTGCACCCCTACAGCTGGCTAATTTCTTTATCTTTTTATAGAGACAGGGTCTCATCATGTTGCCCAGGCTGATCCTGAATTCTTAGGCTCAAGCAATTCTCCTGCCTTGGTCTCCCAAAGTGCTGCGATTACAGGCATGAGTGACCACATGTAATTTGATTTTTTTAAATAAAATATTCATTGCATTTTGGTATTGTAAAAGAAAAAAATACCTTTGAAACCCTTTTATTAAAAAAGGGTTTCACTGGGTGCAATAGTTTGCATCTGTAATCCCAGCTACTTGGGAGACTGAGGTGGGAGGATCACTGCAGCCCAGGGTTCTAGACCAGCCTGGACAATATCGTAAGAACTGGGGGGGAAAAAAAAAGAGTTTCAAGACACAGGGACGTCAGTAAACCAAAAACCTGGCAAAAAATTTCAGAGTCAACTTTATCTCAACTCTAAAAGACAGACAATGGTTTGCAGCAACAAAGGGAACACTTAATCAGGAGAAAGGCCATTGAAACAAAGTAAAGAACTTTGCAGCAGTTTAACTTAGCCTTGTCCCGTCCCTTTCCTCAGCACAACAGAGGTCTTGAAGACAGTATCTTGTGTTCCTGATATGGGGACATGGTTCCAGAAGGAGGCTAGTGGACCTCTTTCCCAAGAATTACTCTTTTCTCTTTTGACCTGTCTGCGGGTTCCCTGAAAGACTAACACAAGGGTCCTGCCTTTGTTTCATCTACCTTGGAATTCTCTCAAGGTGGAGAATCAGAGAGATGTTCCTCTAAAACATTGTACACCATCATACACAGAGTATGTTCCTCTAAATCACTGAAAGCCAAAAGAATGAGCATCTGTCAGCTGAGACAAAAAAGAAAGGTTGGGGAAAACAATTGTTTCCACACAGCGAGGAAGAAAAAGTTGAGAGTAGGAATCTGTAGGGAATAAGGGCTTTGAAAAACTCTTGCCTATAATGGAGAATCTAGGAAGTTACACACAAACTCAGAGCAGGATGCTTGCTCAGAAAAGACCTGAGAAGGCCATAAACTTTCACCTTTGACTGATCTTTAGGGTTAATGAAAGCAGGAAGTGAAGGTTAAGTCAGAGTTGTAAACTGCCTAAGCAATGAAGGAGTGCCTCAACAAACAACCAATCTTCAAAAACCTAGAGGATATCATATTTCTTTCTCTTCTTTTCTTTTTTCATACCTTTGTTTTCTTTCTTTCTTTTTTTTTCTGCTTTTTGTGTGTGTTTGAGGTGGGGAGAGTGTTCCCAGAATTTAAGAAAAATCTCTATGAAGGAATTATGTGACAGTTAAACTAAAAGAACAGAGATTTCTGACAAACACATAATAAAGAAGATAGTCTTTATAAGAAGAGTTTAGGAAAGTCATTAAAACAAACAACTACAACTCATAGCAAGTAAAATCAGCAAATCCTGGAGAGAGAAGAATTTGATTTCCAGAGTTAGTATGTTTTAATATACAAAATGTGGCTGGGCGCGGTGGCTCACGCCTGTAATCCCAGCACCTTGGGAGGCCAAGGCGGGTGAATCAAGAGGTCAGGAGATTGAGACCATCCTGGCTAACATGGTGAAACCCCGTCTCTACTAAAAATACAAAAAATTAGCGGGGCGTGGTGGTGGGCACCTGTAGTCCCAGCTACTGTGGAGGTTGAGGCAGGAGAATTGCATGAATCCAGGAGGCGGAGCTTGCAGTGAACCAGATCACGCCAATGCACTCCAGCCTGGGCGACAGAGCAAGACTCCGTCTTAAAAAAAAAAAAAAAAAAAGGGCCAGGCGTAGTGGCTCACACCTGTAATCCCAGCACTTTGGGAGGCCGAGGCGGGCGGATCACGAGGCCAGAAGATCCAGACCATCCTGGCTAACATGGTGAAACCCCGTCTCTACTAAAAGTACAAAAAAATTAGCCGGGCGTGGTGGCGGGCACCTGTAGTCCCAGCTACTAGGGAGGCTGAGGCAGGAGAATGGTGTGAACCCAGGAGGCGGAGTTTGCAGTGGGCCGAGATCATGCCACTGCACTCCAGCCTGGGCGGCAGAGCGAGACTCCATCTCAAAAAAAAAAAAGAAGTGCAGTTTTAAACAAAGAAGCAGAGAAAGAAAGAACAAAGAAACTATGGCCCATTTACAGGGAGAAAAAAAGAAATTAATGAAAACTACCCCTGTGGAAGCATAGACATTTTTCTTAAGTAGACAAAGATCTGAAGAAGTTATAAATATGCTTAAAGAGTTAAAGGGAAACATGGGGAAAGAAAGAAAAGAAACAAGGAAAATTATATCTCAACAAATAGAAAATATCAACAAAGGAAAATAGATTTCAAAAAATAAATAAATAGAATATTTGGACCTGAAAAATACCATAACAGAAATGAAAAATTCACTGAAGGGGTTCAACTGCAGATTTAAGCCATCAGAAGAAAGAATCAGTGAACTAAAAAAGAAGTCAAATGAAATTATTCAGTCTGAGAAACAGAAAGAAATAAAGATGAAGAAAAATGAACAGAGCTTAAGAGAATTGTGAGACACCATTAAGCATACCAAGTTATGCATAATAGGAAGGAGAGGTGACAGAGAAATGGGCAGGAAGAATGTTTGAAGGATATTTAATATTTCAAGAAATAATTGCCAAAAAATTCCAAATTTGAAAAAGATATGAATCTATACACCCACAAAGCTTAATAAATTCTGAAATTGAGTATTTATGCTTTAGTAGTCACTTCCATTTTAAAATCTATTACCTGTTCTTTTTTGATCACTTTTATTTTTTCTGATATTTGTGTATTTTTTTCTTTAGTTGTTTTTTTAAATATACTTTTAAGTTCTGGGGTACATGTGCAGAAGATGCAGGTTTGTTACATAGGTATACATGTGCCATGGTGGTTTGCTGCACACATCAACCCATCATCTACATTAGGTATTTCTCCTAATGCTCTCCCTCCCCTAGCTCCCCACCCCTGACAAGCCCCAGTGTGTGATGTTCCCCTCCTTGTGTCCATGTGTTCTCATTGTTCAACTTCCACTTACAAGTGAGAACATGTGATGTTTGGTTTTCTGTTCTTGCATTAGTTTGCTGAGAATGATGGTTTCCAGCGTCATACACGTCCCTGCAAAGGACATGAACTCATCCTTTTTTGTGGCTGCATAGTATTCCATGGTGTATATGTGCCACATTTTCTTTATCCAGTCTATCATTGATGGGTATTTGGGTTGGTTCCAATCTTTGCTATTGTGAATAGTGCCACCATAAACATATGTGTGCATGTGTCTTTATAGTGGAATGATTTATAATCCTTTGGGAATATACCTAGTAATGGGATTGCTGGGTCAAATGGTATTTCTAAGTTCTAGATACTTGAAGAATCACTACACTGTCTTCTATAATGGTTGAACTAATTTACACTCCCACCAACAGTGTAAAAGCATTCGTATTTCTCCACATCCTCTCCAGCATCTGTTGTTTCCTGACTTTTTAATGACGGCCATTCTAACTGGCATGAGATGGTATCTCATTGTGGTTTTGATTTGCATTTCCCTAATGACCAGTGATGATGAGCTTTTTTTCATAAGTTTGTTGACTCCATAAATGTCTTCTTTTGAGAATTGTCTGTTCATATCATTCACCCAGTTTTTGATGGGGTTGTTTGTTTTTTTCTTGTAAATTTGTTTAAGTTCTTTGTAGATTCTGGATATTAGCCCTTTCTCACATGGATAGGTTGCAAAAATTTTCTTCCATTCTGTAGGTTGTCTGTTCACTCTGATGATAGTTTCTTTTGCTATGCAGAAGCTCTTTGGTTAAATCAGATCCCATTTGTCAATTTTGGCTTTTGTTGCCATTGCTTTTGGTGTTTTAGTCATGAAGCCTTTGCCCATGCCTATGTCTTGAATGGTATTGCCTAGGTTTTCTTCTAGGGTTTTTATGGTTTTAGGTCTTATGTTGAAGTCTTTAATCCATCTTGAGTTAATATTTGCAGTAAGGAAGGGATCCAGTTTCAGCTTTCTGCATATGACTAGCTAGTTTTCCCAACACCATTTATTAAATAGGGAATCCTTTCCCCATTGCTTGTTTTTATCAAGTTTGTCAGAGATCAGATGGTTGTAGATGTGTGGCATTATTTCTCAGGCCTCTGTTCTGTTGCATTGGTTTATATATCTGTTTTGGGTAGCAGTATCATGCTGTTTTTGTTACTGTAGCCTTGCAGTATAGTTTGAAGTCAGGTAGTGTGATGCCTCCAGCTTTGTTCTTTTTGCTTAGGATTGTCTTGGCTATAGGGGCTCTTTTTTGGTTCCATATGAAAATTAAAGTAGTTTTTTCCAATTCTGTGAAGAAAGTCAGTGGTAGCTTGATCAGGATAGCATTGGATCTATAAATTACATTGGGCAGTATGGCCATTTTGACAATATTGATTATTCCTATCCATGAACATGGAATGTTTTTCCATTTGTTTGTGTCATCTCTTATTTCCTTGAGCAGTGGTTTGTAGTTCTCCTTGAAGAGGTTCTTCACATCCCTTGTAAGCTGGATTCCTAAGTATTTTATTCTCTTTGTAGCAATTGTTAATGAGAATTCACTCATAATTTGACTCTCTGATTGTCTGTTATTGGTGTATAGGAATGCTTGTAATTTTTGCACATTGATTTTGTATCCTGAGACTTTGCTGAAGTTGCTTGTCAGCTTAAGGAGATTTTGGGATCAGACGATGGGGTTTTCTAAATATACAATCATGTCATCTACAAAAAGACAATTTGACTTCCTCTTTTCATAATTGAATACCCTTTATTTCTTTCTCTTGCCTGATTGCCCTGGCCAGAACTTCCAACACTATGTTGAATAGGAGTGGTGAGAAAGGGCATCCTTGTCTTGTGTCAGTTTTCAAAGGGAATGTTTCCAGTGTTTCCCATTCAGTATAATATTGGCTGTGGGCTTGTCACAAACAGCTTTTACTATTTTGAGGTATGTTCCATCGACATGTAGTTTATTGAGAGTTTTTAGCATGAAAGGGTGTTGAATTTTGTTGAAGGCCTTTTCTGAATCTATTGAGATAATCATGTGGGTTTTGTCATTGTTCTGTTTATATGCTGGATTACGTTTATTGAGTTGTGTATGTTGAACCAGCCTTGTATCCCAGGGATGAAGCTGACTTGATCGTGGTGGATAAGCTTTTTGATGTGCTGTTGGATTCGGTTTGCCAGTATTTTATTGAGGATTTTCGCATCAATGTTCATCAGGGATATTGGCCTGAAATTTTCTTTTTTTGTTGTGTCTCTGTCAGGTTTTGGTATCAGGATGATGCTGGCCTCATAAAATGAGTTAGAGAGGATTTCCTCTTTTTCTATTGTTTGGAATAGTTTCAGAAAGAATGGTACCAGATCCTCTTTGTACCTCTGGTAGAATTCAGCTGTGAATCCATCTGGTCCTGGGCTTTTTTTTTTTTGTTTTTTGGTTGGTAAGCTATTAATTACTGCCTCAATTTTGGAACTTGTTATTGGTCTATTCAGGGATTTGACTTCTTCCTGGTTTATTCTTGGGAGGATGTATGTGTCCAGGAATTTATCCATTTCTTCTAGATTTTCTAGTTTATTTGCATAGAGGTGTTTATAGTATTTTCTGATGGTAGTTTGTATTTCTGTGGGATCAGCGGTGATATCCCCTTTATCATTTTTTATTGCATCTATTTGATTCTTCTCTCTTTTTTTCTTTACTAGTCTGACTAATCTATTTTGTTGATCTTTTCAAAAAGCAGCTCCTGGATTCATTGATTTTTTGAAGGTTTTTTTGTGTCTCTATCTCCTTCAGTTTTGCTCTGATCTTAGGTATTTCTTTTCTTTTGCTAGCTTTTGAATTTGTCTGCTCTTGCTTCTCTAGTTCTTTTAATTGTGATGTTAGGTTGTCAATTTTAGATCTTTCCTGCTTTCTCTTGTGGGCATTTAGTGCTATTAATTTCCCTCTACACACTATTTTAAATGTGTCCCAGAGATTCTGGTACATTGTGTCTTTTTTCTCGGTGGTTTCAAAGAACTTCTTGATTTCTGCTGTCATTTTCTTATTTACCCAGTAGTCATTCAGGAGCAGATTGTTCAGTTTCCATGTATTTGTGCAGTTTTGAGTGAGTTTCTTAATCCTGAGTTCTAATTTGATTCCACTGTGGTCGGAGAGACGTTTGTTATGATTTCCTTTTTTTTTTTTTTTGCATTTGCTGAGGAGTGTTTTACTTCCAATTATGTGGTCAATTTTAGAATAAATGATGTGGTGCTGAGAAGAATGTATATTCTGTTGATTCGGGGTGGAGAGTTCTGTAGATGTCTATTAGGTCTGCTTGGTCCAGAGCTGAGTTCACGTCCTGGATATCCTCGTTAATTTTCTGTCTCGTTGATCTGTCTAATATGGACAGTGGGGTGTTAAAGTCTCCCACTGTTATTGTGTGGGAGTCTAAGTCTCTTTGTAGGTCTCTAAGAACTTGCTCTGTGAATCTGGGTGATCCTGTATTGGGTGCATATATATTTAGGATAGTAAGCTCTTCTTGTTACATTGATCCCTTTACCATTATTTAATGCCCTTGTCTGTCTCATTTGATCTTTGTTGGTTTAAAGTCTGTTTTATCAGAGACTAGGATTGCAACCCCTGCTGTTTTTCTTTTTTTTTTTTTTGCTTTGCATTTGCTTGGTAAATATTCCTCCCTCCCTTTATTTTGAGCCTATGTGTGTCTTTGCACATGAGATGGGTCTCCTGAATACAGCACACTGATGGATCTTGACTCTTTATCTAATTTGCCAGTCTGTGTCTTTTAATTGGGGCATTTAGCCCATTTACATTTAAGGTTAATATTGTTATGTGTGAATTTGATCTGGCCATTGTGATGCTAGCTGGTTATTTTGTCCATTAGTTGATGTGATTTCTTCCTAGTGTTGATGGTCTTTACAATTTGGTATCTTTTCGCAGTGGCTGGTATTGGTTGTTCCTTTCCATGTTTAGTGCTTCCCTCAGGAGCTCTTGTAGGGCAGTCCTGCTGGTGACAAAAATCTCCCAGCATTTCCTTGTCTGTAAAGGATTTTATTTCTTCTTCGCTTATGAAGCTTAGTTTGGCTGGATATAAAATTCTGGGTTGAAAATTCTTTTCTTTAAGAATCTTGAATATTGGCCCCCACTCTCTTCTGGCTTGTAGGATTTCTGCCAAGAGATCCCCTGTTATTCTGATGTGCTTCCTTTTGTGGGTAACCCGACCTTTCTCTCTGGCTGCCCTTAATATTTTTTCCTTCATTTCAACCTTGGTGAATATGATGATTATATGTCTTGGGGTTGCTCTTCTCGAGGAATATCTTTGTGATGTTCTCTGTATTTCCTGAATTTGAATGTTGGCCTGCCTTGCTAGGCTGGGGAAATTCTCCTGGATAATATCCTGAAGAGTGTTTTCTAACTTGGTTCCTTTGTCCCCATCACTTTCAGGTACACCAATCAAACATAGATTTGGTCTTTTCACCTAGTCCCATACTTCTTTGGGGCTTTGTTCATTTCTTTTCACTCTTTTTTCTCTAATCATATTTTCTCACTTTATTTCATTGAGTTGATCTTCAATGTCTGATATTCTTTCTTTCGCTTGATCGTTTCGTCTATTGATACTTGTGTATGCTTCACGAAGTTCTCATGCTGTGTTTTTCAGCTCCATCAGGTCATTTATGTTCTTCTCTAAACTGGTTATTCTAATTAGCAACTTGTCTAACCTTTTATCGAGGTTCTTAGCTTCCTTGCATTGGGTTAGAACATGCTCCTTTTGCTTGGAGGAGTTTGTTATTACGCATGTTCTGAAGCCTACTTCTGTCAATTTGTCAAACTCATTCTCCATCCAGTTTTGTTCCCTTGCTGGTGAGGAGTTGTTATCCTTTGTAGCAGAAGAGGCTTTCTGGTTTTTGGAATTTTCAGCCTTTTTGCACTGGTTTCTCCCCATCTTCAAGGATTTATCTACCTTTCATCTTTGAAGTCAGTGACCTTTGGATGGGGTCTCTGAGTGGATATCCTTTTTGTTGATGTTGATACTATTCCTTTCTGATTGTTAGTTTCCCTTCTAACAGGCCTCTCTGCTGCAGGTCTGCTGGAGTTTGCTGGAGGAGGGACAAGGCCTGAAAGCCCTGCTTGCTTTCTTAGCAGGGAGGCATGTAGCCTGGTTCAAGATCTCAGTCCTGAGCACCAGGGGCCTGGATATAAACTTGGCTCTGTTTGCTTTTGGGGGAGCATGGGAGTGAGACTGGCCTTGCTGGCTGTTGGGAAGCTGGGTGAGGCCTGTCACTGCTGGCTTTTTCTTACTTCCCTGGCAACCTGTACAAAGCAGCATAGGCAGCCATAATCCCCCTTGGAACCAAACTCCATTGGCCTGAGAACCACCCCTCATCCCCCACAGTGACCATAGCAAGCCTCGTCTGAGGAGAGTCTGAGCTCAGACATGCCTAACCCTGCCCCCACCTGATGGTTTTTCTCCACCTGCCACAGTAGCCAAAGACAAAAGACATAAACCCGTGGGAGCTCTACAGCCACATCCATCACCTGAGAGACTTGAATACTTATCCAGGTGACCTTAGGGCAAGCTTGTATCACCCCTATACTACCACAACTGATGCCCTCTTGAAAGTGCCACCTTCTGGCTGGAGGCCAACCAACTCGAGCATTTACAAAAACTCATAACAAAACAAACCCTGTTCCAAGGAAGAAAATAATAGCTAATTCCACCACCTATAACATCCTGGCTAACCAGAGGTCCTGAGTCTGGACACGGGACAACTTCACTGTTAGCATAACCAGCATTTGAGATAACGAGCATGCTAAACAAAACTACAACCAAGGACTTTCACAGAGTCCACTTCACTCCCCTGCTACCTCCACCAGAACAGGAGCTGGTATCCATGGATGAGAGACCTGAAGATGGATCACATCACAGGACTCTTTGCAGATACTCCCCAGTACCAGCCTGGAGCCCAGTAGCTCCAATGGGTGGTTAGACCAAGAAGAGAAGTAACAATCACTGCAGTCCAGCTCTCAGGAAGCCCCATCCTTAGGGGAAGGGGAAGAGCACCATATCAAGGATCATCCTGTGGGACAAAAGAATCTGAACAGCAGCCCCTGAGTCCCAGATCTTTCCTCTGACATAGCCTACCCCAATGAGAAGGAACCAGAAAAACAATTCTGGTAATATGACAAAACAAAGTTCTATAACACCCTCAAAGGTTCACACTTGCTTACCAGCAATGAATCCAAACCAAGACAAAATCTCTGAATTGCCAGAAAAAGAATTTAAAAGGTTAATTATTAAGCTACTCAAGGAGGCACCAGAGAAAGGTGAAAACCATCTTAAAGAAATTGTTAAGAATGCAGGATATGGATAACAACTATCCAGAGAAATAGATAGCATAAATAAAAATCACAATTCCTGCAAATTAAGGACACACTTAGAGAAATATAAAGTGCATGGGGAAGTCTCAGCAATAGAATTGAACAAGTAGAAGAAAGAACGTCAGAGCTTGAAGACAAGGCTTTCAAATTAACCCAATCTGACAAAGACAAAGAAAAAACTTTTTTTAATGAACAAAGCCTCCAAGAAGTTTGCAATTATGTTAAATTATCAAACCTTCCTGTTTCAGAGGAAGAAGAAAAATATCAAAGATTGGAAAACATATTTGAGGGAATAATCAAGGAAAACATCTTTGGCCTTGCTAGAAAACTACATATCCAAATACAAAGCTTCCCTGGCCTTGCTAGAGAACTAGATATCCAACACCCAGGAAATTCATTACAAAAAAAGTCATCACCTAGGCACATAGTTAACAGGTTATATAAAGTCAAGAAGAAGGAAAGAATCTTAAGAGCTGTGAGGCAAAAGCATCAGGTAACCTATAGGGAAAACCTATCACATTAAAAGCAGATTTCTCAGCAGAAACCCTACAAGCTAGAAGGCACTGGGGTCCTATCTTTAGCCTCCTTAAACAAAATAATTATCCAGCAAGAATTTTGTATCCAGCAAAACTAAGCTTCATAAATGAAGGAAAAATAAAGTCTTTTTCAGACAAACAAATGATGAGAGAATTCACCACTGCCAAGCCAGCACTACAAGAACTGCTAAAAGGAGTTCTAAATCTTAAAACCTCAAAATACACCAAAATAGAATCTCCTTAAAGGATAAATCTCACTGGGCTTATAAAACAATAACACAATGGGAAAATAAACCAAGATATTCAAGCAACAATTAGCACAATGGATAGAATAATACCTCGAATCTCAATACTAACATTGAATGCAAATGGCCTGAATGTTCCACTTAAAAGATACAGAATGGCAGAATGGATAAGAATTCACCAACCAAGTATCTACTGTCTTCAAGAGACTCACCTAACCCATGAGGAATCACATAAACTTAAGGTAAAGGTGTGGGAAAAAATTCCATGCAAATGGTTGGAAATGAGCAGGAGTAGCTATTCTTATAGCAGACAAAACAGACTTTAAAGCAGCAACAGTTTAAAAAGACAAAGAGGGACATTATATAATGATATATATATATATAGTGATATATATGACATTATATAATGATAAAAAGATTAGTCCAACAGGAAAATATCACAATCCTAAATATATATGCACCTAACACTGGAGCTCCCAAATTTACAAAACACTAACAAATAAGATAGACAGCAACACAATAATAGTGGGGGCTTCAGTACTCCACTGACAGCACTAGACAGGTCATCAAGACAGAAAATCAACAAAGAAACAATGGAATTAAACTATACTGTAGAACAAATGGAATTAACAAATATTTACAGAATATTCTACCCAACGACTGCAGCATACACATTCTATTCATCGGCACACAGAACGTTTTCCAAGATAGACCATATGATAGGCCATAAAACAAGTCTCAATAAATTTAAGAAAATTGAAATTATAGCAAGTACTCTCTCAGACCACAGTGGAATAAAATTGGAAATCAACTCTGAAAGGAACCCTCAAAACCATGCAAATACATGGTAATTAAATAACCCTGCTCCTGAATAATCTTTGCATCAAAAATGAAATCAAAATGGAAATTAAACAATTCTTTGAACTGAATGATAATAGTGATACAACCTATCAAAACCTCTGGGATACAGCAAAAGCAGTAAGTACTAAGAGGAAAGTTCATAGCATTAAATGCCTACATCAAAAAGTTTGAAAGAGCACAAATAGACAATCTAAGGTCACATTTCAAAGAACTAGAGAAGCAAGAACAAACCAAACCCAAACCCAGCAAAGGAAAAGAAATAACAAAGATCAGAGTAGAACCAAATGAAATTGAAACAAAAAATACAAAAGATTAATGAAACAAAAAAGTGGTTCTTTGAAAAGATAAACAAATTTGATAGACCATTAGTGAGATTAACCAAGAAGAGAGAAGATACAAAGAAGCTTGATTAGAAACAAAACTGATACCACAGAAATACACAAGATCATCCAAGGCTACTGCTACTATTCCACCCTACTAGCCTACTTTCTATTCCCCATGATCACTAAACCTTTTTTCCTTGTTATGTATCAGGTATGATCTCTCTTCAGGTCTTCATGTCAGACAACTTTCATCCTCTGTGTCTCCTCAGACTAGCTTTTCCTGACCAATCTGTCTAAAGATGACTCTCCCAGGTATTCTCCATCTTATTAATCCATTTATTTTCTTTGCATAGGTTTTTAAAAACTATGTTATCTTGCTAGTTCTTTGTGGTCTACTTCAGAATCAGCAAATTTTTTTCATGAAGGATGAAGTAGTGAATCTTTTAGACTCTGTGGTCCATATGGTCTCTGTCACAACAACTCAAGTCTGCCACTGTTGTGTGAAAGCAGACATAAACAAAACATAAACAATTGGAAATGGCTATGTTATGATAAACATCTGTTTACAAAATCAGGCAGCCAGTCAGATTTGGCTCATAAGCTGGAGCTCATCATTCCTGGTCTATTGTATCTCCTACCTCTCTAGCCCATGAGACGAAGATATCCTGTAGATCTTCCTTACTTTTGTATTTCCAGTGCCTAGCAAATTGGCTGGTCAATAGCAATGGACAGTATTTGCTGAATAGGTAAAATTTTACTTTACGATAAGCATAAATTCAATTAGCTATCTTTTTTACTTTTTGAAGAACTTGAGCATCTGTTTTTATAAATGATGGTTTTTATTTATAAATATGGATGCTATTAGCAACTTATGGTATTAAAATATTTGGAGAATTTTTTCTTATTCTTCTATACTGTGAATAGTTTGAGTAACAGGATATTCTATTCTTGGGAAGTTACATAAAATAGATATATAACTATACTGGACTGTCATCTTTTTAATTATAGATGAAAAAATGTTTCTTGATTTGTTCTAAATTTTCCAATTCTTTTTAAGGCAATAATTAAAATTTTTCTTAGTAGAAAAACCCTCATTTTTACCCCCACTATACCCCCATTTTGGAGTTTGAGATATATTTCTACATAGTTTGGAAGATATTTCTACAAAGCAGCATATAAAATATTTACTATAGATTGCAAAAATGGACAAAATTCTTTGCAACTGTTTCTGTCACCAAGAAAGGAAATCTATTTCCTCACTGTTTGAACTGGAGATGGCCTTGTGATTTACTTTGGCCAAAGAATGTGGCAGAAATGGTGTTCTATAAATTCAGAACCTGTAACTCAAGAAGATATATGGTGTCTGCTCATGACCTCCAATTGAACAAGCCCAGGTATATTAATGGAGGATAAGAGACAAAGCAGGGAGTGGCCCTGCTCAGCTAGTTTATGTCAGCTGAGGTCTCCATAAACCAGCCAGTCTCAATTGTTCCATGAGCTGACTGCAGGAACCTAAGCCCAGCAGAGATCAGATCTCAGTCTAGAGCAGAAAAATCACCCAGCTGGATCCAAGCTCAAGTCATATTGACAAACTGCTGAATTATGAGTTAAGTAAATGTGTTGTTTTAAACACTTACAGTAGAAGATGGTTTGTTCTCTAACAGAAACTAATATACCCTTTAATTTATTTCAAGCTTTAAGTGTAATAATTTTCTTCTCCTTTTATATTTTCTTTTTGTTACTTTAGTTACTATTGTTGTTCTTTTGCCCAGTTTACCAAATTAAATATTTATTTCATTCAATTTAGTATTTCATCCTTAATAAAACATTCAGAATTCTACTTGAAGCATTTTTTTTTAATTCTTTTGAGACAGGATCTCACTCTGTCACCCAGGCTGGAGTGCAGTGGCACTATCATGGCTCACTGCAGCCTCAACCTCCTGGGCTCATTGAGTCTCCTGCCTCACCCTCCTGAGTAGCTGGGACTACAGGTATGCATCACCACACCCAGCTAATTTTTTTTGTAATTTTTTTATAGAGACAAAGTCTCACCATGTTGCCCAGGCTGCACTTGAACTCCTAGGCTCAAGTGATTTGCCTGCCTCAGCCTCCCATGAAGCATTTTTTAAGCAGAAAATTAGCTGTATTATTTTAGGTTTTTATTTGATACGTTTTTTCCATTACTGTCTTGGTGATTTTACATTTCATTTTTAAAATCCTATTTCTTCTTGAGATCATTTTAAAGAGTATTTTCCATTATAAAGCAGCTAAGTTTATATTGTTTTTTATAATTGGTTTTAGTTTTTCACATTTAGTGAAAGAACATAATTGCTCAATCTATTCATTTTAAAGATTTCCAACTTTTTATCTGCTCATTTTCAGATTGATTTTTATAATTGTTCTATGTATTAAAAAATAAGAAATATATAGTGATTGATATAGACAGATATAAAATATCATATGTATGTAATTCATTTGGTTATTGTTTTGTTCAAGATCTCTATTCTTAGTTATTTCACAAATAAATATTAATACTAGTGATTGTTGTATCAATTTTTATTTTACCTTTTATCACTATAAATATCCTTTTTGTTGGATACTTTTGAATTCTACTATATCAATATTAATATCATCATAATTTTTAAATTTGTGTTTGCCTAATATTTTTCTTCATCCCTTTATTTTCATCCTTTGTTTGTGCCTTATGGTGAGTATATGGCTAGATTTTATTTCTTAAACAGATGTGAGAGCCTATCTTTTCTTGGGGAAATTTAATGAAATCAATTAATGTTTGGTTTTGTTTTACCGAGCTTATTTTATATTTATTCTTTCATATAATTTGCTATAGCTTTCTTTTCCTGTCCCATGTTTCTTTTATCCATCTCTTTAAAAATTATTTTTCCCTTAGTAATTTATCTATTACGTAGACTTATTTTAATTGATCAGATTTAAACCACTAGGTGATAGGCCAAAGGAGATATTAACTTTTGTGTTACTCTGTTTAATTCCCTCTTGGGCCATTCTTAGCTTTCTGATGCTGGGGATTGCTATACTCTGACTGATCTAGAAAGCGAAGCTATGGAGGCAAGATATCCACTTTGATAATACTCTGGGTCCTTTAGACATCCTAAATGAATGTAGGAAGAATGAGCTAATGGGGAAGAGAACTAGAGAGAGAAGAATTTCCTCCCTCAGAAAGTATCTGCAATGAGGAGGTGGTTTCCAGCCGGTTTCCGTGTTGCTGGCCCCCTTCCTGTCAGAGGGCTGCATCAATTCCCTATTGCACTGTTCAGGGCAAAAGGTCAAGCGTTCATTGGCTATGATTAGAGTTGTTTAAACCTCAACATCTGCTTGTAATTAGTGTAAATCCTTCCAAGATTTTGATATATGATGAATTCTAATCCTTAGTTTCCAGAGGCATTGCACATGTTTTTCTAATTTATGTTTTCATAGATATTTCATAACATGTATTGGGGTTTTTGTTGCCATTGAAAAAGTAACACACAATATTGCCTAACATTTCTAAAATGCAGAAAAGCCCCCCTCAAAAGAAACTACCCATAATTTATCTACAGGAGACAATCACTATTATTAGATTTTTTGTGTGTATTGTTTAAATTCTAATTTTATGGCTATTTTTATAAAGCTAGATGCAATTTGTAAACTGTTCTATATTTTTATATCTATATATCATGAACATTTTCATCCATTTAATATTCTTCAACAGCATAATTTTTGTTGCTACTTAGTATTCCATCTATAATTCCCAGAAAATTATTTTCAAATTTATCAGTAGATTTGTGCTGGAAGCAAAAGTTAGCATCCATAGACATTAATCCAACTTCTGAAAGGTAGTGCAATTCTCAGCTAATCAGAATACCAAGGTTAGTAAGGTTACCTTAACCACCAGAATTCATAGCTTAATTCCTTCACTTAGTCAAGGCATAATAATTACATAGTTCAATAAGAGAAAAAACTGCTCCTAAATAACACTCCTGGATAAGTTCCCAAATTTCCTATTTGATAATACTGAGTTTGGGCTATTTCCCTAGGTGTATGAATATTATGTATTACATATTGTACAAAGAAAGAAGGCTTTCTTTTCTTTTTCTTTCTTTCTTTCTTTTTTTTTTTTTTTTTTTTTTTTTTCCTTTTTCTCACTCTGTTGCCAGGCTGGAGTGCAGTGGCTGATCTCGGCTCAGTGCAACCTCCATCTCCCGGGTTCAAGCAATTCTCCTGCTTCAGCCTCCCTAGTAGCTGGGATTACAGGTGCATGCCACCATGCCCAGCTAATATTTGTATTTTTGGTAGAGACGGGGTTTCATCGTGTTGGCCAGGATGGTGTGGATCTCTTGACTTTGTGATCCGCCCACCTCGGCCTCCCAAAGTGCTGGGATTACAGGCATGAGCCACCGCGCCTGGCAAGAAGGCTTTCTTTCAACAGCATATCTTACTAGGATATAACCTCGATACTGAAAAACACTAGTTGATATGTGAGTAAACTCTCAATGAGAATGCCCCATAGGCATTCATATTTCCTAATGCCACAAGAAGCAAGAGGATAAGTAAACAAAAAGATATCATGTATCACTCTGGTTACAGGACAGCCAGTTCCTAGATATAGCTTGTAAGACTGAGATTACAGGTTATCCACAAAAGACGTTCGTCTAATTTCAACCAGGAGCTAAAATTCACTGTAGTCCACAAACAAAACTTAAAGAGCATGAGTCAACACAAAAAGCATGGGGAGCCCTCCTAAAACACCGGAGATCTTCGTTGCTTCAGTTTGGGAACCAACGAATCACAGAAAACAGGAACTCATGTGCTGGTATTTTCTCTTCACCTTTTAGTATTCTCTGGACTGTGCATATATCTACTTTCTCATCCTTAAATTTGTTTATTTGTGCTTACTTTTTTGATTTTGATTAGATTATGTAGAGGATATTACATTTTATCTCTATTTTTTAAAAATCATCACTTTAAATGTTTCTTTGCTAAAACTTTATTTCAAATTTATGTTAAAGTTGAATGAATACGATAGGAAACCCATACATGTCAATTACCCAAATTCATCATTGTTTATATTTTGCCCCATTTGTTGTATTATTTTTATACATGTATATTATATAGAAAATATATATCATATATATATATATTTGAGATGGAGTTTTGCTCTTGTCACCCAGGCTGGAGTGCAATGGCGTGATCTTGGCTCACTGCAACCTCAGTGTCCCGAGTTCAAGTGATTCTCCACCTCCCAAGTAGCTGGGACTACAGGCATGTGTCACTATGCCTGGCTAATTTTGTATTTTTAGTAGAGATGGGGTTTCACCATGTTGGCCAGGCTAGCCTCGAACTCCTTACCTCAGATGATCCACCCACCTTGGCCTCCTTAAATGCTGGGCTTACAGGCATGAGCTACCGTGTGCAGCCGTATGTGTATTTTTAGTACTAGTCTATATTCTGTATTTTTCTGAATTATTTATGAGTAAATTGAAGATACCATGCCTATTTTTCTCTACTTCACTGGTATTTCCTAAGAACAATGATATTTTCTTACTTAACCACAGTATAACTATACTGCGATATAAAAATAATTTATGGGTGAAACAAAACACATTGTCACATCTTCTTATTTAGGACATTACACATTGGTACACTATTTTTGAATCAGTAGTCCATATTCAAATATATCTATGCCTCAATGATCTCCTTCATAGCAATGGAGCACAGTGGTGTGATCACAGCTCGTTGCAACCTCCATCTCCCAGGTTCAAACAATCCTTCCACCTAAGATTTCCATCTCTCTGGTTTTTCTTGAGCCTGGAAGAATTTCTCAGCCTTTTTTTTCTTTTTAAACCTTCCTTGACTTTGCAATTTTAAAGAGAGCAGGGCAGTTACTTTGAAGAATGTCCTTCAAGACAGCTTTGTCTGATCTTTCCTCATTAGATTTGTGTTATACATTTTGGTATCAATATCATGGAAATGACGTTGTGTCATTATCAGTGCAAAACGTAAGGAGTAACATGATGTTGGTTTGTTCCTAAAACATTGATGTTAGTTTTGATCACTCAGTCAGGGCGGTGTTTACAGGTTTCTCTGCTGTAGAGTAATTATTTATCTCTCTGTCAGAAATAAGTAATTTGATAATATGAGGCTGTGAAAATATCCTGATTTTCTGCAGCAGGATAATGTTGAATCCCATCAACATTTACTTATTTTAACATCTTGATTTTTAACTCAATCACTCCTACTGCATTTATTAATATTCTGTTGTATGAAGGGTATTCATTCTCTCCTTTTTACTTATATCTGTCTGGTCTCATGGATTCTAATTTTATTACCTTGGTTATAATTCATTACTATCATTATTTCTTTTGATCTACAACTTATCCCAAAGTTAGCTGGGATAATCCTCTTGAAACTGTCTTCTTCTTCTTTTTTTTTTTTAATCTTCAAATTGTATTGCATTTTTACTAGCTCTATTAACTGTTTCCTGTTGTTAAATATGTTTTCATGAGTGCCCATTGGTACATTGAATTGTGATGTATAGGAGATCCCTCATTAAATTTCAACCTTTTGCTCCAAGGTGCCCAATCAGAATTATCTTGACTTGATAAGAAATTTTCTGCAGTAGAAAATAATTTACAGGTGAAACAGAACACATCGTCACATCTTCTTAAACACACTAACCCTCTCTCTTGCCTTTCACCATTTGTTAGCTTTTACTGGAGTAGTTTGTGCAAAAGTGCCTATTTTTATCTTTAGGATAACTGTTTTCTACGACATGGGAGGAGGACCTTATTGTATTAATTAATGTTTTAATAGCACAACTCTAGTGTATGGGCCTTGGGTCTGTGTCATCCATCACAAACTTTTGATTTTCAGTAACTTTTCACTTTCACTCACTGTAAGACTTTGTAGATCTTTATTCTCTATACGTTCTATGTTTTCATTTCGAAAATATTAACAGGATTTTTTTGGGGTTCATCTATGCATTTGTAAATATCCAAAGATGATATAATTTTCTCCAAGATTTCCATCCCAGATATACTAGAAAAAGTGGAAGAAGAGTCCAGACCTGCTTATATAAATTTGTGATGATAATTTCTCTGTTGCTTTTCATTTTCCTCTTCATGAATTTTTCTAACCCTTTTTGCATGTATCTGGAATCCTTTTTTCCATAGCCTATATTGTGGCTTTGTCATGGTAGTTGTTTTATTTATTATTTAGATGCATTCTGGAAAAGCCTGCTGAAGACACCTAAGAACCAGTATTTGTTGGAGACTGTGCTCCCTAGGAAGCCTTTCTCAGCTCCTGTCACTGCTTCTCAGCCTTTCTATTCCTCAGTGGGGACAAGAGCTGTGGTCCATGACTCTACTGAGGCACCTTTTTATTAAACACTTTCTTACTTTCTGGTGGAATGAGGTGTTTCAGACTTATCTTGAACTTTCTCTATCCCAGGCCTGGAGTCCACCATTTTCCCTAGGAATCCTGGTTTCTTTTAGTGGAGAAGAGTATTTAGATACCAAGATCTACATGTTAAGTGTGTTCATTACTATACATGTATCGTTGCTGCTAGTGCCTTTTGGCAAAGAGAGCTAGGGAATCTTGACCTGTATATCTTTCTACATCTACATCTATACACTATTTCTATATCTAAATAAAAAACTATGAGTTCCAATTCCAATTCAATATCATGGGGCACCTTTTTGTTCTCCCATTTCCATAGTTTTATTCCTTTTTCACTCTTCCAAACAGTGAGAAACCAGAATCCTATTAGCCTTTATATTTTTACTAATTTTTCCAAGTCTAGAACACACATAACTTAGCTTCAGAATTATTAACCTATACCTCTGAGAAAAGCAAACCTACTTGTAAGAACCTTGTTCACAGTTTTATTTGTTTTTAGGTAAAATTTATGTACAGTAAGCTGCATAAAACCTAAGTCTACCAATTGATGAGTTTTGACAAATGCAAACATACATGCAATCTGCATCCTAACAAAATAAAGAAGATTTTTATCACTTTCCATCATTTTCTGTCAAGTCCCCTCAGGCCCTTGTCCAGTCAAGTCTCACACCCAACACATACAGGCAAGTGACATTCTGATTTTTTCCCACCATCTATTAGTTTTGTCTGATATGAAATTTAGTATGTTTAAATGGAATCAAGGCCAGGTATGGTGACTCACGCCTGTAATCCTAGCACTTTGGAAGGCCAAGGCAGGAGGATCCCTTGAGCCCAGGAGTTCGAGATCAGCCTGGGCAACATCGGGAGACCCTGTCTGTATAATAAAATAGTAATAAATACATAAATGGAATCATACAGTATGTATTCTTTTCTGTTCAACTTCTTTCAGCCTAATGTCTGTGAGATTCATTCATGTTGTCATATGCATCACTATGAAAGAATAAATTATTGGATTTATTTATAATTTTATTTTTCTTATAATTTAAAATTCTTTTACCTTTATTAATTTCTCATTTCTATTGTCTTAGGAATTGATATTTTTTAACTCCTTGAATTTAGCTTATTTTATTTACTTTCAATTCTACCCTCTTCCTCCTTACTATGCCAAAAGCATATTTAGAATTATTGATATAAATTTTGTCCCTGGGTCTCCCTAAGGTTATATCTTCTCTTTTCTTTCCTTTCCTTTTCTTTTCTTTCTTTTCTTTTCTTTCCTTTCCTTACCTGTCTTTTCCTATCTTTTCCTCTTTTCTTTTCCTTTATTTTCTTTTCTTCTTTATTTTCTTTTTCAGACAGGAACTCACTCTGTCACCCAGGCTGGAGTACAGTGGTGTGATGATAGCTCACTGCAGCCTCGACCACCCCGGGCTCAGGTGATCCTCACACCTCCGTCTCCTGAGTAGCTGGGACAGGCACTTGCCACCACACCTGGCTAGTTTTTTTGTAATTTTTGTAGAGACAGGGTTGCACCATGTTGCCTGGGCTGGTCTTGAAATCCTGGGCTCAAGTGATCCACCTGCCCTGGCCTCCCAAAGTGCTGGGATTATAGACATGAACCACCATGCCCGGCACATCCCGTATTTTAAAAGGAAAAGTATCTTATCTTAGATGTTTTTATTGATACTATTTGCAAAATACTTTATTTGTGAAAAAAACTGTAATAGCAGTTGTTCCCTAATGTATTTTGTCTATTCCTATAAGGATTTTAAATGACTGCCTACTACCTCCACACACCTCACAATCTAACACTTTCACATCCTTCAAAATTCTAGGTTGGGGGCTGAGTGAAATTCTTTGGGGATTCTTCTACTTCAGCCCAAAAGCATCACATCCTTTTCTTGGGAGGAGCAATTAAAATTCAGCTCAATATTTACCCTCAATATAACCCCATCTTCATTATGTCTAATAGAATTTGTTTTATTTCTGTGACATGAATGTATCATTCTTCCCTAGTTTTCAGTGGTGTGACAGATCACTTCAATTTTTATGATCCTTTTGTATAAAAGAAAAACAGAGATGCCAAGACACTGGTGTGAGTGATGAGCTGAATTCACTGTTGGACAGGGCAGGGAAAACTGGATCCAATACAAAGGAATGAAGCTGTAAATAATAGGGCCTCTTGAATATCAAAGAATAACTCTAAGACAGTTAGTTTAAAATATTGGAGATTCGCTTATATATAGGTGTATAGGAAGGAGAGCAGCTTCTGTGAAAACTGCCTCCTCAACCAAGAGCAAAGATAGGGTTTATAAATGCAAATCTATAAAATTCACCAAAAAGAGTGACGAGTCAGCTGAAATAAGGACTTGGCTTCTTACTTTAGATTAGGTGATTGTGCTGGAGCTTAGCATACACCAATTTCTGTCACCTAGGTTGAAAATCAAATCAATTAAGTTCAGTCAGTATAATACAGTTGAGTCAAAATGTATCAGCCTGTTTTCCTGCTGATTCTGGTCAGTTATGCAAGAAAAAAATGCTATAGTTTTTTCCTAAATCCCATCTGCTCTTCTATCTTTCAACCACATGCACACTTCAAGGTCAGGATCATGCAGCAAACAAGTTTGTGTTTGCACACTCAAAACTCAGCAACAACTTCCTTCATTGCTTTGTCCATATTAGAAAGGATTTAGGAAGAATAAGTTAGATTGTTGGGCTCAAGGACCTATGTCACTATGTCATTTTGAATATTTTAGACAAAATTCAAGGAAGGAAAAAACAGCAGATGCTGCCATTATCCTTACTTTATTAGAAATTATTCATCATATTTAAACGATTTAGATCTGTCTTCAAAAACATTTATTTGAATTAAAATTACCAATCACAGTACCTGCTATCATAAAATCACAGATTCTAAGTTAACCTCTTACCTAATCCAATGTTACTTTCCACCAGATACTTGAATCCCTTGAACCAAATCACTTATTAGTGATCTTCAAAAGTGGTAAAAATCCAGCAAAAGAAATAGTATAGATATAGCTTATTCTACTTTTGTATGCTTCTGATTTCACCACGGATCCACTGATTATCTGTTTTGTTTGGTTTGCTATGATTTTTCCCACCCTGAAAAAAATTTAATAAATGCCTTAATGAGAGAATTAACTTTTTTAGCCCAAGCTGCCTCTTTTGAACTTCTCTTTTTCCTTGTTAAGCACATTAAAAGGGAGAAGTTAATTATTGTATCTAGATATTGCCAACCAACAAAATCGTATACCTAGAAAACTAAAAGGTCTCCTGCTTTGATCAACCAAATAATATTAGCCCAGCAATTGTTCAAATGAGTCTATTATAAGAATTTTTTAAAAAGCAAAACAGATAATGTTAAAATCAAACTCAAAATTGTAGCTTAACGGGGATTTGAATTGCATAACTTCTTTACATTGAAAAGAATTCCTTTACTTAATAAAAAGTATGTTTTGCGATAAGCATTGGAGACATCAGTATGAACTGATATTTAGCTTCATATAAATACAGATGGTTACATATGGAAATATTTATAGATTTGTATATATGCAGTGGTTATTAAGCACATATATATTTCCTTGCTCTGTCAGCTGAGAGAGCTAGTAACAATAACACCCCAGTAGCAAAAAGGACACCTAGTATCCAGATCTTGGTTTCTAATAGCATTCTGCAGTAAAAGTAATCAAGGCTCCTAAAAGAAATGACTGGTTCTAGGGCTAGGACAAAAAATAGACAAGATGATCCTTCAATATTTTGTAGTGTCAGAATGTATGGAAATTCTAAACAAACAAGCAGAATGGATATCTCACATGATGGGGGCATGTCAAAGGGACACATAGCAAGCTGAAAGATCTCCCTGTGGTCAAAATTCCAATAATTTGAGCAATAGAATTTTAAAATAATACTGGCTTATAACACAAAGTTTAAAATAAATATCCATGAGTCCATACCAATAGGACTGAATGATTAAATAAGTAAATGGAGCAGAAAAGACAAATTTTCCCATGGTGAAGTTTTTAAAATAATTCGTGTAGATACTCTGCCATCAAGAAGGGAGAGTAAAACTCACCACTCCTTTAATGTGGACTGTGTGTAGTAACTTGCTTCAAAAAAATACATTATGGAAAAGGAGAGGAAAAAAAAACCAGTGACTTTACAGTGGATAAATCTGTCAAACACTGCATCAGCCTGGTGATCAAGGTTAACATCAACAGTGATAAGTAATATTAACACTAAGTATCTTTGATATAAGGTGATGAAAATGGCACTTTACCTCTGTAGTCTTCCTTCCAAAAACTCGTAATCCCAGTCTAATAATGAGAAAAATATCACACAAATGCTAATAGAAGAGCATTCTACAGAATTCATGACCAGCATTTCTCAAAACCATCAAAGTCATTAAAAACAAGACTAAGAAACAGTCACAGCCAAGAGGAGTATAAGAAGATTGGACAATGAAATGTTTATGGTGTCCTAAATAAAATATAGTAACAGAAAAAAGATATTGGGTTAAAAATAATAAAATCAATCTACTAAATAATAGCATTCGTAGCAACCTGGATGGAAGTGGAGACTATTATTCTAAGTTAAATAACTCAGGAATGGAAAACCAAACATCGTATGTTCTCACTCATAATTGGGAACTAAGCTATGAGGACACAAAGACATAAGAATGATTCAATGGACTTTGGGGAAAGGGTGGGAAGGGGGTGAGGGATAAAAGACTACTCATTGGGTACAATGAATACTACTTGAATGAGCTTATTAAATATTCCAAAAGTAGGGAAACAGGACTTGACTGTATGTATGGTGAGCAGGCCCCAAAATATATTCCTATGCCATATTGAGAAATTCTGAAAAAAGTGAATAGCTGTATTATAAATAATATGTATAATATTTATAAATATTTTCAACCCATGATGTTGAAAAATCTCGGAAATCACCACTAAAGAACTTACTCATGTAACTGAATACCCATTCCCCAAAAACCTATTGAAATAAAAGAATTTTAAAAATTCAGAAAGAATATATATTCAAAGAAATAAAGTCAGGGATTTTCTCTGTTTCTGTAAAGGATGAGGATTACATTTCCATTTCTCAGAAAGACAGAGGGATTGGTGTGGTTAGGCTGTGTCCCCACCCAAATCTCATGTTGAATTGTAGCTCTCATAATTCCCACGTGTTGTGGGAGGGACCCAGTGGGAGGTAATTGTATCATGTGGCGGTTTTCCTCATCATATTCTCATGGCAGTGAATAAGTCTCACGAGATCTGATGGCTTTATAAGGAGTTTCCCCTTATGCTTTGCTTTCGTTCTTTCTTGCCTGCTGCCATGTAAGATGTGACTTTCACCTTTTGCTATGATTGTAAGGCCTCCCCAGCCACGTGGCGCTCTGAGTCCATTAAACCTCTTTTTCTTTATAAATTACTGAGTCTTGGGCATGTCTTTATCAGGAGTGTGAAAATAGACTACTGCCATTAAATTGATACCTGTAGAGTGGGGTCCTACTGTAAAGATACCCGAAAATGTGGAAGGGACTTTGGAACTGGGTAACAGGCAGAGGTTGGAACACTTTGGAGGGCTCAGAAGAAGAGAAGAAAATGTGAGAAAACTTGCAACTTCCTAGAGACTTGTTGAATAGTTTTGACCAAAATGCTGATAGTGATATGAACAATAAGGTCCAGGCTGAGGTGGTCTCAGATGGAGATAAGGAACTTGTTGGGAGCTGTAGTAAAGGTGACTCTTGCAATGTTTTAGCAAAGAGACTGGTGGCATTTTGCCCCTGCCCTAGAGATTTATGGAACTTGACTTGAGAGATTTGATTTGATTTAGGGTATCTGGCAGAAGACATTTCTAAGCAGCAAAGCATTCAAGAGGTGACTTGGGTGCTGTTAAAAAGATTCCATTTTAAAAGTGAAATAGAGCAAAAAAGTTTAGAAAATTTTCAGACTGATGATGTGAGAAAAAAGAAAAAACCATTTTCTGAGGAGAAATTTGAGCCTGCTGCATAAATTTGCATAACAGGGAACCAAATGTTAATCGCCAAGATAATGGGGAAAATGTCTCCAGGGCATGTCAGAGACCTTTGTGGCAGCCCCTCCCATTACAGACCTGGAAGACTAGGAGGAAAAAATGGCTTTGTGGGCTGGGCCCAGGACCTCTCTGCTGTGTGCAGCCTAGGGACTTGGTGCCCCACATCCCAGCCTCTCTAGCCATGGCTAAAAGGGGGCAAAGTACAGCTTGGCCCATGGCTTCAAAAGGTGCAAGCCCCAAGCCTTGGCAGCTTCCACATGGTGTTGAGCCTGCAGGTGCACAGAAGTCAAGAATAGAGGTTTGAGAAACTCCACCTAGGTTTCAGAGGATGTGTGGAAACAACTGGATATCTAGGCAGAAGTTTGCTTAAGGGGCGAGGCCCTCATGGAGAACCTCTGCTAGGGCAGTATGAAAGGGAAATGTGGGGTGGGAGCCCCCACACAGAGTCCCCACTGGGGCACTGCCCAGTGGAGCTGTGAGAAAAGGGCCACTGTCCTCTAGACCCCAGAATGGTTGATCCACTGACAGCTTGCACCATGCACCTGAAAAAGTTGCAGACACTCAACACCAGACACTCAACACTCATACTGGGAGGGAGTATGTACCCTGCAAAGCCACAGGGGTGGAACTGCCCAAGACCACGGGAACCTACCATCAGCATGACCTGGTTGTATGACATGGAGTCAAAGGAGATTGCTTTGGAGCTTTAAGATTTGACTGCCCCACTGGATTTTGGACTTGCATGGGGCCTTTAGCCCCTTCATTTTGGACAATTTTTCCTGTTTGGAAAATGTGTATTTATCCAATGACTGTACCCCCATTGTATCTAGGGAGTAAACAACTTGCTTTTGATTTTACAGGCTCATAGGTGGAAGGGACTTGCCTTGTCTCTGATGAGATTTTGAACTGTGGACTTTTGAGTTAATACTGAGATGAGTTAAGACTTTGGGGGACTGTTCAGAAGGCAGGATTGGTTTTGAAATGTGAGGACCTGATATTTGGGAGGGGCCAGGGGTGGAATTATATAGTTTGGCTGTGTCCCCACCCAAATCTCATCGTGAATTGTAGCTCCCATAATTCCCACATGTTGTGTGAGGGACTGAGTGAGGGATAATTGAATCATGTGGGCAGTTTCCCTCATACTGTTTTGTGGTAGTGAATAAGTCTTATGAGATCTGATGGTTTTATAAGGGGTTTCCCTTTTTGCTTGGCTTTGATTCTGTCTTGCTGCCACCATTTAATATGTGCCTTTCACCTCTTGCCATGATTGTGAGGCCTCCCCAGCCACACAGAAGTGTGAGTCCATTAAACCTCTTTTTCTTTATAAATTACCCTGTTTCAGGTATGTCTTTATCAGCAGTGTGAAAACAGACAAATACAGGGATGATTCTTGAGGATGGATATGGTTAGGAGTTCAACAATAATGAAGTTCAAGAATCCCATGTACTTTCCATAGCCAAATAAAACAGAGATATTTACACTTAAAAGAAAAAAAGGCCAAGCACGGTTGCTCACGCCTATAATCCCAGCACTTTGGAAGGCCAAGGTGGGCGGATCGCCTGAGGTCAGGAATTTGAGACTAACCTGGCCAACATGGCGAAACCCTGTCTCTACTAAAACTACAAAAATTAGCTGGGTGTAGTGGTGGGCACCTGTAATCCCAGCTACTAGGGAGGCTGAGGCTGGAGAATCTCTTGAACCCATGAGGCAGAGGTTGCAGTGAGCCAAGATCATGCCAATGTACTCTAGCCTGGGTGACAAGAGCAAAACTCCATCTCAGAAGAACAAAAAAAGAAGAAAAGAAAAGAAAAAATCTGAATTACATGTGGACATTAGCTAATAATAATGTATCAATATTAGTTCATTAATTGTGACAAATGTATCATACATTAGTAGGATGTCAATACAGGAAACCGGGTGGGTGGTATAGGGGAACTCTATACTATCGCCTTAATTTTTCTGTAAATCCAAAACTATATTTTAAAAAGTTAGGGTTTTTTAGAAGTACATGTTAAAGTATAAAATGTTTAGGTGATTTGGGTTCATATGTATAAATTATTAGAAGTCTAAAGTCAATTGTATTAAATTCTTTGTCTATTATTTTTATTGATTTATAATTATGCATATTTATGTGTTACATGTGATATTTTGATGCTTGCATATAACGTGTAACGATAAAATCAGTATATTTAGGACACCCATCATCTCAAACACATTTATCATTTCTTTTTGTTGTGAACATTTCAAATTTTTATTTCTAGCTTAACTTCTTATTTTTCTTTCCTTGTTTTGCAATGGTAACTGCATTCTTTTCATAAAATGAGTTAAAATTATTTACTTTCACTGCCCCAGACTAAAATGTCCACATAAGTTCATATGCTTAATATGCTATTCTGAAACCTCTTATTGCAATGTTTTTAATATAAATTCTTTTCAGAAACAATACCTTCTGGAGTTGCGTTTTCAACTTTACTGAGTGAAGGACATTAGTTCTTCCCTTTACAGGTTCAAATAAATCTTACATTCAAAATGCAGGTCTCATATATATTACTTTTACTCTGAAAAGGAAAATGTGCCTTGTGAGATAAACAAAATACAGTGCAATATGTGAACACAATTATGGATCTTGAGGGCTAAAAGTGACCCTGAAATGAAGAACTCCCAGTACAGAATTGAAAAAATTATTCCAACAATGAGTAAATGATGGCAACCAGGGCAAAAAGAAAGTAAATCAAACACAGCAAAATAAAACACTCAAAGCACATCATATGGTAAAAATATTTTTATATGTTAGAAATAATATTTGTAATAAAGTTCTTCACTTTTTTCAGAATTTCTCCATATAGCATAGGAATATATTTGGAGGCCTGCTAGTCATATTTATATTAACATACAGTCAATTCCTGTTTCCCTGCTTTTGGAATATTTAATAAGATCAAAAGCCCTTTCCTGACATAAAAATTCTACACAACCCTGGAAAAACTCTGGGAAGAAAGTTGTTTCCTTTAGGCAGGAATGCATATTCTGTGATTTAAAGGGGGGAAATTTAGCTCAAACTGGAGGGCTTTCACTAGAGCATGATAATGTTAGAACTACAGAAAGCAGACTTTAGGTATTTGGGAAAGAAAGTAGTTGTGCTAAAAAAATTATGCCAAATTTGAAATAGGACAAAGGAATCACCGTATTGCCTTTCAGTGTCAGAACACTGTGTAATAGGACCACCCAAGGATTATCTAATTCTCAAGGGGATGTACCTTTGTTCGATTTACTAGTTACCTTTGATAAAGGCCCAGGTTCTATGAATTACATGTCAATGGTATAGATTGTTTTGTCCAGTAGAGGTGCAAATTATTTCTCTCAGAAAAGACAACCCAAAAGGTTATAGTTTTATTGCCCTGTAGGACATTAATCAGTTTTATCTCTTACCGAGTAAACTTTTTTCAGCAAGTCTTCTATTTCTTGGCTGACTATCAATCAACTTCTCACTCTCCTTTTCTATTTCTCTC
The DNA here is from genome assembly GCF_000001405.40 of Homo sapiens. Taxonomy (NCBI): domain Eukaryota; kingdom Metazoa; phylum Chordata; class Mammalia; order Primates; family Hominidae; genus Homo; species Homo sapiens. The sequence continues at coordinate 94,777,135 of NC_000007.14, forward strand.
TCTTAATATCTCTCTGTCTCACCCTTTCTATATATAGAGAGATCTCTCTATACACGTATAAATATATATACTTTTCTGTCTAGCTAGAGGATTGTAAATGCATCAGTCATTGCTGTGTCTAGCTAAAGGATTGTAAATGCACCAATCAGCACTCCGTAAAAACGCACAAATCAGCACTCTGTGTCTAGCTAAAGGATTGTAAATGCACTAATCAGCACTCCGTAAAAATGCACAGATCAGCACTCTGTGTCTAGCTAAAGGATTGTAAATGCACCAATCAGCACTCTGTAAAAACACACCAATCAGCACTCTGTGTCTAGCTAAAGGATTGTAAATGCACCAATCAGCACTCTGTAAAATGGACCAATCAGCACTCTGTAAAATGGGCCAATCAGCACTCTATAAAATGGACCAATCAGCAGGACGTGGGCAGGGACAAATAAGGAAATAAAGGTGGCCAGCAGCGGCAACCCGCTCGGGTCCCCTTCCATGCTGTGAAAGCTTTGTTCTTTCACTCTTTTCAATAAATTTTGCTGCTCCTCACTCTTAGGGTCCACACCACCTTTAAGAGCTGTAACACTCACCATGGAGGTCTGCGGCTTCAGTCTTGAAGTCAGCGAGACCAAGAACCCACTGGAAGGAACCAACTCCAGACACATCTTGACTTTACATTATTTCATATCAGGGTTTATTAAAACCTTGTTTTGTGTTTCAGGGTGGAAAGCAGTATTTTCAAGGTTTCACTTCCACAGGAACAGGTTATATGTATATACAGTAAATTCTTCATTATTCATGCCAATAAAGAACATTCACATGAAAAATGAAAAAACCGTAACTAGCCTACCACCTGAGATAGAGATAGGTTCCATCTGCAAAGAAGTAAATGTGTGTTTCCACATCCGTTCATATTTAAGTCTCATGACAAACACCATATAGTCAACTCCTGATTGTTTCCCACATATTTTCTGTCTAAAATAGTGGTGCCACCCAGATTGAGGTTTTCCAACACACTCATATTTAGAAAACTTGGAAGTTTATCTTTCTTTTACTGAACTGCTTATCTTTATTACTGAGGCGAATTATACATCTGACCAAAAGGCTAATACACGAAGTAAGCCTTTGGGTTTTTCAATCAATTTAAAAGACATTAAAATAGCACCATTTGCACAGTCTTCAGATATAAATGTGAGAAATACGAATATTTTAAATAAGTCAGGTGGAAAGGACAACCATACTGGATTAGGGCCTAAGAACCCCAGGTTCCAGTGGAGTTCATGCTACAGGTTTTACATGAGGAAATTAGCAAATCACCTGGGACTGTTTTTCTCAAATGAAAATTAGAGGACTGAGCTGACATCTAGAGAATATCTCAGTTCTCTTCCATTCCATAATTCATTGGCTCCTCTAAGTTTTTTCAAACATGAAAATAAATTTCAAATAAAATTCTTGCATTTATGAAAACATAAACATCTAAAATTTAAATAGGTATTTCTTCTAGGGTTAAGAAAAGAAAATAGTTGTAGTTGTACCTGGTTTTTACACTTACTCAAAAGAGCTAACATAGCCAAGGAAAGCTTCCATGTAACTGTACCAGTTGAGACAAGATTGTAAGTATCTCTTAATCTTGGACAATCTGCAGTGTTTGTGATGTGTTGACTAAAAATGTAACTATGTCAGTGCTATGGATTATATAATAACTTTTAAAAATAAACATTTCATAGATTGTCCCACATTTATCTGAGAACACATAAATAAAAACTAACATGAATCATCAGGACATCAGGACATTCTCTTTTGAGTATGGCTGATAAAATCAATAGTAAAATCTACATAGCTCAAACGTCCAGCTTTGAAAACTAAAAACCTTATTCTTCAGTGTGAATTCTATCAGCTTTTGTTTTTCCAACATTACAATTTTTCTTTTCCCTACCAAAAAAAAATTGTCCCCACTTAAGTATTATCTTCAAGATCATTAATGTCCAAGTAAATGTGGTCTGACCAAATAATTTGGCACCATAGCTAGGACCAAAAAAAAAAAAAAAGTAAATAACTTTCAGAAGAATTAAAACACAGCTCTTTCTATTGGTGTAGGCATTTCAGTTCTGTTCTGCGACCTCCTCCCATTTAGCTAGAGATAGTTTCCATGGGAACTGAAGACTGTGTTCTACTGAGTCTTGAAACACACAAATATAAATTTTTGCTTCTTACAAGTGGGCAGCGATTTATCTCTCTAATGCTTAATGGAAGACATTTGAATCTATTTTGGTTTGAGACAAAAACTGAAAGAAAGTTATGTCAATTATACTAATATACAATTTCAAAGCCTGAAATTAGAAATTAGTAAAATTGAGGTGAGTACAGCATAGTAATATATGTCCCAGCTGTTCTAGCTTTTCCAGGGTATTTTTTTTCCAAAGGGAGGAATATATTGCTGTATTAAATACTTGTGCTACCATGAAAAAACTTTAAAATTAATTTTCTTAATCCAAGCAGATTTTCCATTGTCATTGTTGCTTTTAAATAATCTCTTATGGAATATAGAGTGCAGAGTTGTAACAATATAAAATATCAAAATAGATGTTTAATTTTTATGGGGCTTTTTTGGTAGAGAAAAATTTGGGATAGATTAATGGGAATGTTTAAGTCAGCACATGAAGAAATAAAAGAATTTCAAACTATTGAGTTGAAAAACAGGTACAGCCTTTCAAAAGTCTAAAAACCCAAAACCCATGACCTTATAAAAAGAAAATTGGTATTACTCAAGAACAAATCCTGACTTTACTTGAAAATATCTCTGCATAAATATGTACAGCAAAGATAATAAAAACAGCTAAATCTACCCCAAGCTGAAAACAAAATCAACAAAAAGACAGTCAACTCCCTGGAGGAATCTGTGTTTCTCTTGGTTGTGACACTGGTTACCAAGGTAGTGGTTATATTTGAGAGGCCCCTGGCTACAAATCCATGATCTTGAAGACCTTCGGTAGAATCTGAAGCAAACAGATCATTATAATAGACTAACTTGTGCTTTCCAGTGTTCAAACACCTAGACCTTAACAAACCAAACTTCTCTTATTAAAAAGGCAAAGCAAGAATCAAGGTAATTATTGAAAATTTGGGGTTAAAACTCTTTTTCCTTTTTTTAGAAAATTTTATTATTATTATACTTTAAGTTTTAGGGTACATGTGCACAACGTGCAGGTTTGTTACATATGTATACATGTGCCATGCTGGTGTGCTGCACCCATTAACTCGTCATTTAGCATTACGTATATCTCCTAATGGTATCCCTCCCCCCTCCACCCACCCCACAACAGTCCCCGGTGTGTGATGTTCCCCTTCCTGTGTCCATGTGTTCTCATTGTTCAATTCCCACCTATGAGTGAGAACATGCGGTGTTTGGTTTTTTGTCCTTGCAATAGTTTGCTGAGAATGATGGTTTCCAGTTTCATCCATGTCCCTACAAAGGACATGAACTCATCATATTTTATGGCTGCATAGTATTCCATGGTGTATATGTGCCACATTTTCTTAATCCAGACTATCATTGTTGGACATTTAGGTTGGTTGCAAGTCTTTGCTATTGTGAATAGTGCCGCTATAAACATATGTGTGCATGTGTCTTTATAGCAGCATGATTTATAATCCTTTGGGTATATACCCAGTAGACTGTAAACTGGTTCAACCATTGTGGAAATCAGTGTGGCGGCGATCCCTCAGGGATCTAGAACTAAAACTCTTTTTATTTTAACTTTCCAGAGCAAAAAGTTAGAACATGTCCAACCAGTATTTTTTTAGATCCCATATATTTTAGAATCCTATAACAGGTATTGTAATAGGCAGGATAGAAACTAGCCCACATAATGTCTTCGTACAATTTAGAGGACACACTGGTGTTGAGGTTTACAGCAAATAAAGCACAACTGGAATTTAAGCTCCCTCTCACTTCTTCATTCAGACACACTTGTGCAGTATATAAACTGCACAACTGTGCAGGTGGCTCTGGCACAGGATCTTGAATATGCAGCGATGAATAGAACAGGCCAATCAACACAAGCAGAAAACAATAATTAGGATCTCATTATTAAAGGACTGTTAGTATTTAAGCAATAAATACTAATTGGATCAACATTCACCGAGAACCTACTATGTTCTTACTGTATAAGAAATACAAAGATAGGATCTGAGAACTACAAAAGAACTCTTGGCACATAATGACTCCACACAAACCCCTGCACTAAGAGACCTGATCAACCCTAACATGGCTTCTGGCTGCCTAAGGCTACATCCCTGGAAAGACTCAACCCCTCCTTGAGTTCCTGTCTGAAAAAGCTCAAGCCTGTCGAAAGAATTTATTGTTTGTTCTAGCCAACATTTGACAATAGGTCCCTGACTCCCCTTTCTTAGAGAATTTACTAAAAAGAGCTTATAATTGTAAATCCTTCCTCTGTAACTTTGAGATATATATGTATGTATCTCCTATGCCCCAGGGTATCTTTCTCAAGGACCTAAAAGCCATTCCTCTAAAATATAATAAGCAGGAAAGATAGAACCTCTGTATCTCAGTCTCTGTGGGAAGATAGAATTCCAACTTCAATAATTGCCAACTAGCATACACAGCTGGCCTAATCACATTTACACTGACCAACCTTCTTATTTACTTCTGGTAATTTTTTACTTCCCTGACACTACTTGAGCCCTGCTCACTTTTCCTTCCTACTCCCTTATTCTCCTTTTAAAATGCCCCATCCATCACCTCTGCACAAATTGGAATGGAGCTTAGGTTGTTCCCTTACTGTCAGTAGTTACTGAATAAAATCTGTTTTTAGCACTTGAACTAATGTCCAGTTTGTTTATCTTTGAGAGATCTAAAGAAAATATTCTAGTATGGAAAACAACCATGTTCAGAAATGACTATAAAATGCAAAATGAAAATTTGATTAATTAAATTGAAAGTACAAAATAAGGCCTGCACATTGCTACAATAACAATATAATATCTTAGAAGAAGGGAGAGATCCATTGTGCAGAGGTGAAAGGAAATATAGAAGTGGGACTTTAATTAGAAATATAGAAGTGGGACTTTAATTGTTTAACTTCGAACAAGAAAAATAGAATTGAATGTATATTATCATATGTTCATATTACTCCAAAAGACATAAGCATGGTCATAACCATACCAATAAATTCTAATAGCCACAAGGGGAGAGATCTTGTCTGATTTTTTTCATATCTGCATTATCAATGTGTAAAATACAATGGTCTCAATAAAAATTTATTGAATTAACTAATGAGATATCACTTATAAAAGGAAAGAAAGATATGTGATCTGAAAGACAGTTTATGCAAACTTAATTGGTCGCTTTCCCATTTTCTGTTGAAAGTTTATATACCAAGAAAATTTCAATCCTAACATGAATCTACAGAGGCTTTCCACATGTATATTTGAGGCTCCAAGTTTCATAAAGAATGATACAAGGAGAACAAAGTAAAGGAGAGCATATAACTTAAATTTATTTAACCCTTAAATAATATTTATTATAAACATTAATTTTATAGAGATTGGAAAAAAATTACAGAATAAAATGAGACTAGAGACAAGAGTGAGAAGATGCTAAATATAAAACTTAGACAACAGACTTTCCACATACACAAAATTATTGTTGCAGTGTTTTTTAAAGTAACAGAAAATTGTAAAGACAAAATTACAGGGCAAGTGCGCATGCACTGCCTCCATCAACCCAAGTCAGGAACATGGCCGTGTGGTCGCTGTGGGTGGGCAGGCACCAGGTGCAGCACCTACTGGCCTCGAGTGCCTTGTAGGAGAGCAAGGGATGGCCGCTTCCATTCTGCACGGCCACCCTGATAACTGCTGGTGTGGACTGCTGTTCTGAGGACGCTCCTGATGAGCTTGGGCCCTCTCTTGCCCAACAAGCCTTAAGGGTAAAGCTGTTAAACTGGAGAAGGAAGTCCAGGATTTAACCATGAGATAGCACAGAGCTGTAGCTGATTGTGAAAACATAAGGAGGCAAACCGAGAGATGTGTGGAAGATGCCAAGATAGGTGGCTGACATTTTGGAGACGACTACACAGTAAATTTCTGAAGAATCAGAGCCTGGGAACCAGAAGCTCACTCTGGAGAAGGTCTTCCGAGGGTTGTCACTTTTAGAAGCAAAGCTGAAAAATGTGTTTGCCAAGCATGGCCTGGAGAAGCTATCACCCATTGGTGACAAATATGACCCCCAAGAGCATGAACTCATCTGTCATGTGACAGCTGCTGTTGGGGTGCAGCCTAGCACCGTGACATTAGTAAGACCAGATGGCTACAAACTTCATGGCTGCACCATTAGACTTGCCCGGGTGGAAGTTGCTGTGGAGTCTCAGAGAAGACTGTGAAGAGGCCATCAGGAACTGGATGTTCTCCCAGAGTCCAGTCACCTATGCTTCTTTTATTTATTAAACTAGGTTTGTATTGTACATGAGGTACTTCATGTGATATGTTTTGGATTTAGTCATATTGGCTTTATTTCTAAGATATTCTATTGATTTAATGTGACCTGTTTGGTCTCATCAGAAGTCTTACCATTCGGCATTTGAACAGTGTGACAAGTGTCCCAATGGCCTTTATCAAAACCTGCTTAGGAAAATTAGTACTCTGATGAATTTGAATCCAAAATCCTTTTAACTATATGTTTTCAGCTACATGTTCCTTCCTAGTGGTCCCTATAACAGAGAGTGTATAATATCTTGTATTTTGTGGAAAAAGGAGATGGCACGGATTGGTTCAACATTTGGATACTTAGAGGATAAAGCTTCATGGTTGTAGATACAGACACAAAGAACCCTTCAAAAAAAATCAATGAATCCAGGAGCTGGTTTTTTTTAAAGGATTAACAAAATAGATAGACTACTTGCCAGACTAATAAAGAAAAAAAGACAGAAGAATCAAATAGACATAACAAAAAATGATAAAAGGAATATCACCACTGATCCCACAGAAATACAAACGACCATTAGAGAATACTATAAACACCTCTATGCAAATAAACTAGAAAATCCAGAAGAAATGGATAAATTCCTGGACACATACACCCTCCCAAGAATAAACCAGGAAGAAGTCAAATCCCTAAATAGACCAATAACAAGTTCTGAAATTGAGGCAGTACTTAATAGCCTACCAACCAAAAAAAAGCCCAGGAACAGACAGATTCACAGCCGAATTCTACCAGAGGTACAAAGAGGAACTGGTACCATTCCTTCTGAAACTATTCCAAACAATAGAAAAAGAGGGACTCCTCCCTAACTAATTTTGTGAGGCCAGCATCATCCTGATACCAAAACCTGGCAGAGACATAACAAAAAAGAAAATTTCAGGCCAATATCCCTGATGAACTTCGATGTGAAAATCCTCAATAAAATACTCGCAAAATGAATCCAGTAGCACATCAGAAAGCTTATCCACCACGAGAAAGTTGGCTTCATCCCTGGGATGCAAGGGTGGTTCAACATATGCAAATCAATAAATGTAATCCATCACATAAACAGAACCAATGACAAAAACCACATGATTATCTCAATAGATGCAGAAAAGGCCTTCAATAAAATTTGACACCCCTTTATGCTAAAAACTCTCAATAAACTAGGTATTGATGGAACATATCTCAAAATAATAAGAGCTATTTATGACAAGCTCACAGCCAATATCATACTGAATGGGCAAAAACTGGAAGCATTCCCTTTGAAAACTGGCACAATGCAAGGATGCCCTGTCTTACCACTCCTATTCAACATAGTATTGGAAGTTCTGGCCCGGGCAATCAGGCAAGAGAAAGAAATAAAGGGTATTCAAATAGGAAGAGAGGAAGTCAAACTGTCTCTGTTTGCAGATGACATGATTGTATATTTAGAAAACCCCATCATCTCAGCCCAAAATCTCCTTAAGCTGATAAGCAACTTCAGCAAAGTCTCAGGATACAAAATCAATGTGCAAAAATCACAAGAATTCCTATACACCAACAATAGACAGAGAGCCAAATTATGAGTGAACTCCCATTCACAACTGCTACAAAGAGAATAAAATACCTAGTAATCCAACTTACAAGGGATGTGAAGAACCTCTTCAAGGAGAACTACAAACCACTGCTCAAGGAAATGAGAGAGAACACAAACAAATGGAAAAACATTCCATCCTCATGAATATGAAGAACCAATATCATGAAAATGGCCATACTGCCCAAAGTAATTTATAGATTCAATGCTATCCCCATCAAGTTACCACTGACTTTCTTCACAGAATTAGAAAAAACTACTTTAAATTTCATATGGAACCAAAAAAGAGGCCCTATAACCAAGACAATCCTAAGCAAAAAGAACAAAACTGGAGGAATCATGCTACCTGACTTCAAACTATACTGCAAGGCTGCAGTAATCAAAACAGCATGGTACTGGTACCAAAACAGATATATAGACCAATGGAACAGAACAGAGGCCTCAGCAATAACACCACATATCTACAACCATCCTTTGACAAACCTGACAAAAACAAGCAATGGGGAAAGGATTCCCTATTTAATAAATGGTGTTAGGAAAACTGGCTTGCCATATGCAGAAAAATGTAACTGGACCCCTTCCTTACACCTTATACACAAATTAACTCAAGATGAATTAAAAACTTAAATTTAAGACCTAAAACCATAAAAATCCTAGAACAAAACCTAGGCAATACCATTCAGGGCATAGGCATGGGCAAAGACTTTATGACTAACACACCAAAAGCAATGGCAACAAAAGCCAAAATTGACAAATGGGATCTAATTAAACTAAAGAGTTTCTGCACAGTAAAAGAAACTATCATCAGAGTGAACAGGAAACATAGAGAATGGGAGAAAACTTTTGCAATCTATCCATGTGAGAAAGGGCTAATATCCAGAATCTACAAATAACTTAAACAAATTTACAAGAAAAAAATGAACAGCCAGGCTCAGTGGCTCACACCTGTAATCCCAACAATTTGGGAGTCCAAGGTGGGCAGATCATGAGGTCAGGAGTTCAAGACCAGCCTGGCCAACATGGTGAAACCCCATCTCTACTGAAAATACAAAAATTAGCTGGGCATGGTGGCGCGTTCCTGTAATCCCAGCTACTCGGGAGGCTGAGGCAGGACAATTGCTTGAACTGGGACCCAGGATGGGGAGGTTGCCGTGAGCCGAGATGGCACCACTGCACTCCATCCTGGGCTACAGAGGGAGACTCCTTCTCAAAACAAAAAAACAAAAACAAAAACCAACCCCATCAATAAGTGGGAAAAGGATATGAACAGACGCCTCTCAAAAGAAGACATTTGTGCAGCCAAAAAACATGAAAAAATGCTCATCAACACTGGTCATTAGAGAAATGCAAATCAAAACCACAATGAGATACCATCTCATGCCATTTAGAATGGTGATTATTAAAAAGTTAGGAAAAAACAGATGCTGGAGAGGATGTGGAGAAATAAGAATGCTTTTACACTGTTGGTGGAAGTGTAAATTAGTTCAACCATTGTGGAAGATAGTGTGGTGATCCCTCAAAGATCTAGAAATATCATTTGACCCAGCAATCCCATTACTGGGTATATACCCAAAGGATTATAAATCATTCTACTATAAAGATACATGCACACATATGTTTATTGCACCACTGTTCACAATAGCAAAGACTGGGAACCAACCCAAATGCCCAACAATGTTAGACTGGATAAAGAAAATGTGGCATACATACTCCATGGAATACCATGCAGCCATAAAAAAGGATGAGTTCATGTCCTTTGCAGGGACATGGATGAAGCTGGAAACCATCATTCTCAGCAAACTAATACAGGAACAGAAAACCAAACACCGCATGTTCTCACTCATAGGTGGGAGTTGAACAATGAGAACACATGGACACAGGGAGGGGAACATCACACACCGGGGCCTATTGAGGGTTGGGGTCTAAGAGAGGGATAGCATTAGGAGAAATACCTAATGTAGATGACAGGTTAATGGGTGCAGCAAACCACCATGGCACATGTATACCTATGTAACAAACCTGCATGTTCTGCACATGTATCCCAGAACTTAAAGTATAATTTTAAAAAAATTACAGAAAACTTTCCTGAAGTAACAGAAGAAAATTGAAAATTGCACATAAATTTTATAAACTGAAAAGGAAAAGAATTAACATATAAAGTAAGATGATGCTAGGCATAAAAATCAGACAACAGTGATTCCATCTATTGATATTTCTGTAATTTTAAAACAATTTAAGAAAAAGTAGAAGAGAACATTCCTGGAAGTCTTGAAACGTTATAATAAAAGAAATGATTACTTAGCAAAAAAATACTAGCTGAGCATTAGAACAGATGTATTCCAGCATTCAGTAACAAAGAATGTGATAAGTATTCTGACATTAAAAAAGATTGATTATATTTGCCTAGATATTTACCATTCAGATGTTCATTTTTTATAGAAATTCCAATTTCTATCTAATACCAACATTTTTTGGACTTCATTTATCATTTTATATAGTGCTGGTTGCTTGGTGATTAATTCTCTCAACCTTTACATGCCAGAACAGTCTTTATTTTAACTAGATATTTAAACTAGATATTTTTTTCTGGGTATATAATATTAGACTGGTTTTTCTTTTTTCTTTCCTTACTGTAAAAAGAAGTCTCCATTATCATCTGCCTTGTACTCCTGAAGAGAAATATTCTGATATTTTTATACTTTGCTTGCAATGGGCAATTTACCTAAGGTTTTCTTTGTTTCTTCTGCTTGAAGTTTGTTGAGTATTTTGTGGAGGTTTTTCTTTGGATCTATAGGTTTATAGTTTTCCTGATATTTGGAAAATGTTTAAGTTATTTCTTCACTTTGTTTTTGTTTTTGGTCAAACCCTCTCTAATTGTACACCGCTAGGCTGCATGATGCTGTACTACAGATCACTGATGTAGCTTCATTTGTTTTTTGATCTTTTTATCAGTTTCATTTTGAATATTTTTACTGCTGTATCTTCAAATTCACGAGTCCCTTCTGTTGCACTTTAATCCTAATCATTTCATATTGTTTCTCTTTTTTATTAACTTTTATTTTAGGTTCGGGGGTGCATGAGAAGGTTTGTTACATAGGTAAACTCATGTCACAGGGGTTTGTTGCACTGATTATCTAGTAATCCAGGGATAAAGCCCAGTTTGCAATAGTTATCTTTTCTGCTCCTCTCCCTCCTCTCACTCTCTACCGTCAAGTACACCATTGTGCCTATTATTTCCTTCTTTGAGTTCATAGGTTCTTATCATTTAGCTCCCACTTATAAGTAAGAACACCAGGTATCTAGTTTTCTGTTCCTGTGTTAGTTTGCTAAAGATAATGGCCTCCAGTGACATCCATGTTCCCACAAGACATGATCTTGTTCTTTTTCACGGCTACATAGTATTCCATGGTGTATGTGTACCACATTTTCTTTATCCGATCTGTCATTGATGGGCATTTAGGCTGATTCCATGTCTTTGCTATGGTGAATAGTGCTGCAGTGAACATACACATACATGTGTCTTTATAATAGAATGATTTGTATTCCTCTGAGTCCATACCCAATAATGGAATTGCTGGGTCAAATGGTAGTTCTGTCTTGGTTCTTTGAGGAATTGCCACACTGTCTTCCACAATGGTTGAACTAATTTATATTCCTACCAACAGTGTATAAGTGTTCCCTTTTCTCTGCAACCTCACCAGCATCTGTTATTTTTTTAATTTTTAGTAGTAGCCATTCTGACTGGTGTGAAATGGCATCTCATTGTGGTTTTGATTGGTGTTTATCTAATTATCAGTGATATTGAGCTTTTTTTCATATATTTGTTGGCTGCATGGATACCTTCTTTTGAAAAGTATCTGTTCATGTCCTTCATTCACTTTTTAATGGGGTTGTTTGTTTTTCTCTTGTAAATTTGTTTAAGTTCCTTATAGATGCTGGATGTTAGACCTTTGTCAGACGTACAGTTTGCAAAAATTTTCTCCCATTCTGTAGGTTGTCTGTTTACTCTGTTGATAGTTTCTTTTGCTGTTCAGAAGCTCTTTAATTTAATTAGATTTCACTTGTCAATTTTTGCTTTCATTGTGATTGCTATTGATGTCTTTGTCATGAAATCTTTGCCTGTTCCTATGTCTAACATGGTATTGCCTAGGTTGTCTTCCAGAGTTTTTATACTTTGGGTTCCATTGGTCTATGTGCCTGTTTTTGTACCAATACCATGTTGTTTTGGTTACTTTAGCGCTGTGGTATAGTTTGAAGTACAGTAACATGATGGCTCCAGCTTTGTTCTTTTTGCTTAGAATTGCCTTGTTTATTTGGGCTGTTTTTGGTTTCTAGTTCTGCAGAGAATGTCTTTGGTACTTTGATAGGAATAGCATTGAATCTGTAAAATACTTGGGCAGTATGGTCATTTTAATGATATTATTTCTTCCTATACATAAGCATAAAATTGTTTCAATTTGTTTGTGTCTTTTCTGATTTTTTTTTGAGCAGTATTTTGTAATTCTCATTGTAGATATCTTTCACCTCCCTGATTAAGTGTATTCCTAGGTATTTTATTCTTTTTGTGGCAATTGTGAATGGGATTGCCTTTCTGACTTGGCTCCCAGCTTGGCTGCTGTTGGTGTATAGGAATGCTAGTGACTTTTGTATATTGATTTTGAATCCTGAAACTTTGCTAAAGTTGTTTATCAGCTTAAGGAGCTTTTGGGATGAGACTATGGGGTTTTCTAGGTATAGAATTTTGTCATCTGCAAACAGAGATAGTTTGACTTCCTCTCCTCCTATTTGGATGCCTTTTATTTCTTTCTCTTGTTTGATTTCTCTGGCTATGATTTCCAATGCTATTTTGAATGGGAGTGGTAAGAGATGGCATCCTTTTCTTGTGCCAGTTTTCAAGTTTTGGCCATTCAGTATGTTGGCTGTAGGTTTGTCATAGATGGCTCTTATTATTTTGAGGTATATTCCTTCAATACCTAGTTTATTGAGAGTTTTAAACATGAAACAGTGTTGAATTTTATTGAAAGCCTTTTCTGCATCTATTGAGATAATCATGTGGTTTTTGTCTTTAGTTCTGTTTATGTAATGAATCACATTTATTGATTTGCATAAGTTGAACCAAACTTTCATTCCAGGGATGAAGCCTACTTCATCATGGTGGATTAGCTTTTAGCTTTTTAATGTGCTGCTGGATTCTGTTTGCAAGTATTTTGTTGAGGATTTTTGCATAGATGTTCATCAAGGATATTGGCCTGAATTTTTTGTTGTTGTTGTGTATCTGCCAGGTTTTGGTATCAGAATGATGCTGGCCTCATATAATGAGTTGGGGAGGTGCCCCCCCTCCTCTGTTTTTTGAATAGTTTCTGTAGGAATGGTACCAGCTCTTCTCTGTACATCTGGTAGAATTTGGCTGTGAATCCATCAGGTCTTGGACTTTTTTTGGTGGGTAGGCTATTTATTAATGGTTCAATTTCAGAGCCTGTTATTGGTCTGTTCATTGAATCAATTTATTCCTGGTTCAGTCTTGGGAGGGTGTATGTGTTCAGGAATTTATCCATCTCTTCCAGGTTTTCTAGTTTGTTTGCATAGAGGTGATCATAGTAGCTTCTGATGGTTATTTTTATTTCTGTGGGGTCAGTGGTAACATTCCCTTTGTCATGTCTAATTGTGGTTGTTTGGATCTTCTCTCTTTTCTTCTTTATTAGTCTAGCTAGTGGTCCATCTATCTTATTAATGTTTTCAAAAACCAAATTCCTGGACCTCTTTTGAATGGTTTTTTGGGGGTCTCAATTCAGTTCAGCTCTGATTTTGGTTATTTATTGTCTTCTGCTAGTTTTGGGATTGATTTGTTCTTGCTACTTGAATTCTTTCAGTTGTGACGTTATGTTGTTAACTGAGATCTAACTTTTTGATGTGGATACTTTGTGCTGTGAATTTCCCTCTTAACACTGCCTTAGCTGTGTCCTAAAGATTCTGGTATTGTGTATCTTTGTTCCCATTAGTTTCAAAAAACTTTTTGATTTCTGCCTTAATTTTATTATTTACCCAAAAGTCATTCAGGAGCACGTTGTTTAATTTCCATGTAATTGTATGGTTTTGAGTGACTTTCTTTGTCTTGACTTCTATTTTTATTGTCACTTAATTTCATTATTTACCCAAAAGTCACTCAGGAGCATGTTGTTTAATTTCCATATAATTGTATGGTTTTGAGTAAATTTCTTAGTCTTGATTTCTATTTTTATTGCACTGTGGCCCAAGAGTTTGTTTGGTAAAATTTCTGTTCTTTTGCATTGGCTGAGAATTGTTTTATGTCCAATTATGTGGTCAATTTTAGAATATGTGCCATGTGGTGATGAAAAGAATGTATGTTCTGTTGTTTTTGGGTGGAGGGTTCTATAGAGGTCTATCAGATCCATTTGGCCCAATGTTGAGTTCAGGTCCTTTGTTAATTTTCTGCCTCAATTATCTGTCTAATACTGTCATCACTTTATATTTCATCTCACATATTTTCATTTCTAGAAGTTCACTCTGGCCTTTGTAAAAAATATTTCATTAATCCCTTATTATTTGCATGAGAGATTACTTTTGTAATATATGTAATGAATTTATAATGGCTGTATAATATCTTTTTCTGTTAATTTTATCATCTTTGTCATTTCTTGATCACTTGCTATTAATTGATTTTCCCCTTGATTATGAATTATTTTTTTCCTACTTCTTTACATGTCTGATAATTCTTATTGAATGCCAGAAATTGTATGTTTTACAATGTTTTATATTTTTAAGATATTTCTTTAAAGATTTGGGGGCAGGTAGATTACTTGGAATTAGTTTGAACTTCTCAAGATTTAATTTTAATGCTTCATTAATAAGGATACAGAACAGCCTTTAGTTGAAGGCTAATTTGGCCCTTGTGCAGAAGCGATGCACTTCTGAGAATCGTATTTGCTGCCCATTTATTAGAAAGACATTTTACTTCCAGTGATTAGAACATAAAGAATTCCCACCTCTATGTGCGCTCTAAGGATTGCGGTGCCCACTCCTGTATGGTGGTTCTTCCTCAGCTTTAGTAGTTTTCTCACATGCATGCATAGATCACTATTCAGTCAAAGACTTAAGAAAACCCACCCGCACCTCTACAGAACTCTTTTCCTTGGCAGCCTTATTTTCTTTAACACTATGTCCTGAGAATTATAGCTTCTGTGGCAGCCAACACAAACTTTCAACTTTATCTCCTTAATTTAGTAACACAACTGGGCTCTGTTTGGCATCAGCATCTCTATGCTGCAAAGTGGAAACTCTCCCCAGGCAGTGAGCTGTAAGGTTTACCTTCTTTGTTTCTCTATTCTCAAGGATATAAAATAAGAATGAATACAGACTCCTGGTCATAAATAAAGTCAGTCAGAAAAAAAATGAAGTGACGTATTTAAAATACTGAAAGAAAAATACAGTCAATCTGAAGTTATCCACCTAGCAAAATTATCTTCAAAAATGAAGAAAAATTTATTAAAAACTTTTTCTAGACAAACAAAAAGCTATAAGAATTGGTTACCAGAAGAAGTACAGTGTAAGAAATGTTAAGGAAAGTATTTCAAACAAAAAATATATTACCACATGGACCTTGGGTGTACACAAAAAAATGAAGAGTGCCAGAAATAGTAAACCCAAGTACATGAAACAAAGAAATAACAGGCCTATAAAGTAAAATAAACAAATGCATAATAATAGAGATTTTGACATACCCTTCTCAGTAATTGGTAGAACAATTAAAAATAAAATAAGGTATAGAATATAGTAACAAAACATTATAAACCAATTTGACCTGACACAGAACACTCCATGTAACAACAGCAGAATACCTGCTTTTTCAAACATAAATGAATCATTCATTAAGACAAAGCATTTACTATACCTATAAAAGTAGTTCCTATAAATTACAGATTATGTCCTCTAACTGCAACAGAATTAAATTAGAAATCAATAATAGAAAAATACAAGAATATGCCCAAATATTTGGAAATTAAATAACATAGATCCAAATAAACATGTATCCAAAACAATCACAATGTAAATTATAAAATGTGAATTAAAAGAAAATTGAAATAAAACATAATAAAATTTGTCAGATGTAACTCAGTTACTTAGAAAAAAAGTTCTAAAATCTACTGTCTAAGATTCCCCATTAACAAGCTATAAAAATGAAAATTAAACCTAATATGATTGAAAAATCATAACAGCAGAAATCAATTTTTTAAAACTGAGAAAAATAGAGCAAATTAAACAAAAGGCTGTTCTCTGAAAAGATTAATATATTTAAACGCTAGCTAGATTGAAGAGTAACAAAAAAGATGAGTCAGATTACATCAGAAATAAGAGAAATGGCTAAAGATACTGGTCATTAAAAGAATAAAACATTATTTTCAAATGCATGTCAATAATTTTGATAGCCTAGATGAAGTGAACAAGTTCCTTGAAACACACAAATCACAAAACAGCCCACCCCCCAAAAAAATAGAAAAGCCAAATTGGTTGAGGACTTTTCTATTAAAAAGCACAAATTTACAAATAGACTCATGAAGACAAGTAGCCAAAAAGCCCTATATTTATTTTAGAAATTAAGATTCTAATTAAATATTCTCTCACAAAGAAATACACAGTGCAAAAAGACAAGAAAAAGAAATAAGAACATACAAATTGATCACAAAGAAGTAAATCTTTCTTCATTCATAGATAACATGATCATCTATGCAGAAAATTTTAAGGAATCTATAAAGAGATGCTAGGGCTAATAAGTAAAATTAGCAATGTAGTAGGACCCAAATCAAGATAACAACAATCAATATTTCTCTATACTAGCAATAAACAATGAAAAATAAAATAAAATTTATAAAACAATACCATTTATTTATAATTGTCATCCCAAAACATGAAATAATAATAAATTTAACAAAATAACTGAATTATAGCTAAAAAGTGCTAAACGTTGCTAAGAAAAATCAAATAAATAAATATTTGCTAATGGATAACAAGATTAAATGTTTAGATTCAGTTCTCTGCAAATTTATACATAGATTCAGTGTAATTCTAATCAAAACCAGTCTTCTGTAGAAATTGCTAAAATGACTTTGAAGTATATCTGAAAAAGCAAAAGATCTATAAAAGTCAGAATAACTTTGTAATTACAGAGTTGGAGAAATGAAACTGCCTAATACCAAGACATATCTGAACGTTGCAGTACATAGGCATAAAAAGTTAGACCATGCCAGGTCAGGTGGCTCACACCAGTAATCCCAACACTTTGGGAGGCTGAGGTGGGCAGATCGCTTGAGCTTAGGAGTCTAACACTGGTCTGGGTCAGGGCATTGCCTCACATGGGAAGCACAAGGGGTTGGGATATTTCCCTTTCCTAGCCAAGGGAAGCCATGAGTGACTGTACTTGGAGGAATGGTACACTCCTGCCCAAATACTGCACTTTTCCCATGGTCTTCGCAACCAGCAGACCAGGAGATTCCCTCCGGTGCCTGGCTTGGCAGGTCCCACACCAACAGAACCTTGCTCACTGCTAGTGCAGCAATCTGAGATACATCTGGGATGCTGGAACTTGGTGGGGGGAGGGGCGTCCACCATTGCTGAGGCTTGAGTAGGTGGTTCTATGCTCACAGTGTAAACAAGGTGGCAGGGAATTTAGAACTGGGCAGAGCCCACTGCAGCTCAGCAAGGCCTATTGCCTCTCTAGATTCCACCTCTGGAAACAGGGCATATCTGAACAAAAGGCAGCAGACAGCTTCTGCAGACTTAAAGGTCCCTGCCAGATGGCTCTGAAGAGAGCAGTGGTTCTCCCAGCATGGTGTTCAAGCCCCATTAACAGACAGACTCCCTCATCAAGTGGGTCCCTGACACCCATGTAGCCTGACTGGGAGACACTTCCCAGTAGGGGCCAACAGACACCTCATTTAGGTGGGTGCCCCTCTGGGATGAAGCTTCCAGAGGAAGGATCAGGCAGCAATATTTACTGTTCTGCATGCTCCACTGGTGATACCCAGGCAAACAAGGTCTGGAGTGGACCTCCAGCAAACTCCAACAGACCTGCAGCTGAGGGGCCTCTCTGTTAGAAGGAAAACTAACAAACAGAAAGGAATAGCATCAACATCAACAAAAAGGACATCCACACCAAAAACCGATCTGTAGGTCACCAACATCAAAGAAAAAAAGTAGATAAAACTACAAAGATGGGGAGAAACCAGAGCAGAAAGGCTGAAAATTCCAAAAACCAGAATGCCTCCTCTCCTCTAAGGGAACACAACCCCTTGCCAGCAAGGAAACAAAACTGGATGGAGAATGAGTTTGATGAGTTGACAGAAGTAGGCTTCAGAAGGTCGGTAATAACAAACTTCTCCAAACTAAAGGAGCATGTTCTAATCCATCGCAAGGAAGCTAAAAACCTTGAAAAAAGGTTAGGCAAATGGCTAATTAGAATAACCAGTGTAGAGAAGAGCTTAAGTGCCCTGATGGAGCTGAAAACCACAGTACAAGAACTTCATGAAGCATACCCAAGCTTCAATAGCCGATTTGATGAAGCCGAAGAAAGGATATAAGTGATTGAAGACCAAATTAATGAAATGAAGCGAGAAGACAAGATTAGAGAAAAAAGAGTTAAAAGAAATGAACAAAGCCTCCAAGAAATATGGGACTATGTGAAAAGACCAAACCTACATTTGATTGGTGTACCTGAAAGTGACGGGGAGAATGGAACCAAGGTAGAAAACACTCTTCAGGATATTATCCAGGAGAACATCCCCAACCTAGCAAGGCAGGCCAACATTCAAATTCAGGAACTGCAGAGAACATCACAAAGATACTCCTCGAGAGGAGCAACCCCAAGACACATAATCAACATATTCACCAAGGTTGAAATGAAGGAAAAAAATGTTAAGGGCAGTCAGAGAGAAAGGTCGGGTTACCTACAAAGGGAAGCCCATCAGACTAACAGAGGATCTCTCGATAGAAACTTACAAGCCAGAAGAGAGTGGGGACCAATATTTAACATTCTTAAAGAAAAGAATTTTCAAACCAGAATTTCATATCCAGCCAAACAAAACTTCATAAGTGAAGGAGAAATAAAATCCTTTACAGACAAGCAAATGCTGAGAGATTTTGTCACCACCAGGCCCGCCTTACAAGAGCTCCTGAAGGAAGCACTAAACATGGAAAGGAACAACCGACATCAGCCACTGCAAATATACACCAAATTGTAAAGACCATCGACGCTATGAAGAAACTGCATCAATTAACAGGCAAAATAACCAGCTAACATCATAATGACAGGATCAAATTCACACATAACAATATTAACCTTAAATGTAATTGGGCTAAATGCCTCAATTAAAAGACACAGATTGGCAAATTGGATACAGTCAAGACCCATCAGTGTGCTGTATTCAGGAGACCCATCTCATGTGCAACGACACACATAGGCTCAAAATAAAGGGTTGGAGGAAGATCTACCAAGCAAACGGAAAGCAAAAAAGAAAAGCAGGGGTTGCAATCCTGATCTCTGATAAAACAGACTTTAAACCAACAAAGATCAAAATGGAAAAGAAGTCCATTACATAATGGTAAAGTGATCAATTCAACAAGAAGAGCTAATTATCCTAAATATATATGCACCTAATACAGGAGCACCCAGATTCATAAAGCAAGTTCTTAGAGACGTACAAAGAGACTTAGACTCCCACACAATAATAATGGGAGACTTTAACACCCCACTGTCAATATTAGACCGATCATCAAGACAGAAAATTAACAAGGAAATCCAGGATGTGAACTGAGCTCTGGACCAAGCAGACCTAATAGACATCTACAGAACTCTCCACCCCAAATCAACAGAATATACATTATTTTCAGCACCACATTGCACGTATTCTAAAACTGACCACATAATTGGAAGTAAAACACTGTTCAGCAAATGTAAAAGAACAGAAATCACAACAAACTATCTCTCAGACCACAGTCCAATCAAATTAGAATTCAGGATTAAGAAACTCATTCAAAACCGTACAACTACATGGAAACAGAACAACCTGCTCCTGAATGACTACTGGGTAAATAACAAAATGAAGGCAGAAATAAAGATGTTCTTTGAAACCAATGAGAACAGACACAACATAACAGAATCTCTGGGACACATTTAAAGCAGTGTGTAGAGGGAAATTTATAGCACTAAATGCCCACAAGAGAAAGCAGTAAGATCTAAAATCGACACCCTAACATCACAATTAAAAGAACTAGAGAAGCAAGCGCAAACAAATTCAACAGCTAGCAGAAGACAAGAAATAACTAAGATCAGAGCAGAACTGAAGGAGATAGAGACACAAAAAACCCTTCAAAAAATCAATGAATCCAGGAGCTGGTTTTTTGAAGGATCAGCAAAATAGATAGACCACTACCAAGACTAATAAAGAAGAAAAGAGAGAAGAATAAAATAGACACAATAAAAATGATAAAGGGGATATCACCACCGATCCCACAGAAATACGAACTACCATCAGAGAATACTATAAACACCTCTACGCAAATAAATTAGAAAATCTAGAAGAAACGGATAAATTCCTGGACACATACACACTCCCAAGAATAAACCAGGAAGAAGTTGAATTTCTGAATAGACCAATAACAGGTTCTGAAATTGAGGCAATAATTAATAGCCTACCAACCAAAAAAAGTCCAGGACCAGACAGATTCACAGCCGAATTCTACCAGAGGTACAAAGAGGAATCATTACCATTCCTTCTGAAACTATTCTAATCAATAGAAAAAGAGGGACTCCTCACTAACTCATTTTATGAGCCCAGCATCATCCTGATACCAAAACCTGCCAGAGACACAACAAAAAAAGATAATTTTAGGCCAATATCCCTGATGAACTTCGATGCAAAAATCCTCAACAAAATACTGGCAAACCCAATCCAGCAGCACATCAAAAAGCTTATCCAACACTTTCAAGTCGGCTTCTTACCTGGGATGCAAGTCTGGTTCAACGTATGCAAACCAATAAATGTAATTCATCACATAAACAGAACCAATGACAAAAACCACATGATTATCTCAATAGATTCAGAAAAGGCCTTTGACAATATTCAGCAGCCTTTCATGCTAAAAACTCTCAAAACACTAGGTATTGATGGAATGTATCTCAAAAATAATAAGAGCTATTTACGACAAACCCACAGCCAATATCATACTGAATGGGCAAAAACTGGAAGCATTCCCTTTGATAACCAGCACAAGAGAGGGATGCCCTCTCTCGCCACTCCTATTCAACATAGTATTGGAAGTTCTGGCCAGGGCAATCAGGCAAGAGAAAGAAATAAAGGGTATTCAATCAGGAAAAAAAGGAAGTCAAATTATCTCTGATTGCAGATGACATGATTGTATATTTAGAAAACCCCATGATCTCAGCCCAAAATCTCCTTAAGCTGATAAGCAACTTCAGCAAACTCTCAGGATACAAAATCAACATGCAAAAATCACAAGCATTCCTATACACCAATAACAGACAAACAGAGAGCCAAATCATGAGTCAACTCCCATTCACAAGCTACAAAGAGAATGAAATACCTAGGAATACAACTTATAAGGGATGTGAAGGACCTCTTCAAGGAGAACTACAAACCACTGCTCAACGAAATAAAAGAGGACACAAACAAATGGAAGAACATTCCATGCTCATGGACAGGAAGAATCAATATCATGAAAATGGCCATACTTCCCAAAGTAATTTATAGATTCAATGCTATCCCTAGTAAGCTACCATTGACTTTCTTCATAGAATTGGAAAAAACTACTTTAAATTTGAAATGGAACCAAAAAATAGCCCGCATAGCCAAGACAATCCTAAGCGAAAAGAACAAAGCTGGAGGCATCATGCTACCTGACTTCAAACTATACTACAGGGCTACAGTAACTAAAACAGCATAGAACTTGTACCAAAACAGACATATAGACCAACGGAACAGAACAGAGGCCTCAGAAATAATGCCTTACATACAACCATCTGATCTTTGACAAACCTGACAAAAACAAGCAATGGGGAAGGGATTCCCTGTTTAATAAATGGTGCTGGGAAAACTCACTAGCCATATGTAGAAAGCTGAAACTGGATCCCTTCCTTACACCTTACACAAAAATTAACTCAAGATGGATTAAAGACTTAAATGTAAGACCTAAAACCATAAAAATCCTAGAACAAAACCTAGGCAATACCATTCAGGACATAGGCATGGGCAAAGACTTCATGACTAAAACACCAAAAGCAATGGCAACAAAAGCCAAAATTGACAAATTGGATCTAATTAAACTAAAGAGCTTCTGCACAGCAAGAGAAACTATCAGCAGAGAGTACAGGCAGCCTACAGAATGGGAGAAAAATTTTGCAATCTATCCATCTGACAAAGGGCTAATATCCAGAATCTACAAAGAACTTAAACAAATTTACAAGAAAAAAACAACCCCATCAAAAAGTGGCCAAAGGATATGAACAGACACTTCTCAAAAGATATTTATGCAGCCAACAGACATACAAAAAAAAGCTCATCATCACTGGTCATCACAGAAACGCAAATCAAAGCACAATGGGATACCATCTCACGCCAGTTAGAATGGTGGTCATTAAAAAGTCAGGAAACAACAGATGCTGGAGAAGATGTGGAGAAATAGGAACGCTTTTACACTGTTGGTGGGAGTATAAATTAGTTCAAACATTGTGGAAGACAGTGTGGTGATTCCTCAAGGATCTAGAACTAGAAATACCATTTTATCCAGCAATCCCATTACTGGGTATATACCCAAAGGATTATAAATCTTGCTACTATAAAGACACATGCACATGTATGTTTATTGTGGCACTATTTACAATAGCAAAGACTTGGAACCAACCCAAATGTCCATAAATAATAGACTGGATAAAGAAAATGAGGCACATATATACCATGGAATGCTATGCAGCCATAAAAAAGGATGAGTTCATGTCCTTTTCAGGGACATGGATGAAGCTGGAAACCATCATTCTCAGCAAAATATCACAAGGACAGAAAACCAAATACCACATGTTCTCACTCATAAGTGGCAGTTGAACAATGAGAACACATGAACACAGGGAGGGGAACATCACACACTGAGGCCTGTTGGGGAGTGGGGTGATGGGTAGGGATAGCATTAGGAGAAATACCTAATGTAAGTGACGACTTGATGCGTGCAGCAAATCAAAATGGCACATGTATACCTATGTAGCAAACCTGCACGTTGGGCCCATGTACCCTAGAACTGAAAGTATAATTAAAAAAAAAAAAAAAAAGACTGGCCTGGACAACATGGTGAAAGGTTAAGGTTGCGATAAGCTGTGATCATGCCTGCACTTCAGCCTGGGCAACAGAGCAAGATGCTGTCTCAAAAAAAAAAAAAAAGTTAGGCTATTAAAACTAAAAGAGAGTCTGAAACTAAACCCATGCATCTATGGTCCTTTGACTATGAAGGTGCCCAGATAATTCAGTGAGGATAACAATAGTTCTACAATAAATGGTGCTAGAACAAATAGATATTAATATTTTTTAAAAATGCAACTTGACCCGTACTTTAAAACACACACATAAATTAAATTGGAAAGGATCACAGACTTAAACATAAAAGCAAAACTATAAAATTTTAGAAGAAAATCCTAGTGACCTTAAAATATTTTCCTTTAAAAAACACAAAAAAGCACAAAGTAGAAGATCAAAAATTGACCAAATATACTGCATCAATATTCAACATGTCTACTTGTCAAGAACTGAAGTATTGAGATACTTGACTTTATCCAACTTACAAACTAGGAAGTTACCTCTGTCCCGTGAACACTGTCACCCAGACTCCTGAGTCATCACTCATGGCACAGCAAGCAGCATGACCATTAGCATTTATCAGTTCCTTTTGCCCCCAAATCCTGCAGAAGCGAAGCAGATGGGCCCAGCTGAATGCCCAAACATGCAGTGAGTTGCATTATTGAAGAGGACCCCTGAGCTTAGGGAACTCAAATCTTTTACTATGTGCAGTAAGCATAGCTGCCCTTCAGTTCGGAAGGAGACATGCTCTTTATTATACTGGCAGTCAGCATGCCGTGCTTTGCTATGAAGGAAGACACCTTGTTTTTCTTCTATGGCTGCTTGCTATGCAAACATCCTTTAAATGATATTCCAGAGAAAAGCTCACAATAGTGTCTTGCTTAAAATAAATGAAGAAACATAACAGGCCCATGAAGAATTGCCTCCTAAAACTGTTCTTCCAAAGACCCTAACCAAATTGGATGTGAGGGTGATCTAGCTGCAACATCTGTCACCTCATTGATTGCCAGTGTTGATTTGGCTGATCTGGCTGGAAAGGCGGGTGTCCCCTTCTTCCTTTATGGCTCCATGTGCCTCCCTCCTGAAGCTGCAAGCTTGGGTTGAAGAGCATGAGCTTCTCTCACAGAGGAGGACCTTCCTTCCATCAAGAATAAATGAGTAGCTGTGTTCCCCTGCCAGAACCTCCAAACAAGGTCCAAAGACCCTGAGCAAATAAAAAGGCACAGACAAAAAATATATATATTTCAACACAAGTATATGACACAGAATATAGAAATAACTTTTCCTAATCAATCAAAATACAAGCAACCCAATTTAAAAATACGCAAAAGATTTAAATAGACATTTCACAAAAGAAGATATTTGAATGGACATGAAATACTGTTGTGAGCTGCATAATGACATTTTGGCCAACAATGTACCACATATATGATGGTGGTCCCATAAGATTATAATGAAACTGAAAAATTCCTATTGCCTGATGACATCATAGCCTTCCTAGCACAAAGTATTGCTCATGTGTTTTTGGTGTTGCTGGTGTAAACAAACCTACTTGTATAGCACATACAATTATGTATGTATATGTAACTATGTATAATACTTGATAATAATAATAAACAACCATATTGTTGGTTTATGTATTTATTTTACTGTAGTTGTCATTTTATTGATTTATTTAAAGACAAGATCTTGCTCTGTTGCCTAGGCTGGAGTGCAGCGGCACTATCGTACATAACTCATTGCAGCCTCAAACTCCTGGAAGCCAGCCTCCTGAGTAGCTAGGACTACAGATGCATGCCACCATGCCCAACTATATTTATTTAGAGATGGGGTCTCGCTATGTTGCCCAGACTGGTCTTAAAATCCTATCCTCAAGAGATCTTCCCACCTCAGCTTCCCAACACACTGGGATTACAGGTATGAGCCATTGCACCTTGCCCCTATTTTTTTTAGAATGTACTCTACTTATTTTTTAAAAAAATTGATTGTAAAACAGCCTCAGACAGGTCCTTCAGAAGATATTCCACAAGAAGGCATTACTATCACAGAGGATGCCAGCTCCACGTGTTACTGCCCTGAAGACATTCCAATGGGACAAGATGTGGAGGTAAAAGACAGTGACAGTGATAATCCCCTCCCTATGTAGGACTAGGATAATGTGTGTGTTTGTTTCTTAGTTTTTAACAGAAAAGTTTAAACAGTGAAAAAATTTATGAAAATTTTTGAACAGAAAATGTTATAGAATAAGGGTAGAAAGAAAAAATATTTTTGTATAGCTATACAGTGTGTTTGTGTTTTAAGCTAAGTGTTATTATAAGAAAGTTGAAAAGTTACAAAATTTAAATGTTTATAAAGTAAAAAAATTACAATAAGCTAAGGTTAATTTATTACTGATGAAAGAGAAATATTTTTCAATAGATTAAGTGTAGCTTACATATACAGTGTTTCTAAAGTCTACAGTAGTGTACAATAATGTCTAGGCATTTCCATTCACTCACCACTCACTTACAGACTCCCCAGAGCAAATTCCAGTCTGGGAAGCTCCATTTATGGTAAGTACCCTATACAGGTGGACCATTTTGTATTTTTGTATAATATTTTTACTATACTTTTTCTATGTTTAGATACACAAATACCTACCATTGTATTACAGTTCCCTACAGTGTTCAACACTTTAACATGCTCTACAGGTTTGTAGCCTAGGAGCAATAGGCTATACCACACAGCCTAGTGTGTAGTAGGCTATAATATCTAGGTTTGTGTAAGTACAGTCTATGATATTCGCACAACAACAAAATCACCTAATAACACACTTCTCAGGAAACATCCCTGTTGTTAAGTGATACATGACTATAAATGAAAAGATGTTCCACAACATCCTTATTCATTATAGAAATGCAAATTAAGACCACAATTTGATAACACTACCTATCCACTAGAATGGCTAAAATTGAAAACCTTAATATAAAACATTAAAAGTAATGGCAAAAACCAGGATTACTTTTGCACCCACCTAATATTACCAAATATTGATAAGAATGTGGAGCAACTGGAACATTCATAGATTGTTGGTAGAAGTTTATAATAGTAAAACCATTTTGTAAGCCTTTCTGGCAATTTTTTTTTTTTTTTGAGATGGAGTCTCACTCTGTTGCCCAGGCTAGAGTGCAGTGGTGTAATCTCAGCTCACTGCAAATCTGGCCCCCTGGTTTAAGCAATTATCCTACCTCAGCCTCCCGAGTAGCCATGATTACAGGCACCCACCACCATACCTGGCTAATTTTTTTTTTCTTTGTATTTTTAGTAAAGATGGGTTTTCGCCATGTTGGCCAGGCTGGTCTTGAACTCCTGACCTCAGGTGATCTGCCTGCCTCAACTTTCTAAAGTGCTAGGATTACAGGTGTGAGCCGCCATGCCTGGCCACCTTTTTGGCAATTTCTAATAACAATAAAAATACATCTACCTCATGACTCAGCAATTCTATTGTTAGGTATATATTTAAGAGAAATGACATATCTAATAAAAGACTCACAAAAGAATAGTACTTAAATAAGAATGTGAGTGATTAACATACCAACCCAAATCTGGAAACATCCCAAATGTCTATTGATTAGCAAATGAGTAAATTTTGATAAATTCATATACCAAAATACTATTTGGTAATTTAAAAAATTTTTAATTCAGCAATAATTCTGATACATGAATAAATTGCAAAAATATTGTGTTAAACCACAGAAGCCAGATACAAGGGAATATATACTGTATGATTACAGTTTTACCAAATTCTTGAAGAGAATTATTTTGACAGAAAGGAGATCTGGGATACTTTGCAGTTCAGGATAGAGTTTGACTTCAGAGGGGCTCAACAGATCCTTTTAGAGTAATTGAAACATTCTGAATCTTGATTATAGTGGTGGTTACGTAGTTGTATATGTTTGTCAAAACTCATTAAACTATACACTTAAAATATGCATATTTTGTTGCATGTAAATTATGTCTATATTGAGTCGATTAAAAAATCATTTAAGGATATTGTCCAGTTACATAAAAGATGACTTGAAATAATAAACTCCCTGGTAAGATTCTGAATGAAAAAAAATGTAGTGTTAAACTTTAAATACAGTGAAACATAGATTTAAATATAATCAAACCATATGGTATCTATACAAAATAAAATCAAGTTTTTACAATTACTATTATAAAGGTATTAGTGATAATAAGACATAAAGTAGTTGGAAGCAAAATTCATAATCAAATCTTAATTGCCTTGCTGTCTACAATTCAAAAATGTAATGCAACAACACTCGTTCAAGTAACAACACAAAAGCAAAAACACTTAAGCATACACTTGAAAGGAAATATAAATGACATATATAGAAATATTTTGTAATTCCACTGTGGAAAGTTAAATCAGGGTATACTTGAATAATATAAAACTAGTTTGGTTGACTATTGCTGCATTGCAAACAACCCCAAAACTAAGTAGCTTAAAATATTTATTTATCTGTGGCTTTCCTGGAGTTTAGCTGGCCTGGGAGGAATTTGGCTGGGCACGTCTGCTTTTTCCTATAATTCTGTAGGTTTGCTGGGGTGCTTCCTTTTCAGATTGTGGTAGCTGGGATGGATCTGCTTTCTAACTCTTTCATCTTCCTTCTGGGACCTAAAATAAAGCTAGATAAAGTTCTAATGGCAGTGACAAAGCTCAAGAGGGCATCCCTATGACCCAAGAGCATTTCAAATTCTGCTGCGTTACTTCTGCTAATATATTATTGACCAAAGCAATTCCACATGTTCATGGCTAAAGTCAATGGGCAGAAAAAAAAATTACCTTTCCTATGAAGGCATACAAGAGACTGCAAAGTTACATGGAAGTGTTGTGTTATGGACTGAACATTTGTGTTTCCCCTAAATGTATAAGTCAAAGCCCTAACTCCCAATATGATGATATTAAGAGGTAGATTCTTTGAAAGATAATTAGGTTTAGATAAAGTCATGAGGGTAAAGCCCCCATGATGAGATTAGTGCTCTTGTAAGAGGAAGGCAACAGCTTCCTCTTTCCACTATGTGAGGACAGAGCGAGAAGTTGGCTATCTTTAAGCAAGGAAGCAGGCTCTCACCAAGAATCAAATCTGTTGGCACCTTGATCTTGGATTTCTCAGCCTTCATAACTATGATAGAATAAATTTCTATTGTTTAAGCTGCCCAGTCTATGGTATTTTGTTATCTCATCCAAACTAGACTAAAACAGATTGTCATACAGAGGTAGTTGAATAATTGGGCCAATAATGCAATCTACCAAAAAGACTTATCTGGATTTTAGACAGAAACAGGCAGTCATTGTGGTAGTTTTAAATCACTTACACAAATTTGTTGATGCTCCTCTCATAAAGAGGAGTCCACAATCCCTCCACTTGAACCAGGGAGGACTCATCAATGAATAGAATGTGCCAGTAGAGATGCTACATGACTTCTGAGGCTTTGTTAGCAAAGGCCCCATGCTTTTAAAAAAAAAAAATCCCTCAATCCTTCTGAATAATAATTATTGTGCTAAATAAATGTGTTAATTTGCATAATATGTTAGTAAATATGTTTGGTTAGAGTGACTAAACTATATCTAATAATGAACACCTTTAATTGTGCTTACCTTCACATTTTAAAAATTGTTTTATTTACAATCTATAAACAAATTAAAAAATAGAAAAATGACTTTTGGCTTTGCTTACAGAACTCAGCTTTCAAACCATATGACTCACAATAATTAAGAATAAAATAATTGTATAAGGCCAATTTTTTCCTGATTATTGTACAAAGAAGTTGCGAGAGCTGCTTCTCTCTCTCGCAACTATATATGTGTATATACATATATAATATACACATATATATGTGTATATTATATATGTATATATGTGTGTATATATTATATACATATATGTGTGTATATATATTATATACACATATATAGTTGCGAGAGAGAGATATATATATATATAATTGCAAGAGAGAGAAGCAGGGAGCACACAGATTCATAAAGCAAATATTACTAGATCTAAAGAGAAAGATAAACTACAATACAATAATAGACCCCATTCTCAGCATAAGACAGATTAGCTAGACAGAAATTCAACTAAGAAACACTGGGTTTAAACTGGACTTCAGACCAAATGGATGTTATAGAGGTTTACAGAACATTTTATCTAACTGTCTGCATACATTCTTTTCACTAGCACATGAAACATTCATCAGGGTAGACAATATGTTAGGACACAAAACAAGTCTAAAAAATTTTGGATCAAAATTATATCAAGTATCTTCTCAGACCGCAATAGAATAAAACTAGAAATCTATCAGGGAATCTGCCCCGATACTCACGTAGGTTCTTTTCTATTTTCCTTAAGCATCGGCCAGCTTGAGAAATAAAGGGACAAAGTACAAAAGAGAGAAATTTTAAAGCTGGGCATCCAGGGGAGACATCACATGTCGGTAGGTTCCGTGATGCCCCACAAACCGCAAAAACCAGCAAGTTTTTATTAGGGAGTTTCAAAAGGAGAGGGAGTGTGCGAATAGGTGTGGGTCACAGACATCAAGTACTTTACAAGGTAATAGAATATCACAAGGCAAGTGGAGGCAGGGCGAGATCACAGGACTATAGGACCGGGGCGAAATTAAAATTGCTAATGAAGTTTTGGGCACCATTGTCATTGACATCTTATCAGGAGACAGGGTTTTGAGATCAACCAGTCTGACCAAAATTTATTAGGCGGGAATTTCCTCTTCCTAATAAGCCTGGGAGCACTATGGGAGACTGGGGTCTATTTCACCCCTGCAGTCTCGACCACAGGAGATGGCCATGCCCAGGGGATCCAGTTCAGAGACCCACCCCCAGGTGCGCATTCTCTTTCTCAGGGATGTTCCTTGCTGAGAAAAAGAATTCAGCGATATTTCTCCCATTTGCTTTTGAAAGAAGAGAAATATGGCTGTGTTCCGCCCGGGTCACCAGCGGTAAGAGTTTAAGGTTATCTCTCTTGTTTCCTAAACATTGCTGTTATCCTGTTCTTTTTTTCAAGGTGCCCAGATTTCATATTGCTCAAACCCACATGCTGTACAATTTGTGCAGTTAATGCAATTATTACAGGGTCCTGAGGCGATATACATCCTCCTCAGCTGACAGGATTAAGAGATTAAAGTAAAGACAGGCATAGGAAATCACAAGGGTATTGATTGGGGAAGTGATAAGTGTCCATGAAATCTTTACAATTTATGTTTAGAGATTGCAATAAAGACAGACATAAGAAATGATAAAAGTATTAATTTGGAACTAATAAATGTCCATGAAATCTTCACAATCCACGTTCTTCTGCCATGGCTTCAGCCGGTCCCTCCGTTTGGGGTCCCTGACTTCCCACAACAGAAATCAACATCAAGATGAACATTGAAAACAATACAACTAAATGGAAATGTAAAAACATGCTCCTGAATGACCCCTGAGTGAATGAAGAAATTAAGGTGGACATTTAAAAAAATTTCTTGAAACAAATGAAAATGGAAATACAATCCACCAAAACTTGTGGAATACAGCAAAAACAGTGTAATGAGGGAATTTCATAGTAACAAATGCTTACCTCGAGAAAGTAGAAAGATTACAAATGAACAATCTAATGAAGCCCCTTAAGAAATTAGAAAAACATGAAAAAACCAAAGCCAGATTTAGCAGAAGAAATAATAAAGAGCAAAACTAAACAAAATACAGACTTAAAAATATACGAAGGATCAAGGAAACAAAAAGTTGGTTCTTAGAAAAGATAAACAAAATTGATAAACTTCTAGCTAGACTAACCAAGAAATAAAAAGAGAACACCCAAATAAATCAGAAAAGGGAGACATTACAATGGGTACCACAGAAATATGAAAGGTCATCAGAGAATATTATGATCAGCTATGTACAGATAAACTGGAAAACCTAGAGGAAATGGATAAATTCCTAGAAATATACAACCTACCAAGATTGAATCCAGAGGAAACACGGAACCTTAACAGACTGATAACAAGTAGTCAGATTGAATCAGTAGTAAGTCTCCCAATAAACTTAAGCAAATTTACAAGAAAACCCCATTAAAAAGTGGTCAAAGGATATGAACAGATGCTTCTCAAAAAAGGACATACATGTGGCAAACAAACATATGAAAAACAGCTCAACATCACTGATCATTAGAGAAATGCAATCAAAACCACAGTGAAATACCATCTCATGCCAGTCAGAATGGCAATTCTTAAAAAGTCAGGAAACAACAAATGCTGATGAGGTTGCAGAGAAATAGGAATGCTTTTACACTGTTGGTTGGAATGTAAATTAATTCAACCATTGTGGAAGATAGTGTGGTGAGTCATCAAAGATTTGGAACCGGAAATACCATTTGACCCAGCAATCCCATTACTGGTTATATACCCAAAGGAATATAAATCATTCTATTATAGAGATACATACATGCATATGTTCATTGCACCACTATTCACAATAGCAAGGACATGGGATCAACCCAAATGCCCATCAATGATAGACTGAATAAAGAAAATGTGATACACATACACCATGGAATACTATGCAGCCATAAAAAGGAATGGGATCATGTCCTTTTCAGGAACATGGATAAAGCTGGAAGCCATCATCCTCAGCAAACTAATTCAGGAACAGAAAACCAAACACAACATGTTTTCATTTATAAGTGGGAGCTGAGCAACAAGAACACATGGACACAGGAAGGGAAACAACACTTTCTGGGGCCTGACAGGAGAGGGTGTGTGGGGAGAGCATTAGGGAAAAGAGCTAATGCATGCTGGGCTTAATACCTGGGTGATAGGTTGGTAGGTGCAGCAAACCACCATGGCACACGTTTGCCTATGTAACAAACCTGCATATCTGCACATGTGCCCCAGAACTTAAAAAATATTATTATTTTTAAAAAATGTAACAACAAACAAATTTTAAAAATTAAATTTAAAAAATTTTAAAAGTCTCCCAATAAAGAAATGCCCAGGGCTGGTTAGATTCATAGCCAAATTCTACAAAACATACAAAGAAGTAATACCAATCTTCTTGGAACTATTCCAGAAAATCAAAGAGGAGAGAGTTCTCCCCAACTCATTCTATGAGGCCAGCATCACTCTGATTTTAAAACCAGACAAGCGCACAACAAAAAATGAAAACTTCAAGCCAGTATCCCTGATGAGCATAGATGCAAAAATCCATAACAAAATACTCGCAAACCAAATTCAACAGCACATCAAAAAGGTAATGCATCATAATCAAGTGTGATTTATACCAAGAATGCAAGGGTGATTCAACATACACAAATCACTAAACATGAAACATCACATCAACAGAAGAAAGGACAAAAGCCATATGATTATCTCAGTAGATGCAGAAAAAGCATTTGAAAAAATTAAACTATATTAATCAGGGACAGAACTAGTAGGATATATGTATACATGAAAGGGAGTTTATTAGGGATAATTGTCTCACATGATTACAAGGTGAAATCTCACAGTAGGTCATCTGCAAGCTGGGGAAGAGAGAAGCAGGTAATGGTTCAGTACGAGTCTGAAAGCCTCAAAACCAGGAAAGCTGACAGTGTGGCCTTCAGTCTGCGGACAAAAGCCCAAGACTCCCCAGCGAGCCACTGGTGCAAGTCCTAGAGCGCAAAGGCCAAAGAATCTGAGGTTTGATGTTCAAGGGAAGGAGGAGTGAAAGGAAGCATCCAGCATGGGAAAAAGAATGAAGCTAAACAAGAAACAAAAAATTCAGCAAACAAGATTATCCCACCTTTTTCCACCTGTTTTGTTCTTGCCACCTTGGCAGCCAATTGGATGATGCTCACCCAAATTGAGAGTGGGGCTTCCTCTCCCAGTCCACTGACTCAAGTGTCAGTCTCCTCTGGAAACACCCTCACAGACACACACTCAGAAACATTACTTTACCAAACATCTAGGCATCCTTCAGTCCAATTAAGTTGACACTTAATACTAACTGTCACATCAACATTCCTTCATGATTAAAAAAAAAACTTCTCACTAAACTAGACAGAGAACGAACATACCTCAAAATAATAAAGCCTTTATATGACAAACCCGCAGCTGACATCATAGTGAATGTGGGAAAGTTGAAATTCCTTCCTCTAAAAACTGGAACAAGACAAGACGCCCACTTTCCCCACTCCTATTCAACATAGTACTGGAAGTCCTAGCCAGAGAAATCAAGCAAAAGAATGAAATAAAAGGCATCCAAACTGGAAAAGAGGAAGTCAAATTGTCCCTCTTTGTTGATGATTTGGAAAACCTAAAGAGTCCACCCAAAAACTCTCACATTTGATAAATGAATTTAGTAAAGATGCAGGACAATCAGTGTACAAAAATCAGTAGTGTTTCTATACACCAATAACAATCAAATAGATAATCAAATCAAAAGGCAATCCCATTTACAATAACTACCTAAAAAATAAAATACATGGGAATGAATTTAACCAAGAAGGTGAAAGATCTCTACAAGGAAAACTACAAAACTCTAATGAAAAAAATTGAAGAGGACACAAACAAATGGAAAAACATTCTATGCTCATGGATTGGAAGAATCAATATTGTTTAAATGACCATAATGCCTACAGCAACCTACAGATTCAGTGCAATCCCTACTGAAATACTAATGTCATTATTTGAATATTTAGGGAAAAGCAATTCTTTTTAAATAAGTAATAAATTAGAAAAAATTTATCATATGGAACCAAAAAAGAGCCTGAATATCCAAAGCAATCCTGGGGAGGCAGGGCAGGGGGGAAAGCTGAAAGCATTACATTACTTAGCTTCAGAATATATTACAAGGCCATAGTAACCAAAACATCACAGTCTTAGTACAAAGATAGACCACATAGACCAATGCAACAGCTTAGAGAACCCAGAAATAAAGTCACATATTTAACACAACTGATCTTTGACAAAGCTGACAAAAACCTACATTGAAGAAAGGACACCCTCTTCAACAAATGCTGCTGGGAAAATTAGATAGCCACATGCATAAGAATGAAGTTGGACCCCTATCTCTCACCATATACAAAATTCAACTAAAGGTGGGTTAAAGACTTAAATGTAGGGCCCAAAGCCATGAAAGTACTAAAAGAAAACCTACAAAAAACATTCCAGGACATTGGTCTAGGCAAAAAATGTATGACTAAGACCCAAAAGTAAAAGCAACACAACTAGAAATAGATAAATGGGACTATATTAAACTAAAAAGCTCATGCACAATGAAAGAAATAGTCAACAGAGTGAAGAGACAGCCTATTGAATGGGAGAAAATATTTGCATATTACTCATCCAACAGAGGGCTATATCCAGATTATACAAGGAACTCAAGCAACTCAACAGGAAAAAACAAATAATCCTATTAAAAAGTAGGCAAAGGACATGAATAGACATTTCTCAAAAGAATACATGCAAATGGCCAATAAGTATATGAAAAAATGCCCAACATCACTAATCATCAAAGAAATGCAAATCAAAACCATGATGAGATATCCTCTTACTCAGTGAGAATAGCTATTATTAAAAAGACTTAACAGATGTTGCTGAGGATGTGGAGAAAAAGAAACTCTTATACACTGTTGTTGGGAATGTAAAGTAGTATGGTCACTATGGAAAATAGTGTGGGAGTTTCTCAAAAAACTAAAAATAGAATTATCAATCCAGCAATCCCACTACTGGGTATTTACCCAAAGGAAAAGAAGTCAATATTGCAAGGTGATACCTACAGTGACATGTTTATTACAGCACTATTCACAATAGCAAAGATATGGAATCAACCAAAATGTCCATCAACTGATGAACGGATAAAGAAAATGTGGTATATATACACAATGTAATACTATTTGGCCATAAAAAAGAATGACTTCATTTCATTTGCACCGACCTGGATGGAACTGGAGTTCATTATCTTAAATGAAACAGGCCAAGCAAAACAAGACAAATATCATGTGTTCTCACTTATATGTGAGAAGTAACAAATTTTATCACATGGAGGTAGAGAATGAAAAGGTAGATAACAGGGACTGGGAAGGATGATTTGAGGGAGGAGGAGAGAATGAAGAGAAGTGGGTTAGAGTGTATGAACATACAGTAAGATAGAAGGAATAAATTCAATGTTTGTTAACAGAGGCTTATATTCAATGTTTGATAACAGGACGCCTGTATTAACAAAAATGTATTGTACTCGGGTGATAGACACCCTAGAAACCCTGACTTGATCACTCTGAATAATATACATGTAAAAAAATTCATGTATGCCCCATAATATTTTTACAAATCTTTTAAAAAGAAATACTAAAATAAATTATCCAGGCTAAAATAAACTGATACCAGATGGAAGCATAGAAGTGCAGAAAGAAATGAAGAAAAGGTAAGTATGTGGGTAAATATGAATTTTTAAAAAGTATTTAAATCAGGAACAACATCAATGTCTTACAGAGTTTATAACAAATGTAGAAGTGAAATATACAATGGTAATAGCATGAAGGGCAGGAGATTGGTAAATGTAGTTAAGCTGTGGAAAGGTTTTTTCCCCCCTTTTCTTTTTTCTTTACAAAAATAAGTTACAAAAGGTTTCTAAATTGCTCATAAAATGGTAAAATTATTAACAATGTAGTCTGGAATAAGTCAAAGATTACTATACCCGATAACATAATCCCTCAAAGAATAATACAAAGAATATATCTAAAAAGCTACAAAAGACAAAACAGTAATTTTTAAAATACTTGTTTAATCTGGCCAGGTACGGTGGCTCACACCTGTAATCCCAGCACTTTGGGAAGCTGAGGTGGGCAGATCACCTGATGTCAGGAGTTTGAGGCCAGCCTGGCCAACTTGGCGAAATGCTGTCTCTACTAAAAATACAAAAATTAGTAGGGCATGGTGGCAGGCACTTGTAGTCCCAGCTACTTGGGAGGCTGAGGCAGGAGAATCGCTTGAACCTGGGAGGTGGAGGTTGCAGTGAACCGAGATGGTGCCACTGCACTCCAGCCTGGGCAACAGAGACTCTGTCTCAAACAACAACAACAACAACAACAACTTGTTTAATCCAACAGAAAGGCAGGAAAAAATTGGAACAATAATAAATGAAACAAATATTAAAAACAAGCAATAAGATGGTTTGAATGTTTCTGTTCATCCAAAATTTATGCTGAACCTTAATCCTCAAAGCAGTATATCAAAAGGTGGACCTTTACGGAGTCTTGCTCTGTCGCACAGGCTAGTGTGCAATGGTGCAATCTTGGCTCGCTGCAACCTCCACCTCCCAGGTTCAAGAGGCTCTCCTCCCTCAGCCTCCTGAGTAGCTGGGATTACAGGCACTGGTCACCATGCCTGGCTAATTTTTTGTATTTAGTAGAGATTGGGTTTCACCATGTTGGGCAGGCTGACCTCAGGTGATCTATCTGCCTCGGCCTCTCAAAGTGTTGGGATTACAGGCATGAGTCACTGTGCCTGGCCTAGGATGTAATTTAATGAGAGTTCCACTCTCGTGAATGGCATTTATACCGTTATAAAGGGCTTGAGGTAGTGTGCTTGGCCCTTCAATCATGTGAGGACATAGCAAGAGGTGACATCTATAAAACAAAGAGTAAAGAGCACCAGACACCAAATCTGCTGGAACCTTGATCATGGACTTTCTGGCCTCAGTAACTAGTATAAATAAATAACTAATATAAAAAACAAATTTCTGTTTTATATAAATTACCCAGTCTAAATATTTTGTTACAGTAGCCTTACCAAGCTGACATGGTAGATTTAATCCAACTACACCAGTAACTACATTGCATGTAAGCACTACAATCAAAAGAAGACAGTAAGACAGATTTTTTTAAATGGCCCAAATATATTCTATTCACAATAAACACACTTAAAAGTATAAAAATTGATATGCTGAAAGTATAAGAGTACAAAAATATATACCATGCAAATATTAACCAAGAGAAACCTGGTATAACTATATTAATTCAGTATAAGGCAAAGTAAACTATGATGTAGATAGCATTTCTAGAGTTAAAGATGTACATCTCATTATTAAAGAACCAATTCACCAGGAAGCAAAAAAAATTGTAATTTTATTTCCACCTAACCACAGTTTCAAAACATACAAAATAAAAATGGACAAAATCAAGAGAGAAATAATAGGTAAACCTTTGTGGATCACAGTAAAAGATACTAACACAACTCTTTCAGCAATTATTACAACAAACAGACCAAAAAAAATCAGTAAGAATGTAGAAGATTTGAATAATACTATTAACCAATGTGACCTAAATGACATGTTGGGATTACTACATCCAACAAATACAGAATACATAATTTTCAAGTGCACAAGAAATGTTACTGAAAATAGATCATACATTGGACCATGCATGTCTTCATAAATTACAAAAAAAGAAATTATACAGTATTAAATTAAAAATCTACAGCAGAAATAGAAAATTCCCTAAATATATGGATATTAAACAACACATTTCTAAGCAACTCAATAAGTAAGAAAGTAATCACAATGAAAATTAGAAAACACCTCAAACTCAATAAAAA
This sequence comes from Homo sapiens, assembly GCF_000001405.40. NCBI lineage: Eukaryota > Metazoa > Chordata > Mammalia > Primates > Hominidae > Homo > Homo sapiens. The sequence goes on from NC_000007.14 coordinate 94,815,164, forward strand.
CTATGATGTGTCTACATTCTGGCATTTTACTTGGGAAAAAATATACTAGGTGTCAAAATTTGAGGAATACAATTAAGTACTGAAAGGGAAATTGTTTACTTTATATTCATATATTAGAAAAATGAAAAGTGGAAAAAACTGTTTCCATTCTCAAGAAAACAGAAAAAGAAGAGCAAATTAAACCGAAAAAAAACTTTAAAAAAAAGAAAATAATGAAGACAAGAATAAAAGTAAATTAAAAAGCAGGCGTACAATAGAAGTAATCCATAGAAATAAAGTTAGTTCTTGGGAAATGTTTTAAAATTGATAACCCCTTCTAAGACTGATCTAGAAATTGTTAAAAATGATAAAATACAGGTTACACTATCAAAAATGGAAAAAATGCAATCACAATTAAAAGGGAACCATTCTAAATGCATTTATTAGAAAATTATAGAATAATTATAAATTTAGTGGATTGCATAAAGTAACAAAATTCCTTTAAAAACTTAACGAATACCAAAAGAAATAGAAAATATGAATCATCCTTTTTCTGTAAGTGTAATATAATTCTTTCCACAATGAAAACTTCAGGCCATGGTGACTTGACAAGCAAATTTTTTCAAACATTTAAGGAAGAAATCATACGAGTCTTATCCAAACTCTTCTTTTTTCTTTTTTCTTTTTATTATACTTTACATTCTGGGATACATGTGCAGAATGTGTAAGTTTGTTACATAGGTATACATGTGCCATGGTGGTTTGCTGCACCCATCAACCCGTCATCTACATTAGGTATTTCTCCTCATGCTACACCTCCCCTTTCCACCCACCCCCTGAGAGGCCCCAGTGTGTGATGTTTCCCTCCCTGTGCCCATATGTTCCCATTGTTCAACTCCCACTTACCAATGAGAGCATGTGGTGTTTGGTTTTCTGTCCCTGTGTTAGTTTGCTGAGAATGATGGTTTCCAGTTTCATTCATGTCCCTGCAAAGAACATGAACTCAGCTTTTTTATGGCTGCATAGTATTCCATGGTGTATATGTGCCACATTTTCTTTATCCAGTCTAACACTGATGGGCATTTGGGTTGGTTCCAAGTCTTTGCTATTGTGAATAGTGCCATAATAAACAAACATGTGCATGTGTCTTTATAGTAGAATTATTTATAATCCTTTGGGAATATATCCAGTAATGGGATTGCTGGGTTAAATGGTATTTCTAGTTCTACATCCTTGAGGAATCACCACACTGTCTTCCACAATGGTTGAACGAATTTACACTCCAACCAACAGTGTAAAAGTGTTTGTATTTCTCCACAGCCTCTCCAATATCTGTTGTTTCCTGACTTTTTAATGATCACCACTCTAACTGGCATGAGATGGTATCTCATTGTGGTTTTGATTTGCATTTCTCTAATGACCAGTGATGATGAGCTTTTTTCATGTTTCTTGCCCACATAAATGTCTTCTTTCAAAAAGTGTCTGTTCATATCCTTTGCCCATTTCTTGATGGGGTTGTTTGTTTTTTTCTTGTAAATCTGTTTAAGTTCTTTGTGGATTCTGGATATTAGCCCTTTGTCAGATGGATAGATTGCAAAAATTTTCTCCCATGCTGTAGGCTGCCTGTTCACTCTGATTATAGTTTCTTTTGCTGTGCAGAAGCTCTTTAGTTTAATTAGATCCCATTTGTCAATTTTGGCTTTTGTTGCCATTGCTTTTGGTGTTTCAGTCATGAAGTCTTTTCCCTTGCCTATGTCCTGAATGGTATTGCCTAGGTTTTCTTCTAGGATTTTTATGGTTTTAGGTCTTACATTTAAATCTTTAATCCATCTTGAGTTAATTTTTGTATAAGGTGTAAGTAAGGGGTTCAGTTTCAGTTTTCTGCATGTGGCTAGTGAGTTTTCCCAGCACCATTTATTAAATAGGGAATCCTTTCTCCATTGCTTGTTTTCATCAGGCTTGTCAAAAAACAGATGATTGTAGATGTGTGGTGTTATTTCTGAGGCCTCTGTTCTGTTCCATTGGTCTATATATCTGTTTTGGTACCAGTTTTGGTAGCATGGTTTTGGTACCATGCTATTTTGGTTACTGTAGCTTTGTCATATAGTTTGAAGTCAGGTAGCATGATGCCTCCAGCTTTGTTCTTTTTGCTTAGGATTGTCTTGCCTATATAGGCTCTTTTTGGTTCCATATGAAATTTAAAGTAGTTTTTTTCTAATTCTGCGAAGAATGTCAGTGGGAGCTTGAGGAGAATAGCATTGAATCTATAGATTACTTTGGGTAGTATGGCCATTTTCACAGTCTTGATTCTTCCTATCTACGAGCATGGAATGTTCTTCCATTTGTTTGTGTCTTCTTTTATTTCGTTGAGCAGTGGTTTGTAGTTCTCCTTGAAGAGGTCCTTCACATCCCTTGTAAGTTGTGTTCCTAGGTATTTTATTCTCTTTGTAGCAAATGGGAATGGGAATTTGGTCATGATTTAGTTCTCTGTTTGTCTATTATTGGTGTATAGGAATGCTTGTCATTTTTGCACATTGATATTTTTATCCTGAGACTTTGCTGAAGTTGCTTATCAGCTTAAGGAGTTTTTAGGCTGAGACGATGGGGTTTTCTAAATATACAACCATGTCATCTGCAAACAGAGACAATTTGACTTCCTCTCTTCCTATCTGAATATGCTTTATTTCTTTCTCTTGCCTGATTGCCCTGGCCAGAACTTCCAATACTGTGTTGAATAGGAGTGATGAGAGAGGGCATCCTTGTCTTGTGTCAGTTTTCTAAGGGAATGCTTCCAGCTTTTGCTCATTCAGTATGATACTGGCTGTGGTTTTGTCATAAATAGCTCTTGTTATTTTGAGATAAGTTCCATCAATACCTAGCTTATTGAGAGATTTTAGAATGAAGGTGTGTTGAATTTTATCGAAGGCCTTTTTTGCGTCTATTGAGATTATCATGTGGTTTTTGTCATTGGTTCTGTTTATGTGATGGATTACATTTATTGATTTGAATATGTTGAACTAGCCTTGCATCCCAGAGGTGAAGCCGACTTGATCATGGTAGATAAGCTTTTTGATGTGCTGCTGGATTTGGTTTGCCAGTATTTTATTGAGGATTTTTTGCATCAATGTTCATCAGGAATATTGGCCTGAAATTTTCTTTTTTTGTTGTGTCTCTGCCAGGCTTTGGTATCAGGATGATGCTGGCCTCATAAAATGAGTTTGGGAGGAGTCCCTCTTTTTCTATTGTTTGGAATAGTTTTGGAAGGAATGGTACCAGCTCCTCTTTGTACCTCTGGTAGAATTCAGCTCTGAATCCGTCTGGTTCTGGACTTTATTTATTTGGTAGGCTATTAAGTACCGCCTCAATTTCAGACTTGTTATTGGTCTATTCAGGAATTGGACTTCTTTCTTGGGTTAGTCTTGGGAGGGTGTATGTGTTCAGGAATTTATCCAATTCTTCTAAATTTTCTAGTTTATTTGCATAGAGGTGTTTATAGTATTCTCTGTGGGTAGTTTGTATTTCTGTGGGATCAGTGGTGATCTCCCCTTTATCATTTTTTATTGTGTCTATTTGATTCTTCTCTTTTCTTCTTTATTAGTCTGGCTAGCGGTCTATCTATCTTGCTAATCTTTTTTAAAAAACCAGCTCTTGGATTCATTGATTTTTTTGAAGGGTTTTTTGTGTCTCTATCTCCTTCAACTCTGCTCTGATCTTAGTTATTTCTTGTCTTCTGCCAGCTTTTCAATTTGTTTGCTCTTGCTTCTCTAGTTCTTTTAATTGTGATGTTAGGGTGTTGATTTTAGTTATTTCCCACTTTCTCCTGTGGGCATTTAGTGCTATGAATTTCCCTCTAAACACTGCTTTAACTGTGCCCCAGAGATTCTGGTATGTTGTGTCTTTGTTCTCACTGGTTTCAAAGAACTTATTTATTTCTGCCTGAATTTCATTATTTACCCAGTAGTAATTAAGGAGTAGGTTGTTCAGTTTTCATGTAGTTGTGCAGTTTTGAGTAAGTTTCTTAATCCTGAGCTCTAATTTGATTGCACTGTGGTCTGAGAGACTGTTATAATTGCCTTCCTTTTGCATTTGCTGAGGAGTGTTTTACTTCCAATTATGTGGTCGATTTTAGAATAAGTGCAATGTGGTGCTGAGAAGAATGTATATTCTGTTGATTTGGGGTGGAGATTTCTGTAGATGTCTGCTGAGTCTGTCCGGCAGACTCTGCCAGAGCAAACAATGACAGAAGTCTGCTGACAGTGACATGGGTATTGTGCCTGACAGTGTGGCTAGGGGACCGCATGGCTTAGCACCACTGACAAGAGTGCAGCCTCGATAAGCTGGCAACACTTGCATTTATTTAGTCCAGATTTAATGACAAAGGCTTGGAGGAAACACAATTTGTGGTTAATTAACATTGTTGACCGCCCCCCCCCCCCCGAATAGAGAGCAGCCCTGTGCGTGCATGATCAAAGGTTGGTTTCTGGAGACATAACTAAACCAATTTATCTACATAAGTTCCTTTACATTCCCTTGTTATCTACCCTTTGCTCTCAGCTTCCAGATAACAGAATCAGCTGCCTTCAGCTTCTCTCCCAAAGCTTTTGCAAAATCTCCTGGCCTTCCAAGAAGGTTTGTGTCTTTCCTTATAATTTTTCCCACCACCCTGACCGATCTTCTACAGATATCTATTAGGTCGGCTTTGTCCAGAGCTGAGTTCAAATCCTGAATATCCTTGTTAATTTTCTGTCTTGTTCATCTAATATTGACAGTGGGGTGTTAAAGTCTCCCATTATTATTGTGTGGGAGTCTAAGTCTCTTTGTGGGTTTCTAAGAACTTGCTTTATGAATCTGGGTGCTCCTGTGTTGGGTGCATATATATTTAGGATAGTTAGCTCTTCTTGTTGCATTGATCCCTTTACCATTATGTAATGGCCTTCTTTGTCTTTTTTGATCTTTGTTGCTTTGAAGTTTGTTTTATTGGAGACTAGGATTGCAATTCCTGCTCTTTTTTTTTGTTTCTTTGCTTTCCATTTGCTTGGTAAATATTCCTACCTCCCTTTATTTTGAGCCTATGTGTGTCTTTGCACGTGAGATGGGTCCCCTGAATACAGGACACTGATGAATCTTGACTCTTTATCCAATTTGCCAGCCTGTGCCTTTTAATTGGGGCCTTTAGCCCATTTACAATTAAGGTTAATATTATTATGTGTGAATTTAATCCTGTCATTATGATGCTAGCTGGTTATTTCGCCCATTAGTTGATGTAGTTTCTTCATAGTGTCGATGGTCTTTACATTTTGGTTTGTTTTTCCAGATGCTGGTACTGGTTTTTCTTTTCCCTAGTTAGTGCAGGAGCTCTTGTAAGGCAGGCCTGGTGGTGACAAAATCTCTCAGCATTTGCTTGTCTATGAAGCGTTTTATTTCTCCTTCACTTACGAAGTTTAGCTTGGCTGGATATGAAACTCTGGGTTGAAAATTCTTTTCTTTAAGAATGTTGAATATTGGCCCCCACTACCTTTTGGCTTGTAGGGTTTCTGCTGAGAGATCCACTGTTTGTCTGATGGTCTTTCCTATGTGGGTAACTAGACCTTTCTCTCTGGCTGCCCTCAAAATGTTTTCCTTTACTTCAACCTTGGTGAATCTGATGATTATGAGTCTTGGGGTTGCCCTTCTCGAGGAGTATCTTTGTGGTGTTCTCTGTATTTCCTGAATTTGAATGTTGGCCTGTATTGCTAGGTTGGGGAAGTTGTCCTGGATAATACCCTGAAGTGTGTTTTCCAACTTGGTTCCATTCTCCCTGTCACTTTCAGGTACACCAGTCAAACATAAGTTTGGTCTTTTCACATAGTCCCATATTTCTTGGAGGCTTTGTTAGTTCCTTTGCATTCTTTTTTCTCTAATCTTGTCTTCGTGCTTTATTTCATTAAGTTGATCTTCAGTCTCTGATATCCTTTCTTCTGCTTGATTGATTTGGCTATTGATACTTGTGTATGCATCACGAAGTTCTCATGCTGTATTTTTCAGCTTCATCAAGTCATTTACATTCTTCTCTAAACTGGTTATTCTAGTTAGAAATTCCTCTAACCTTTTATCAAGGTTCTTAGCTTCTTTGCATTGGATAAGAACATGCTCCTTTAACTCGGAGGAGTTTGTTATTACCCACCTTCTGAAGCCTACTTCTGTCAATTTGTCAAACTCATTCTCCATCCAATTTTGTTCCCTTGCTGGCGAGGAGTTGTGATCCTCAGTTGGAAATGAAGAAATCACCCACCTCCTGCATTGGTCTTGCTGGGAGCTGCAGACTGGAGCTGTTCCTATTCAGCCATCTCGCCCGGGAAATCCTTATCCAAACTCTTTAACACAAAAGAGCAAAAGGAAAGCCTCCCAATCTGTTCTGTGCATCCAACATAACTCTGATATCAAATTACCATATTCTAACAAGAACCTTAAGAAAATAATATTATAAGCAATATTTTCCCTAAACATTAGCTACATATATATTATTAATGAAGTGAATCATATATAACCACAAATATTAACCTATTTATATAAAATCACATATATTAACATATATACAATATATTTTTTAAATTTTATGAATGTAAGATTAGTTTAACATGTGAGAATAAAAACAATGTAATTTACCACATTAACAGAATAAATTTTTAAATGATCATTTCAATAGATGGAATGAATAGCATTTTAAATAATTAAATTTGCATTTATGTTTAAAAAAATCAATTTCTCAGTAAGCGAGGAATACAGTGCACGAATACAATAGCACTTCCATAATTTGACAAAGTGTATTTACAAAAAAACGATTTCTATCATTATACTTAATGAGGAATTTTGAATGTTTTCTCCCTAAAACCTAGAAAAAGATCAACTTAATATCAACATAATTCTAACTGATAGGGTGTTAGAATTAGTCAATAAAAAAAAGAAAAAGAGATTGAACCATATGTTTTTGTACATAGAAAGCTCTCAAATAATCTACAAAGAAACCATTGAATTAGATACTGAATTTGGTAAGATTGATGGATACAAGTTAAAGTACAAAAATCAACTGTATTTCTACATACTTTAATAGCAAAATAGAAAATATATTCCTTCTTATAAAATAGCAAAAAACTATTGGAAAAATAAATTTACAAATAATATATTAGAATTTTTAAAACTCAGATATAATTTATTGAAAGATGTGCAAATTCTCTTTACTAAAAAATATAAAATACTTATAAGGATCTATATTTATTCATTTTGCCTGAAATTAGGCATGGGCTTTCTAGGGCAGGAACTGATTATTACAGTCATTTTTTGATATGCATAGACTACTGGTTCCAGGACTACTTGTGGAAATAAAAATTCATAGATGCCCATAAAATAGTATAGTATTTGCTTATCACCCATGCACATCCTCCCATATAAGTCATTAATAGATTACTTATAATACCTACTAAAATGTAAATGCTATATAAATAGTTATTATACTATTAGGTAATAATGACAAGAAACAATTCTGTGCATGTTCAATAAAGATGCTTTTTTAAAAAATATTTTTGATCTGCCATTGGCTGAATACATAGATTTGGAACTCTTGGATACAGAGGGTGTACTCTTTCTGCTCATAGCAATAACCACATGAACCCATTTGTCCCAATTACTTTTTCTTCGAGGAAGATGTGAAAAGAGTAAAGCAAATCAGTATTAGAGTCTATATTATTGGCTATAAGCTTTAAAAATTCCGTAGCTTATACAGGACAGGGACAGCTGTCCAGCTTTTCCTATTTAGGGTGGGAATGAAAGCCTTTGCTCCTTAATGTCAATATTCCTCAAAAAGAGAAAGGGAAAGATCCTGAGCTTTTACCTTTTGAAATGTAAATAAATGTCTTTGGGGGAAGATAAAACGAGCATCTATGTATTTATAACCAGGGGTTTTATCTCCATGGCCCAGGACTCAATCCCTTGAAATGAAAATACATACCTCTGTGAAGGTAAGTCTCTTGAATTCTCATTATTGATTCAATTATTATTTAACTGACAAGGCTTGTTTTTTAGCTCAGGTTTTGTTTTCTTTGCTTCAGAAAGCCCTAACCATACAAATCCCTAAAATACAAAAACATTTTAAAATTTCTCTATAGCTCCATAAATACTATCTAGATTTTTTTAATATCTAAATAAATATTCACAGATATTTATTTAGACTTTTTAAAGATCGTAGTTATTAGAAAAATTACCTACATATTTAACACAGTTGCAATCCAAATGCCAGAAGAAAATTCACAGAGGGAATTAGAAAGTTGATTTAAATGTATACAGAACCACAAAGATCTAGGATATTCAAGAAAATTTTGAAAATGACAAATGTATAGGACATATAGTACAGATTTTAAGACTTACTATAAAGCTGTAAGAATTAAGCAGTATAGTTTTAGTGCAAAGAATAGACAAAGAGTTCAATGGAACAGAAAAGTATAGGATAAAAGCATGTATGTATGACAAATTAAGACTAATTAATTTCACTTCAATTTCAAAAGCAAATAAATTGTCTTTCCAATAATATTGCTGGACCAATTGGATAGCCATATGGAGAAAGGAAGGAATTAACCCTGCTGATAGCATACTTAAAATATAATTTAGAATGGATGGTAAGAAAGGAAAAATAATTTTGTCTCTACACTTCATGGTAGTTTTTGGTCTGACAGACTCCTTTAACAAAAGACAGATTAACAAGAGAAAAACAAGCAGAAGTTTAATAACACATAAACCTTATGTATATGTTGGAGATACCCAGACAAATGAATACAGTTGTCCTCCTTTATCTGTGGTTTCCCTTTCTGAAGTTTCAATTAGCCATAGTCTACCATGGTCTGAAAATATTAAATGGAAATTTCCAGAAATGAAACAATTCATAAGTTTCAAGTTGCACACCTTTCTAAGTAGTGTGATGAAATTGCCAGACATCCTCCTCCAGCATGCCTGGGAAGTGAGTCATCCCTTTGTCTCCCATATCCAAATGGCCTTCACTATCCACACATTAGTCTCTTAGTAGCACCATCTTGGTTATCAGATCAACTGTCATGGTTTCACAGTGCTTGTGCTCAAGTGACCCTTATTTCACTCAATCATAACCCCAAATTGCAAGAGTAGTGATGCTGGCAATTCAGATATGCCACAGGAAAGCCATAAAGTGCCTTGTATAAGTGAAAAGGTGAAAGTTATTGACTTAATGAAAGAAAAAAAATTGTATGCTGAAGTTGCTAAGATCTACAGTAAGAATGAATCTTCTGTCTGTAAAATTGTGAACAGTATCTTGTTATAATTGTTCTGTTTCATTAGTCATTGCTGCTAATATTTTATTGCCTCATTTATGAGTTAAACTTTATCATGGATATGTATGTATAGGAAGAAACAGTGTATATGGTCTTCGGTATTACCCATGGTTTCAGACATCCACTGGGGGTCTTGGAATGTATCCCCCATGGATAGGGGGACTACTGTAAGTCTCAAAGAAGTGGCTTGGAATTCAGACTTAAATACCATCCTCACTGAAATAAAGCAAGAAGCTTGTGGGGGAAGGCCAGTTATGGAAAGGTATTCAATAAAAGCTTGGTAAGCAAGGTAAGGTTTGTTATGCAGATTTAAGTGAGTACTTTCTTTATTAATAAGTCTCTAGTGATGCAGTCATTTTTCTCTTCCTCATACAGAGAGGAGACACTCTTACAAAGAAATCTTCATTTCCTTTATAGATGTTAATTTCCCTTACAAAAGGATAACATCTACTCTGTTTTCAGAGTTTGTACTGTGACTATAGTTTCTGAAAATATTTAGCTCAAAAAAATTTTTATGCCAAAGAGGCATATTTTATGATGGCATATTCTGATCCCCTATAGGACCATGGACCTAAATTTAAAAGATAAAGTTTTTGGACTATATCATGGGAGAATACCTTCATAACATTGGGGTAAGCAAATATTTCTTAAACAAAGCACAAGAAAACAGGAAATTAATTTATCAGTATCATTAAATAGCCAATATTATTAGTCATCAAGGAAATGCAAATTAAAACCACAACATAACATTTCACACTCAATAGAATGGCTAAAATATAAAAAGACTATACCAAATGTTGGTGAGATGTGGAGCACTGGACTCATACATTGCTGATGAGAGGCAAGCTGCTATAACCATTTAAGAAAACTGGCAATGTCTTATAAAAATAAAACTCTATCTATCCTATCGTCTAACAGTTCTAGCCACAGATATTTACTCATGAAAAATAACTGCATATGTCCATGAAAATTCATGCACAAGAATGTCTGAAGCAATTTTGTTTATAATAAACTAAAACTGGAAGTAACACAAATGTCTATCAGTGAGTAAATATATTGTGAAAAATTTATATGGTAAAATATTACATAATGATATATAAAGAATAAACTATTGTTATACAGATATCATATCGAAGAAAAGATGCCAGACACAAAAGGCTACATGCAGTGTGATTCCATTTGCACGCAGTTCAAAAAACTTATAAAATGGATAGATGGTGATATATGTCAGAAAAATGCTTATCAAGGTGAGGATATTATCTAGGAAGGGATATGAGAAAAAATTATGGAATTTTCTATGTCTTCATCTAGTTGGTAGTTTCACAAGTGTATACATGTATTAATAAAATCAATTAACTCTTCATTTAAGATTATTTTATGCACCTGTAAATGAAAATAAAATTCTAACCCCCTCAATCAACTGAATGGACCCCTCTTCTCAGCCAAAGGCATTCTAAAGTAAACTTGAAACACTATTCAGGCCCTGATGGGAAAGGGAGTGTCAGATATGCCTCATTTTACCTTCCTCCTTTGGATTTCAGGCATGGCTGATCAGCATTAACATTCAAACAGACCTTAAGACTAACAAATCAGATTCTTTGTAGCAAGAAGATATCAACAATGACAGATAGCAAGCTCTGAAAGAAATTGAAATATTTCATCCCAAAATATATTTATTTGACATATTTTGAAATGGCCCCACAAAGTTGTCTCTTGTGGGGAAAATCTATATTCTGTAGAGAATCCCCTTCCCTTAGAGAATTAACTGTTTGGCATCTTTTTATGTCTGATAAGAAACATTTACAATCTTCTCTCTGAAGCCTGCTACCTGGAGGCTTCATCTGCGTAATAAGGACCTTGGTCTCCACAACCCCTTGTCTTAACCCAGACACTCCCTTCCATTCATTCCTGGTCATTAGATAAACTCTTTCAACCAACTGCCAATCAAAAAATCTTTCAGCCTACCTATGACCTGGAAGTACTTGCTTCGAGTTTCTCTGCCTTTCTGGACCAAACCAATGTTCATCTTACATGTATTGATTGATGTCTTATGTCTCCCTAAAATGTACAAAACCAACCACCTTGGGTACATGTTCTCAGGATGTGGGGCTGTGTCATGGGCCATTAGTCACTCACAGTAGGCTCAAAATAAATGTCTTCAAAAATTTTACAGAGCTTGACTCTTTTTGTTGACAACCTTATTGAATATAAGAAACAAGTCCAATGTAAAAAAATGAGGAGTATTTTTATCAGCTGAGAAGTGTGTTAGCTTTTTTTTCCCAAGCATGTTTTGTGTGAGACATGAAAGGATTCTCAGAAGAAATAAATTTGATTCTCATTATTTACAGTATTCATGTTCTATAAAGCCACTGTGAATTACCACATTAGCAAATACTGAACAATTGTTCCTAGGGGAAACACAAGTTTAGGTTCCTGCTAGCATCTGGTCACAACATTTTTGTCAACTGATTAATACCCAACTGTCATCCAAAAGACCACCAGAATGACTAAATAATAGAAAGGAGAGTATTATTGGAAGTATCAGTTTGCAAACCAGGAAGAGATCATCACTGGTGTGTGCAGAAAGTGCTCTCTCTACAAAGACGGGGGAAAAGGCTAGGTTTTATTCCTCACAGGGCCTGTTTCACACACTAGAGTCATATATAGTAAGCAGATTTTAGGGTAAAGCTATAGGTATTTATGAGGGGAGTCAAGTGCATGTGCAATGGGTAAACATATGTGTAACATACATCCCATGTTCATTTGGGGGCAGGATTTTAGCATTAAAATGAGATGGAAGTTGGCTCTTTACATCAAAAATGAACTATAGGATACAAAGACAGTTTGTGCACAGCTGCTATAAGCTGGCTAAAACTGGCTTGAGATCTGCAATTGCTTATTAGAAAAGAATGTTTGTAAGGTTGGTCGTCTGTCCAACCAGAGTTGTAGTGGTCTGGGTTGCAAAGCAGAGTTAGAAGGGGTCCAACAGGTCCTACTGTAGGGAATTTAGAGCCATAGGAATTTAGAAATTTGCCATTCCAGCTGGGCCCTGAATCCTTGACTCATAAGTAACTTTGTTTTCATAACCTTAACTTTAGGGTTTATCTTAGTTGATAAGGGGGTACCTATTGTGGTCTCTCAGATCACATCATCTTGTTTCATGCGTTCTTGTATGTTGTTGATACATTAACATTAAACTCACAGCTAATAACAGTATAACTCATGCCTGAACAAAGCTTATCTGATGGTACATTTTCTCCGCGAGGCACATCACAGCCTTCTTGTGCTTAGGAATAGTAGACAGCACTTCAACACTATGCCATTTAGGGGCGATTCTGAACAGCAGAATCGCCAATAAACATCATAAAAAAGCAAAAACTATGGCACTAAATGAAAAGGACAGTGTGAGAGCCCAAACAAGAAAGCAAAGCCTCACCTTGTTTGATCTCAGCTCTGAACATGAATGTCAGGCAACTCAAATTTTTCACCATTCCATGTATGTCTGTGAATAATCCTGAAAATGCCACAAGTATTGATTTTAGTGTTAAAAATAAATTTTATTGAATAGGCAAATTTGCAAATACAAAATCCATGAATAGTGAGGATTGAGTATAACTAGCAGGCTATTGGACACGAATCTTTCACCAATTCTCAAGTTCAAGAATAATGTCCCTTACAGTTTTAAAGAGCTTTAAATCAACAATAAATGCCTCAATAGGGAGATGACATATATGAGTTCTACACATAATCACTGGACAAACCAATATCCCATCCAACCAAAAATGGGCTTTTTTGTTAAGGATTAAGGATATGTGACTATGTTTATGAAGAATATTGATCTGTAGTTTGCCTGTAATGTTTTTGTCTGGTTTTGGTACAAGAACAATGCTAGCCTCATAAAATGAGTTGATGAGAGCTCCCTCCTCTATTTTCTGAAAGAGATTTCTAGGATTAGAGTTATTGTTCCATTAAATATTAATTATATTTGCCATTGAAGCCCTCTGAGCCTGGCGTTTTCTTTGTGGGAAGGGTCTTATCACAAATTCAATTTATTTAGAAGGTACAAGGACAATCAGATTGTCTATTTCTTCTCAAGTCAGATTTGATATTTTATGTATTTCAACGCACTTACCCATTTAAGTTGATGAATTTATTGGCATAAAGTTGTTTGTATTATTCCCTTATTATTCTTCAAATATCTGTAATATATTCAGGTAATGTCCCCTCTTTCATTCCTAATATTGGTAATTTTTTCTGTTTTTTCAGATCAGTATGAATAGAATTCTATCAATTTTATTGTTCTTTTCAAAAAGACCTTTTGCTTTTACTTTCTCTATTATTTGTCTGTGTTGTATTTCATGGATTTCTGCTGTGAGCTTTACTATTGTATTTTTTTTTTTTTTTTGAGACAGAGTGTCCCTCTGTCACCCAGGCTGGAGTGCAGTGGCGCAATCTTGGCTCGCTACAACCTCTGTCTCCCTGGTTCAAGTGACTTACCTGCCTCAGCCTCCTGAGTAGCTGGGATTACAGGCACCCGCAACCACACCTGACTAATTTTTGTGTTTTTAGTAGAGATGAGGTTTCACTATGTTAGCCATGCTGGTCTCGAACTCCTGACCTCAAGTGACCTGCCTGCCTAAGCCTCCCAAAGTGCTGGGATTACAGGTGTGAGCCACTGTGTCTGGCCTACTATTGCCTTTTGTCTACATATTATGACTAATTTGCTTGTCTTTTTCTGGTTTCATAAGGTAAGAAATATAAGTTTCTTGACATTAAACCTATCACTTAGAAATGCTACTTTAATCGTACCTCCCAATTTTTAATACGTTATATTTAAATTTTCATTTAGTTGAAAATATTACCCTATGATTTCCTTTTTGACTCATGAATCATTTTGAAGAGTATTGATTTCCACATATTTAGGAATTATCCATGTATCTTTCTGTTACTGATTTTCAATTTAATTCTGTTATGATCAGAAGACATGCTCTGTGTGATTTCTTTCTTTAGAAATCCACTGAAACTTCAAGTTTTGTGGCCCAGCACATGGTGAATTTTCTATGTGTATATGAAGAAGAGTATATGTTCTGCCGTTGTTTGGGAGAATGCTAATAAGTTTGACAGTATTGTTTGTCTTCTATATCCTCTTTGATTGTCTATTTACTTGTTCAGTCAGTTAATGAGAGTATTAAAACTTCTAACAAAATTATAGATTTCTGTATTCTGCCTTTCAATGTTGTCATTTCTTTACTTCTTATGTTTTGAAACTTTGATATTCATTGCATATACATTTAATATTCTTATGTCTTCTTGGTGAATTTGCTCACTTACCATTATTACATGGTATATGCTATATTAAATTTGCTTTACTTATGAACACCCAAGTAATTTAAAAGCCAAAGGTTGGCATAAGATAGAACATGCAAAGAATAAACATCAGAAATCTAGAGTAGTTATGGCAATTTCAGGCAAAATAGACCTCATAACAGAGAATATTATCAGAAATATCAAAATGTTGAAATTTATTTTAGCTCTTTAAAGACGTCATTCCATTATCTTCTTGTCTCCATTTTTTTGAGAAGCCAACCAACCATTTCCTATCACTGTAATGTGTATGTAATGTATCTCTTTTTCTTTGGCTGCCTTTAAACTTTCTAACTCTTGGTGTGTCCAGGTATAGCATTCTTTGCATTCATTCTGTTTAATGCTTAGTCAGCTTTTTGCATCTGTGAGTTGATGTTTTAAACTAATTGGAAAAACGTTACGTTAGTTACTCTTTGAAACTTTTTGTTTCTATTTTCTGTCTTTTTTCTTTCTGGGACTTAAACTATATGTGTTTATTATGTAATATGGTAGTACGGGTCACTGAGGATCTTTAATTTTCTCTTTTTTTTCTTTTTTGTTTCACTTTGAAAAATTCTATTGACCTATCTTTATGGAAATGGATTTTTTTCTTTGAATTTTTTAAAAGGTTGGTTTTATTCAGCTATGTTTTTATTTCAGATACTATATTTTTAATTTCCACTTGATTCTTTTTGAATTTTATATATTTCCAAAGATATCCTGTATCCTCGTCTATTATATCCACCTTCTCTGCAAATTTGTTAAAACAACTGTAACATTCCTACTTTAAAATCTTCTGTTAGTTTCAATATCTGGGTCCTCTGTGGGTCTGTTTCTATTGACTATTATTTTTTCTTCTCACTATGTGTCCAAAGACTAGTAAGTTTTAAATTCTGAAGTATACATTATAGAACATGCTATAGATATTCTAGATTTTATCTTCCTCTGAAAAGTTCTGGGGTCTATTCTCGCGTGCAGTTATATTAAGACTGATCATCTTAATTCTGTTGAAGTTTGATTTTAGACTTTGTTAGGGAGGGTCTGTTTCCATTTTTCCCTTAGTGCTAATGTATAAACCTTATGTTTAGAATGTGGTCCTTATTCCTAAGGGTGACTGTGGTTTCAATGGAAAAATCAAGGTGTTTTCCGAATCCTTCTAACATGATAGAACAATTCCAAACTCTGTCTCTCCAGCACTGGGAAATTTCCAAAATCTCTGACCAGCTCTTTCAGGCTTCCATTTTTTTATTTCTATTGGAAGTATCACTCCAGAAGTGTTGTTATGACCGTACAAATTTCAGGTTTCATCCAAGGATTTGAAACTGTATGCAAATTTGGAGGTCCCCTGTTCTTCTCTGAGCTATCCCATTCAATTTCCAGCTTTTCTGCCACCCCCAAATCCTGACTTTTAACTCATCAGCTCAATAAAACTGCAACTTTCTGCTTAAGCTCCATTGCCCATGTGCAAGACAGACTAGGAGTTATGGTCAGCAGAATAGTAGAACAAATGTGGTTTTCACTTAGTATGCCTCCCTTCTTTCAATGGTCACTCACCAATGCATTCAAAAATTGCTTTTTACATTTAGTCCGAAGTTTATACTTGTTGTAATCAGGAAGACTAGTCCACTATAGCCACCTTACCATTACTAGAGGTCAAAAACTTCTAGTACTTTATTTCTATTATGTTTTACAAAAGTATTGGTCTATGATTGGGTAGAAATTTTAAAAATCCTGATCATTACAACAAATAGTTTGAGAAATCCTGCTTTTCTACTCCCCATAGGCAATTATTTCCAGATCCAACTAGTTCCTACTGTCAGATATCATTGCATCTGCATATCAGAGACCCTGAGAACAAAGAATATGGACTTCTCTCCAGCTTACACAAATAGGTTACATGACTGTTTTTGTGTCTGCTTGTTAATAAATGTTTTTAAGTTTGTTGGGATTTTGTCTGAGACTTACTTTCATTGTGATGCATTTTCCAGTAGCAAGTTTGTAGAGGAGAAGAAATATATCACCCATTTATCTAGATCAGGGTCTCAAATAGAATAGATGTTAATAAATATTTGAAAATGAATCAATATTTTTCTAAAAGGTACACTTCACTTCTCTGCCTTAACTAAAACCTAGTTCTCTCTAGCTTCATCCACTGTTCTACCAAGTAGAGACTTTTTTTTCTCCTCTCACATCTCATTTAACTCAGGGTAGGGAGAAGTCATCCCTGAGCTTTATCACCACTGTGAACACAGGCAGTTCCTTTGAAGCTACAATATTTACCTTCTCATTGTCTTCCAAGACTTACCACCTGTACCTCTTTCCTCATTTCTGCTGCTTGATCTGTAGACAGCGCTAAGTCTGTGAAGACCAGGAAATTAGTCACAGGCATTCTCTAAACTTTAATAAAAGAAATTCAAGGGGATGATGTATCAGCTTCATTGTTTTTGCTTTTCTCCCCCAATTCAAGAAGCTTGAACTCACTCAGCATGACTAAGTTTTTGTTTCATCCCTCCAAAGAGGAAAAATTCTACTAGTACGTCTGTCCTAAATGTCAAGAAGATGTCGAAAGTCCAGATTTTATTTCTTCCTTTTCATCGTCCCTGAATTACTAACATGAAGGTATTGTTTTACTGCTCATTTTCTTATATCTTATTATCAAGCGTATGGTGAAAAGTTGTGGAGGTAGAGACCCACAAGCAACTCCGGACTTTGTGAGACTCAGTTGTTTCTAGACATTTGGGCACATATATCTGAAAGAAGTGCCATTCCACATGCCTATTTTTTTATTTTTTGTTTTTTGAGACAAGATCTCTCTCTGTCACCCAGGCTGGAGAGCAGTGGCACCATCAGGGCTCAGTGCAGCCTTGACCTTCTGGACTCAAGCAATCCTCCCACCTCAGCCTCCCAAGTAGCTGGGACTACAGGCATGTCCCACCATGCCAACACATGCCTAATTTTTAAAAATTGACGATGTTGAAAAAATCAAAGTATCAAAGAAAAAGTTCCTCATCCGTCCATTTCTATATTTCCATCCATTTTCTTTTTCTATCTTTCTCCCCTGTTAAAACTAATTAACTTTTCTAAGACTTCATGGGCAACCTCCATTCATGCTCAAATTTACATACACCCTTGCCTTTCCTTCTTCAGTTACAGGCCATTTTCTCCATGGTATATCTTCATTCTCTCCCTCATTACTCATTCTACTTGGATTTGTCAGGGAAAAACACCATATTAGCTGAAATATGAAGAATTAGTTGGTCTTCTGTGAATGAGGAAGGCAACAAAAGGGTGATCGAAGAAAAAGAACAGCATATATATATAGAAAGAACATAAAAGACATTATTTATATTTGGGGAAATAAATTATAATCTATTGTGCTAAGAATATGGAGTGGGTAGGTTATCCAATGTGTTGGCACACAAATTCATAGTACTTTTGTTCATAGTACATTTTTATAATTCTTTTTGATTCTGTAAATTCAGTAGTAATATTCCCTCTCGCATTTCTAATTTTAGTCTTCTCGTGTTTTTTTCGTAGTCAGTCTAGCTAAAGGTTTCTTAATTTTGTTTATATTTTTAAAGAACCAGCTCTTGGTTTTATTAATTTTGTTTCTTATTTTCTATTTTATCTATTTCTACTCTATTATTTTCTTCTTTCTGCTAGCTTTGGATTTAATTTGAAAATTTTTCCTAGTTTCTTAAGGGTGTAAAGCTAGATTGTCGATTTGAGACATTTTTAATGTAAACATTTGTAACTATATATTTCTCTCAGCGCTGCTTTCACTGCATTCTATAAATTATGGTGTGCTATGTTTTCACTTTCACTTGTCACAAAATATTTTCTGATTTCCCTGCCTATTAATTTTTTGATGCATTGGTTATTTTAGAGTGTTTTATAATTTCCACATATTCGTGAATTTTCCAGTTTTCCCTCTGCTATTGATCTCTTGCTTCATTCCATTGTGATAGAAAAAGGTACTTTGCATGATTTTCATGTTTAAAATGTATTAGGGAGCAAAATCAACATGTAACTCAGAGCAGCAGTCACCGAAATGTCCCTGGCCAGCATCCTTCCACCTGTCCACAAGCATGGGGAGCATCTTTGTCAACCTCTTCGAAAGCATTTTTGGCAAAAAAGAAATGCACATCCTCATCGTGGTCCTCAGTGCTGCAGGGAAAACAACAATCCTATATAAGCTGAAGCTGAGTGACATCATGACCACCATCCCTACCATAGGCTTCAATGTGGAAACCATGGAGTACAGGAACATCAGCTTAACCATGTGGAACATGGGCAGCCAAGAAAACATCTGGCCTCTGTGGCACCACTACTTCCAGAATACACAAGGACTGATCTTCGTAGTGGACAGCAATGATAGAAAGTGTGGAAAGGAGGCCTGGGAGGAGCTCTTTAGGATGCTGGCTGAGGATGAGCTCTGGGTGCAGTCCTCCTGGTGTTTGCCAACAAGCAGGGCCTCCCCAATGCCAGGAATGCAGCCAAGATCACAGACAAGCTGGGGCTGCATTACCTGTGCCACAGGAACTGGTGCATTTAGGCCACCTATGCCATTAGTGGAGACAGGCTCTGTGAAGGACTGGACTGGCTGTCCAATCAACTCTGGAACCAGAAGTGAATGCAACACCCTCTCGCTCTCATTGCTCCTCTTCCCCTTCACTTTATCCTCATGTGGCAAATGTGCAGCTCTGTGGTGTGAGTGCCAGAACCTGCTTCCCTGGTTTGGTCACCATGTGCATCATACTGTGCTGTAAATGTGACAGACATAGCCTGTGGCCAGACTTTTTATTTAATGTAAATAGTTCTTGTTTCCAGTGAGGCAGTTTCTGCTACTCCTATGCAATATTACTCAGGTTTTTTGTTTGTTTGTTTTACCGTAAAAAGAAAAATCAACTCATTCTTCAGTGCTGAGAGGGGACATAGGCTCATGGGTACCTGGCCTCTGAGAGTCACCAATTTGGGAGAGCTGGGGATGCCTCTAACTTCAGAGCTGTGTTGATACCCATTTTGGTGGTTGGTTTTTAACCCAAACGCGGTGCATTTTTAAAAATAGTTTAGAATCAACGTCAAGAACACTTGAACACACAAAAGAGAGACTTTGCTTAGCATGGGTTTGCAGTTATGGCCTGGATGCTAGTCACCGGCTTGGCTATTCCCCTCAGGAACATCAGGTGGTGGCACAGCAAGACTGCCATCAATTCTGCATGGTCACAATAGAGATGTCTGTGACACACTTGTCCTTAGATCACCCTGCATCTCATAGCCTTGTGCTTGTCCCTGTGCTCCCATGGTTCTTGAGGGCTAGTCTTAGAGCCCATGGCTGTCTCATTCTCCCCCAGGCCACCTCCCTACCCACCTGCCTGCCTCAGCCTCCTCAGAGGATGTAGGGCCCTACTATCCCTTGGTCAGCATGTGGCCAGAGCAGGCCCATGGTCTTCAGCTCTTGTGCTCGTTGAGGCACATTGGTAGGATATCTGGGGCCTCATCAGTGTTAATGAGAGCAAGGCAAGTGGACTGTGCACCTACACCCACAGCCCCTCAGGAGCACCCCATCTCCATATATGTCTTACCTGTCTCTCACTCAGACTGCAAGCATCCAAGTTGCCATAAAAAAAGACGGCCTTGCGCTGGGCGCGGTGGCTCATGCCTGTAATCCCAACACTTCAGGAGGCTGAGGCGGGCAGATCACAAGGTCAGGAGTTCAAGACCAGCCTGGCCAACATGGTGAAACCCTGTCTCTACTAAAAAATACAAAAAAATTAGCTGGGCATGGTGTCAGGTGCCTGTAATCCCAGCTCCTCGGGGGCTGAGGCAGAGAATTGCTTGAACCTGGGAGGTGGAGGTTGCAGTGAGGTGAGATCACACCACTACACTCCAGACTGGGCGACAGAGCGAGACTCTCTCAAAAAAAAAAAGATAGCCTTGACCGGGTGTGGGGGCTCATGCCTGTAATCCCAGCACTTTGGGAGGCCAAGGTGGGTGGATCACCTGAGGTCAGGAGTTCAAGACCAGCCTGACCAACATGGCAAAATACAATACAAAATTACAAAAATACGAAAATTAGCCAGGAGTGGTGGCGGGTCCCTGTAATCCCAGCTCTCAGGAGGCTGAGGCATGAAAATCTCTTGAACCCAGGAGGCGGAGGTTGCAGTGAGCTGAGATCGTGCCACTGCACTCCAGCCTGGGTGACAGAGTGAGTGACTGAGACTCTATCTCAAAAAAAAAGAAAAAGAAAAAGAAAAAAAGATGACCTCGATTTTTTTATTTTGTATTTTGATAAACACTAAAGAAGCTGGAGCTGTGAAATTTGTCTTGGGGAAAATCTCAGAACTGGTCTATCTGGTGTTGTGGAACCTTTTACTGTTTTCAGTACACAATTAGGAATCAACTGTTTTGTATACTTGTTTTCAGTTTTCATTTAGACAAACAAGCATTGTAATTATTGATATTAGAATAAAACCTCTTAACTATTAAAAATAAATCAATCAATTTTAGAAAGTGTATAAAGATTTGGTTTTTGGCCTAACATATGATTTATCCTTTAGAATGTTCCATGTGTACTTGGCAAAATTATTTTGTGCTGTTTTTGGTCCCATTAGACTATAGGGTTGTTCAATTCTTGTATTTCCTTATAGATCTTCTATCTGGTTGTTCTATCTACTATTGAAAGTGAGATATTAAAATCTCCTACTATTCAAGAGCTATTTTTCCCTTCAGTTCAGTCAATGCATGCTTCATATATTTTGGAACACTGATGTTGGGTGAATATATGTTTATTTTATTGTTACATCTTCTTACTGTATTGAAACTTCTATCATTATGAAATGACCATTTTTGTCTGAAGAATTTCTGACTTAAAGTCTATTTTACCTAATATTAATATAACAACCTCTACTCCTTTTTGGTGACTATAATATCTTTTCCATCCTTTCAATTTTAGCCTATCCATGTCTTTTGGTCTAAAATGAGTCTCTTATAAACAGCACAGAATTTGATCCTGTTTTTTAAAATCCGTTCTGCCACTATCTTTTGATTGAAGAATTTAATCTATTTACATTTAAAGTGATTACTGACAGGCACCTACTTTTATCATTTTGTTATTTGTTTTCTGTATGTTTTATACATTTTCATAACTCATTTCCTCTCTTACTGCCTTCCTTTATATTTAATTGATTTGTAATGACATGTTTCAACTTCATTCTCATTTCTTTTTCTGTGTACTCTATGAATATTTTCTTTGTAATTACCATGAGGATTACATATAACATCCTAAATTATGAAAATCTATCTTAAATTGATACCAAATTTATTTTAATCGAAAAAACTGTGTTATTTATAGCTCTGTCCCCTCTACTTATGTTATTACTATCAAAAATTTTATCTTTGTATTTTGTATACCCATTAAAATAGATTTTATAATTATGTTTTATGCACTTCTCTTTTTTTTAAGTTCAGGGTACATGTGAAGGTTTGTTACATAGGTAAACTTGTATTATGGGGATTTATTGTACAGCTTATTTCATCACACAGGTATTAAGTCTAGTACCCATTAGTTATTTTTCCTGATTGTCTCCCTCCTCCCACCCTCCACCCCATAATAAGCCCCAGTGTGTGTTGTTCCCCTCTGTGTCCATATGTTCTCATCATTTAGCTGCCATGCATAAGTGAGAACACATGGTATTTCGTTTTCTGTTGATGTATTAGTTTGCTGAGGATAATAGCCTCCAGCTCCATCCATATTCTCTCAAAAGACACGATCTTGTTCTTTTCCATGGCTGCATAGTATTCCATGGTGTATACATACCACATTTTCTTTATTCAGTCTACCATTGATGGGCATATAGGTTGATTCCATGCGTTTGCTATTGTGAGTAGAGCTACAATGACCATTCATGTGCATGTGCCTTTATGGTAGAATGATTTATATTCATCTGGGTCACTGGGTCGAATAGTAGTTCTGCCTTTAGCTCTCTGAGGAATCACCTTACTGCTTTCCACAATGGTTGAATTAATTTACATTCACACCAACAGTGGATAAGTGTTCCCTTTCTCTCCAGCCTCATCAGCATCATCAGTTACTTTTAGACTCTTTAATAATAGCCATTCTGACTGGTGTGAGATGGTATCTCATTGGAGTTTTCGTTTGCATTTCTCTAATGATCAGTGATACTGAGCTTTTTTCATTTGCTTGTTGGCTGCATGTATGTCTACTTTTGAAAAGTGTTCATGTCCTTTGCCCACTTTTTAATGGGGTTGTTTTTCTCTTGTAAATTTAAGTTCCTTATAGATGCTTGACATTAGACCTTTTTCAGATGCATAGTTTGCAAATTTTTCTCCCACTCTGTACGTTGTCTGTTTATTCTGTTGATAGTTTATTTTGCTGTGCAGAAGCTCTTAAGTTTAGTTAGAGCCCACTTGTCAATTTTTGCTTTTGTTGCAATTGCTTTTGGTATCTTTGTCATGAAATCTTTGCCCATTCCTCTGTCCAGAATGGTACTGCCTAGGTTGTTTTCCAGGGTTCTTATAGTTTTGGGTTTTACATTTAAATATTTAATCCATCTTGAGTTAAATTTTTGTATATGTTGTAAGGAAGGTGTCCAGCATCAATCTGCTGCATATGGCTAGCCAGTTATCCCAACACCATTTATTGAGTAAGGAGTGTTTTCCCCCTTGTTTGTTTCTGTCAGCTTTGTTGAAGATCAGAGAGTCATAGGTATGTGCACTTATCTTTTAAATCTTATAGAATAAAAGTGGATTACAATACAAAATTACAATAATACTGTTTTTTATCTTTGTCCATGTATGTACCTTTACCAGAAAACTTTATATTTATATATGGCTTTAAATTACCATCTAGTGTCCTTTAATTTCCACTTGAAGTACCCTCTTTAGCATTCCTTGTATGGTAGGTCTAGTGATAATGAGCTCCAGTACCTTTTGATTGTCTGAATATATCCTAATTTCTCCCTCATTTTTGCAAGATATAAAATTCTTGACTGACAATTTTTTTTCTTTCAGGACTTTAAAAATACTACCCTACCACACTCTAGCCTGCGAGAGTTCTGCTAAGAAATCTACTGATTGTCTTATTAGAGACCCCTTGTATGTGATAAGTCACTTTTTTCCTGCTCCTTTCAGGATTATTTCCTTGTCTTTCACTTTTGTGTGTGTGTGTGTGGTAAAATACACATAACATCTTAATCATTTGAAGTGTACAGTTCACTGGTATTAAATATATTCATAATGCTGCGCAACCGTCACCACCATTCATCTCTGTAACTCTTTTCATCTTGTAAAACTAATATTCATACTATTAAACAATAACTCCACATTCCCCTCTCCCTTAAATCCCTGACAACAACCATTATACTTTCTATCTATATAATATTGACTACTTTAAGTAACTCATATAAGTGGACTCATACAGTATTTGTCTTTTTGTGATTGGTTTATTTCACTTAGAATAATGTCTTCAAGATTCATCCATGTTGTAGCATGTGTCAGCAATTCCTTCTCTTTGAAGAGTACATAGTATTCTGGTGTGTGTATATATACATTTTGCTTATTTATTCATCTGGCAATGGACTCTTGAGTTGTTTCCATGTTTTAGCTATTGTGAATAATGCTGCTATGAACATGAGTGTACAAACATCTCTTTAAGAACCTGTTTTCAATTGTAATTATATTCTAATATCAGAAAAAATAGACTTTAAGTAAAAAATTTAAAAAGGTTATAAGAGACAAAGAAGGATCTATAAATCCAAAGAATATATATAGGATATATATATGATCCATATATTATATATAGGATATATATATGATCCATATATTATATATAGGATATATATATGATCCATATATTATATATAGGATATATATATGATCCATATATTATATATAGGATATATATATGATCCATATATTATATATAGGATATATATATGATCCATATATTATATATAGGATTTATATATATCCTTCTTTGTCTCTTATACATAATATATATTTATATGTGTGTGTGTGTGTGTGTGTGTGTGTGTGTGTCTTGCTCTGTCACCCAGGCTGGAGTACAGACACATAAGGTCTTGCTCTGTCACCCAGGCTGGAGTACAGAGATATAATCATGATTTACTGCAGCCACAACCTCCTGGGTTCAAGCAATCTTCTCACCTCAGCCTCCCAAGTAGTGGGGACTACAGACAAACATCATCACACCCAGCTAATTTTACCCTGCAGGACACTTTTAAGCATTACCTGTAGGAAAGGTCTAGTGGTAATGAACTCCCCCAACTTTTGTTTAATTTCTCAGTCATTTTTTTTCCTTTGTATGAGTCATACCTTCCTGTTTATTCGTATGTCATGTGTTTGTTTGTTTTTGTCAAAAACTAGACATTTGAATCTAATATTGTTGTAAATCTAGAAATCAGATTCTCCCCCTTAGCCAGGTTTTGCTGGTTTTTTTTTTTAATTGTATTTGCTTGTTGTGGTTTTCTTTTTAATTGTAATAGGCTGTCTCTGTGCCAAGGATCAGCCTAAGGTATAAACTTAAGGTCTTCTCACAACTTTTCTGATCCTGTGTCTTTCCCTGGGCATATATGATCACCTTTTAATTTTCCCCATATGTGCAGTTGTTTCTGTGTGTCCTAGTTTTTAAAGTCTGGCTTCCAAAAGGGGAAAATGAGAAAACTTTGATGAAAAAAGAAAAATGTCACTGGCCCTTAATATCCCCTGGAAGTCACTTCAGTTGGAGAGGAAGGGCTGGCAACAATTAGGGAAGGTGTAACAGCAATGGCTGCCTAACTCTTTGCACCTCTAAGCTCAGAAGCATCCATCAATAATCAGAACACAGATCACTGATATCTGGGGGACAGAGTTATTTTTGCCAACCTTGCCTCCTATAAACTGTATGCAAGTTGCTCCAGGGAAACATGCACAACTGCCTGCTACGGGCTATGTGTAGAGGATGCTAATTGCTGCTGTGCTAAGAGCTGAATGTGATTGAAATTAATGTAATTTACCATCCACCCTTCCTCTAGAAGTTGCAAACCTTTAATAGAATCCAGAGTTCCAAAATAGTTACAACAGACAGATTATGGCAGTCAACTTTTGTCTGGACCCGGAGACAGATTCCTGGAGCTTACTACTTCACCATCTTCAAGAATCCTCTCTTGTCTTTGACTTTTCAAATTTGATTATAATGTGTCCTGACTTTTGACAGTTTTATTATAATGTGTCTCTTTGGATTTATTTTCTTTAGAGATTTTTGAGCTTCTTGGATGTATATATCCATGTCTTTCCTCGTATTTGGGACACTTTTAGCTATTACTTCTTCAGATAATCTCTCTGCTCTCTTCTCTCTTCTTTTTCTGTCTTTGTGAGAAAAAAAAATTGTGAAAATTGGTATTTTTGGCCCCCTTTATATTTATATTGTTTCACTTGATGGTTTCCCATTGTCCCTTATGCTCATAACAGAATAGCTGAGACTGGGTACTTTATCATGAACAGAAATGCATTGGCTCACAGTTCCAGAAGCTGTGAAGTCCATTATCAAAATTGCTAGCATCTGGTGAGGGCTTTCCAGCTGAGTCATCACATGACAGAAGGCAAGAGGGTGAGAGAGCAAAAGGAGGATGAACTTACCCTTTCATAAGGGCCCCCATGCCACCCTTGAGGGCAGAGCCCTGCAGCTAATCACCTCTTAAAGGCCCTACCCTCTTAATACTGTTACAATGCAAATTAAATTTCAATATGAGTTTCAGAGGGAACAAACATTCAAATCATATAGGTATCTCATCACAGCTTTTTCTCAGAGGCTTAGATTTCTATTGTATTCCTCTGCCGGTAATCTCTTGTCCCCAGGTGTCCATTGGTCTGCAATCTCCCTGCATTTTTCTTGCACTATAGCACCCACCACTTCCTTTCATGGCTTTCATCCTTAGAAACAACCTATGCTGTTTTACTCCACCTGAGCATTGAGTCAGGTGAGACCAAAACCAGCACCTGGAGCAGCTCAAAGACCAGAATGTTACAAAGAAGTTTTGTTATGCTCCTTCCATTTTGAGGGAAGGAACAAGGAATTGGTCCAGGTGACACCAGGGAGATATTGGGGCTAGAGCAAGTAAAAAATGCCATGAAATTTGCTAGTGTTTTGAATGTGGTTTTTTCTTGATTGGATATCACTTTGTTTCTATGATCTTTGGTTTCCTGAAGGCCAGTAAAGACATTTTAGTAAGTATGTCCTTGTTTATTTGATGTTTCCATAGGAAAAACAAGATCTACAGCTTCCCAGTCCACCATCTTGCTGACATTACCCTTTATAAATTAATTTTATATGCAGAGTGAGCTAGGCAGCAAAATTTACTTTATATATTGATTTCTAGTTATTCTAGAACCATTTATTTGAAATATATTTTACTTTCCAGTGCTGGCCTTGATTAGTTGTCAAATGCATAAATTGACCGTGCATGTGTGGATCTATTTCTGGACTCTGTATTCTATGCCATTATTCTTCTTGTCTTCCATTATGCCAATATCACACTGTCCCCATGACCGTAGCTGTGTAACATTATTTCTCAACTGCAGAGTAATTTTGCCCTCCCTGTACATTAGGCAATGACTGCAGACATTTTTGGTTGTTGAACTGAGTGGGGGGTGCTTTTGGCACCTGTATGTAAAGGCCAGGGATGTTGTTAAACATCATGTAATACAGAGGACAGCTCTGACACACACATGCACAAAATTATCTGGCCAAAATATCTGTGCTAAGGTTGAGATATTTCATTATATATTAAGTCTTAAAAATCAAGTAGTGTAAGTCTTTGGTTCTCTTTTCAATACAATTTTGTCTATTTAAGTAGCTTTTCCTTTTCCTTTGAATTTTAGAATCAACTTGTCAGGGCGTGGCACAGTGGCTCATACCTGTAATCCCAGCACTTTGGGAGGCCAAGGCGGGTGGATCACCTGAGGTCAGGAGTTCAAGACCAGCCTGGCAAACATGGTGAAACCCTGTTTCTACTAAAAAATACAAAAAATTAGCTGGACGTTGTGGCAAGCACCCGTAGTCCCAGCCACTCAGGAGGCTGAGGCAAGAGAATTGATTGAACCAGGGAGGTGGAAGTTGCAGTGAGCTGAGATCACGCCACTGCACTGCAGCCTGGGTGACAGAGCAAGACTCCATCTCAAAAAAAAGAAAAAAAGAATCAACTTATCAGTTTCTATAAAAATGTCTTTTGTTAATGTGCTTAAGATTATAATTGGGAATTATATTAAATCTACAGATTAATTTGGAAAGATTTTATATTTTATCAATATTGAGTATTCCTATCCATAAACATGGTATATCTCTTCAACTTTTTAATATAACATCTTTGTGAGAAAAAAAGTTTGTGAAAATTGGTATTTTATTTTATTTAGATGTTTTTAACGAAGTCACCAGTGAATCAATCTGATATAGCACTTTTGTGTATGGGAAGGTTTCAAATTATACATTATAATTTTAAATACATTATAAGAATGATCAGATTTTGCTTTTCTCTTTGGTTTGGCTTTGTATCCCGCACCCCCCAATCTCACCTTATACTCTCATAATTCCCATGTGTGTGCAAGGGACCCAGTGGGAGATAATTGAATCATGGGAGTGGGTCTTTCCCATGTTACTCTTGTGATAGTCAATAAGTCGCATGAGATCTGATGGTTTTAAAAACAGGAGTTTCCCTGCACAAGTGCTCTCTCTTTGCCTGCTGCCATCCATGTAAGGTGTGACTTGTTCCTCCTTGCCTTCCACCAGGATTGTGAGGCCTCCCCAGCCACATGGAACTGTAAGCCCATTAAAATTCCTTCTTTTGTAAATTGCCCAGTTTTGGGTATCTCTTTATCAGCAGCATGAAGATGGACTAACACAGTAAATTGGTACCAGGAGTGGGGTGTTGCTGAAAAGATACTTTAAAATATGGAAGCAACTTTGGAACCGGGTAACAGGCAGAGGCTGGAACAGTTTGGAGGGCTTGTAAGAGGACAGGAAAATGTGGGAAAGTTTGGAACTCCCTAGAGACTTGTTGAATGGTGTTGACCAAAATGCTATGATATGGACAATGAAATCCAGTCTGAGGTGCCCTCAGATGGAGATGAAAAACTTGTTGGGAACTGGAGCAAAGGTGACCCTTGGTTATGTTTTAGCAAAGAGAATGGCAGCATTTTACCCCTGCCCTAGAGATCTGTGGAACTTTGAACTTGAGAGAGATGATTTAAGGTATCTGGCAGAAGAAATTTGTAAGCAGTAAAGAATTCAACATGTGACTTGGGTGCTGTTAAAGGCATTCAGTTTTAAAAGGGAAAAAGAGCATAAAAGTTTGGAAATGTGCAGCCTGACAATGCGATAAGAAAGAAAATCCCATTTTCTAAGGAAACATTAAAGCTGCCTGCAGATATTTGCGTAAGTAACAAGGAGCCAAATGTTAATCATCAAGACAATGGGGAAAATGTCTCCAGGGCATGTCAGAGACCTTTGCAGTAGCCCATTTCATCACAGGCCCAAAACCTAGGAGGAAAAAATGGTTTCATTGGTTGGGCCCAGGGTCCCTCTGCTGTGTACAGTCTAGGGACTTGGTGGCCTGTGTCCCAGCTGCTCCAGCCATGACTAAAAGGGTCCAAGCTACATCTTGGGCCATGGCTTCAGAGGGTGCCAGCCTCAAGCATTGGCAGCTTCCACAGAGTGTTGAGCCTGTGGGTGGACAGAAGTCAAAAATTGGGGTTTGGGAACCTCTGCCTAGGTTTTAGAAGATGTATGGAAACCCCTGAATGTCCAGGCAGAAGTTTGCTGCAGGGGTGGGGCACTCATGGAGAACCTCTGCTAGAGCAGTGCAGAAGGGAAATATTGGAGCCCCCACACAGAGTCCCTGCTGGGGCACTGCCTAGTGGAGCTGTCAGAAGAGGGCCCCATCCTCCAGACCCCAGAATGGAAGATCCACTGACAATTTGCACTGTGCAACTGGAAAAGCTGCAGACACTCAACACAAGACTGTGAAGGCAGCTGGAAGGGAGGCTCTACTCTGCAAAGCCACAGAGACAGAGCTGCCCAAGACCATGGGAATCTACCTCTTGCATCAGTGTGACCTGAGTTTGAGACATGGAGTCAAAGGATATCATTTTGGAGCTTTAAGATTTGTCTGCCCAGCTGGATTTCAGATTTGCATGGTGCCTGTAGCCCCTTTGTTTTGGCCAATTTCTCCCATTTGAAATAGCTGTATTGACCCAATGCCTGTACCCTCATTGTATCTAGGAAGTAACTAACTCACTTTTGATTTTACAGGCTCATAAGTGGAAGGGACTTTTCTTGTCTCAGATGAGACTTTGGACTGTGGACTTTGGAGTTAATACTGAAATGAGTTAAGACTTTGGGGGACTGTTGGGAAGGCATGATTGGTTTAGAAATGTGAAGACATCAAATTTGGGACAGGCCGGGGGCAGAATTATATGGTTTGGCTTTGTGTCTGCACCCAAAACTCATCTTGTAGCTCCCATAATTCCCACGTGTTGTGCAAGGGACCTGGTGGGAGATAATTACATAATGGTGGCAGGTCTTTCCCATGCTATTCTCATGGTAGTGAGATCTGATGGTCTTAAAAACAGGAGTTTCCCTGAAAAAGCTCTCTCTCTTTGTTGCCATCCATGTAGAACATGACTTGTTCCTCTCTGCCTTCAATCATCATTGTGAGGCCTCCCCAGCCACATGGAACTGTTAAGTCCGTTAATCCTCTTTCTTTTGTAAATTGCCCAGTTTTAGGTATGTCTTGATCAGCAGCATGAAAACAGACTAAAACAAGTCAGTTTTGCAAAGTTGTGTTTTACAAGAAATTCTTCCATTTCATTTGTTTAATGTATTCATTCAAGTTGTTATTTATAGTCTCTTTTTTACCTTTTTTGATGTCTGTAGCATCTGTAAGAGTACTTTTATAACTAATACTGGCAATTAGCATCTTCTCTTTTTTGTCTAGCTAGAGGTAATTTACTAATCTTTCAACTTTTGGTTTTGTTAATATTCCTGTTATCTATTGCATTGATTCTGCTCTGATCTTTATTATTCCTTTCTTCTACATATTTCAGGTTTAATTTTTTCTTCTTCAGTTTTTGAATAGTAGCTGCTTGAAGCATTGATTGTAAACTTTCCTTGTTTTCTGATACAATTACTTAAAGCTATAAATTTTTCTCTAAATTCTGTTTTGTCTGCATTCTGAATATTTTCATATGTTTTCTTTCAATTATCATTTAGTTTGAAACATTTTTAAATTTCTCTAGTGCTTTCTTTTTTGATTCATGTTATTTTTAAGTATATTTTTAGTTCCCAAATATTGTAGACTTTCCTTTGTATTCTGTTATTTTAAAAGTAACTTTATTGAAGTACAATTTGCATATTATAAAAATTATCCTCTTAAGTGTATAATTCTTTAGGAAACTTCTAAGTTGTACAATTCTTACCATAATCTAGTTTAAAAATATTTTATTCTGTTTATCAGTTGGATAATTTCTACTGATGTGTCTTCAATTTTACTAATCCAATAATTTTTCATCTTCCAACTGCTACTAAACTCACAGTTTTTTTTAAATTTTAGTTATTAGCCTTTACATTTCTAGAATTCTACTTGGTTTGTCTTTATAGTTTCTACTTCTCTGTTGATAGTTCCCATTTATTTATTCTTTGTGACTATCTTTATGCTCTTAAGCATATTCATGTAATGTATATGTAACATAACAATATTATACATATACATTTATGTAATAACATCATTGCTAATTTTAACAGGTAGCTCATCTTGATAACTTTTTATTATCTACTTTTTCTCTTGTCAGTGGTTATATTTTCATGTTTCTTCTCATTTCTATTAATTTTTATTATGTCTTAGGTGTTTTGGAGATGTGTTGTAGAGACTCTAGGTTTTCTTATTTTGAAGAGCCTTGATTTTGTTCTCACAAATAGTCTAATGAACTTGTGGAAGTTTGATTTTTTACTTTGTTAGGGTGGTTTACTTTGAGTTTGTTCTTAGGTTTATGAAAAATTCATAGTCCAGGGACATAGTCGTTACTCCTAAGAAGTGGCCATTTCAGTGGAAAACAAAATGTGCTTACTAATCTCCTCTAACTTTGAACTTTGCATAGTTCAAACTCAAAACTCTGTTTCCCATGGACTGAGTAGAAGTTAAAATTTCTATTCATCATTTTTAGTCGTTAAGGTGTTTCTTTTCATCAGGTTCTTTGTAGTCAAGCCCCTGGTTTGTGCCACTTAAGAGTGGACCCTTTGGGAAATGTGTGTGCATATTTGGGGGTGTCTCCTCTATGCCTCTTTCTTTTCTGAAATATCATCTCTCAGTTTCCAGCTACTCTACAACCTGGAACTTCATGCTTTGATCCTGAAAACCAATAAGACTGCTTAATTTTTTAGCCACCTTAGCTAGAGGTCTTGGAAGTGCCCTGGGGGAAAACTCCTATAAATAAATTTCTTACTCAACACATTTCTGTTCTTTAAAGAGCCAAATCCCCTTCAGTTTCTGCCTACTTCTCCCCTCCCATTTCCTCTCCAATGACTTCAAATCATTGTTTTACAATTTTTTTTCTAGAGTTTATAATTTTATCTAATGAGTATGAGTTCAATAAAATTTACTCTCATTACTGAAATAAGAATGCCTGCTGTATTCTTATTCCTGGTTCATATGAAGGGTATTATAGTACTGAAATTGTATTCATGCTGGAGAAATGGTGAAATTCTTTGAAATGGGCAAAAAAAGATTGCTGAACCCTCTGTCTAGTGGACTCTGCCTAGTTAGCTGTCTGTATCTTTCATTATGTTTTGAACTATTTTATAACTAAATTGTAGAAATCAGACAGTAATGCCAATGACTCCATAACAATGCAAACAGATTTCGTGGGGAAGAATTCAATAATTTATTATTCCATGGATATTGGCTATTTCTGCATTTATTTAAAACATCTCTGGCTGGGTGCAGTGGCTTACGCCTGTAATCCCCAGCACTTTGGGAGGCTGAGGCAGGCAGATGACATGAGGTCAGGAATTCGAGACCAGCCTGGCCAATGTGGTGAAACCCTGTCTCTACTAAAAATACAAAAAAAAAAAAAAAAAAAAAAATCCCAGTTACTTTGGAGGCTGAGGCAGGAGAATCGCTTGAACCCGGGAGGTGGAGGTTGCAGTGAACCAAGGTCGTGCCACTGCATTCCAGCCTGGGTGACAAGAGCAAGACTGCATCTCAAAAAAAAAAAAAAAAAAAAATCTGTATTTCTGATTGTATTGTATTTATATATGTATTTTCTATAAATTCTCTTTTGAACTGGTTGTGACATTTTACTGTCTCTTACATTAATTAATGTATTAAAATGTATTTGCATGTGTTCATTTTATATTTGTATGAGAAGTATAATTTTACCTTTTAAAAAGTTATCTTCTAACTCTATCAAAACCATAAGTCTTAAACATAACTCAGTTTGCCAATGAAAATTTGCTTTTAATATTGCTACCACTGAAATGTGGATCACTACATAGGGTTCCTTAAATTTACCCAAAGGCTCCCAGGTTGTAGATTAAGTTTAAAACCCTCACAAACATCACATACAAATGCATCACATACCAAAATATTTTGAAGTAAACTACTACACAGACTTTACCAGATAGATCAGCACAGACTTTTAACAGAAGGGCATAAAGAAAGGTTAAGTTTAAGCTTATGGGAGATAATTAAGGATCATTTTCAACCATTATCTGGTTGAAGATACAAACATGGTCTGTTTTAATATCAAATCACTCTTAATTTCAACATATCAACATAGAAGAAACCACATTAGATAGCTATCTCACAAGACCCATGGCTATTAATCATCTTTTTAGCAACTATCCAGCAAAAGTGTAGCATCTTGTTCTTTTGAATTATGTGAATTAGTTTGTCAAGGTTATAGCACAACTATTTCATTTAGCATGATGACACAAATGAAGTATGCAGTCATATAATGCTATTTTCCTTGTAATCACGGTGTTAAATGGTCTTCGTGATTTACCTACAGCCAATTGAATGATGCATTTTCAAAGACTTTGCTTTATAAAATCAAAAAATCACAACGGTTTCCAATTTTTTTTTTCAATCTTTTTCCATTTAAAAGTAAACTTCACTGTTGAAGATGCAAACTTGGGGAGGGCAGAAAGATCACACACAAGGCTGCCACTTCACACCTGGAGGGTGACATGGCAGCAGGACAGAGGCACTCTTCACTTCCCAGATGGTGCAGCTGCAAGGCAGAGCCGCTCTGCACTTCCCAGACAGTGGAGCCGCGGGGCAGAGGGGCTCCTACTTCCCAGACGGTGTGGCGGTGGGGCAGAGGCCCTCCTCACTTCGGAGATGGTGGGGCGGCCGGGCAGAGGCGCTCTTCACTTTCCAGAGGGTGTGGCGGCCAGGCAAAGGTGCTCCGCACTTCACAGACGGTGGGGTGGCTAGGCAGAGATGCTCCTCACTTCCAAGATGGTGGGGCGGCCCTGCAGAGGTGCTCCTCACTTCCCGGAGAGTGCCGCGGCAGGGCAAGGTGCTCCTCACTTCCCAGAGAGTGCGGCGGCAGGGCGGAGGCGCTCCTCAGTTCCCGGAGAGTGCGGCGGCCGGGCGGAGGCGCTCCTCACTTCCCGGAGAGTGCGGCGGCAGGGCAGAGGCGCTCCTCACTTCCCAGACGGTGGGGCGGCGGGGCAGAGGTACTCCTCACTTCCTTTTTTGTTTGTTTGTTTTTGACACGGAGTCTTGCTCTGTTGCCCAGGCTGGAGTGCAGTGGCACGATCTCAGCTCACTGCAAGCTCAGGTGCTCCTCACTTCCAAGATGGTGGGGTAGCTGGGCAGAGGCGCTCCTCACTTCGCAGAAGGTGCTGCAGCCTGAGAGAGGCCCTCCTCACTCCCCAGTGGGGCAGCCAGGCAGAGGCACCCCTCACTTCCCAGACAGTGTGGCGGTGGGCAGAGGCGCTCCTCACTTCCCAGAGGGTGGGGCGGCCAGGCAGAGGCGCTCCTCACTTCCCGGACGGTGGGGCGGCCAGGCAGAGGCGCTCCTCACTTCCCGGACAGTGTGGCGGCTGGTAGAAGCCTCCTCACTTCCCAGACGGTTGGGCCGCTGGGAGAGGCACTCCTCACTTCCCAGACGGTGCGGCCACCGGTGGAGGTGCTCCTCACTTCCAAGACGGTGGGGTGGCCGGGCAGAGGCACTGCTCACTTCCCAGACCATGGGGCGGCCGGGCCAAAGGTATTTTTATATGGAACTATTTGTTCAGTTTATTTTCAGCAAAATAGACTATTTAGTGGACTAGTCAATTATCTAGGGCCAGGAAAATGAGGATGAGAACTGCTAAAACCATCTGTTAATGTCCACAAACACCCTGAAATCCAGAAACAAGTCTTTTTGTCCCAAATCAGAACTAAAAATATATTCCCTGTCCTAAAATAAAGAAATAAAAGAAGAAGCAAATGTATTCATTGCAATCTACCTATACTAGGTACAAAATAAAAGCAAAGTATTTGGACAGTCTCATTCCTTTCTTATGAGAGCCAAAATAAAATAATAAAATTAATTTAAAAGGCAACCTTAGCTAAAACCTGAATGCAATATTTTGTTTTTTAAATCCTTCAAAAATTGGAGAAAATAGACTACCATTGGGCTGGATGAAATAAATTTGAGAATAAGTACATATCTCTGAGACTTGCTCTAAATCTGTAAATGAACTAATTAATTAATTAAATGGAAATAAATCAATCAAAGAAGGCTAGCCCAGTGATGCTAGTGTCTCATGAAATCAATGATTATCAATGTAGTTGATGTTCTCCTAAGGCCCAGTTTTAAAAATACATTAATAGGCTGAGTGCAATGGCTCACGCCTGTAATTCCAGCCCTTTGGGAGGTTGAGGCTGGAGGATCACTTAATTCCAGGAGTTCAACACCAGCCTGGGCAACATGACGAAATCCTGTCTTTACAAAAAATACAAAAATTAGCCACGCATGGGGCCGTGCGCCTGTAGTCCCAGTTTCTCGGGAGGATGAGGTGGGAGGATCACTTGAGCCCAGGAGTTTGAGGCTGCAGTGAGCTGTGATTGCGCCACTGCACTCAAGCCTGGGCCACAGAGTGAGACCCTGTCTCAAAAAAAAAAAAAAAAAAAAAAAAAAAAAGACACATTAATAAGCAAACCCCATATGCTTAGAAAACTAACATACTGAGACTTACAAGAGCTCAGCTTATCATTTGCCCATTTGTAAGTATTAGATAAGAGGGGTAACAAAAAGTGTGTATCACAATCATCATGCCCAAACAGATTCCTGCTGAATTTGTCTTCTGTTTAGAAAGACCAAGAGAGTGGCTGGGCACGGTGGCTCATGCCTGTAATCCCAGCACTTTGGGAGGCCGAGGCAGGTGGGTCACCTGAGGTCAGGAGTTTGAGACCAGCCTTGACAACATGGTGAAACCCTGTCTCTTCTAAAAATACAAAAATTAGCCAGGCATGGTGGCATGTGCCTATAATCCCAGCTACTCGGGAGGCTGAGGCAGGAGAATCGTTTGAACCGAGGAGGCAGAGGTTGCAGTGAGCTGAAATCGCACCATTGCACTCCAGCCTGGGCAATAGTGTGAGACTCCGTCTAAAAAAAAAAAAAAAAAATCGAGAGATATTCCACGTGGAAACTGCACAGCCCAGACCTGGCGTATAAACCTAGCTATCTATAACTGTAGCTTAGGGCCTCAAAGCATTGGTATCAGATTGATTGCTTTGACATCTGAGAAACGCAAACTAACAAGGCAATTAAATTAGAAGGCTGGCTGTTTTCACCAATTTATCAGGGACTTAGGAGGTGGCTGAAAGCTCTCAAGGAGCTTTGTAGAACCTCTTATATGGTGGCAAATGTGGGGGAACATGATCAACAGTTGAACAGCTTAGCAGGGAACTTCCTTTCAACTTCCTTCTTCATGGAAAGGCAAAGAGTTTGCTGTGAAAGAACAAAATCACTGCTTTTCCTTCCCCCAACACAAGCATTATTTGGAGCTTATAACATTTGTCTTTATTTACTTTTCCCTAAAAAAAAAACATTGTTGAAATGTCCCTTTGGATATTCTAGTAAAACTACAACCATAGTAACAAAATATCCTGCCTTTCAATAGCATACAGCCGTCAGGCAACCAGTAAATATAATATTGATATTTAGCAGATCTGTTTGTAGGGTTGTCAGATTAAGCAAATAAAAATATATGATGCTCAGTTTAAAGTGCATTTCAGATAAACAACATCTTTTATATAAATATATCCAATGCAATATTTGCTTGACTAAAAGAATCATTCTGAGCCCTGACTTTGCCAACTTCTATGCAGCTTAGGAAACTTAGGTATGGAAAACCAGCTTTATGTTAGTAAGAATAGCCTCCAGTTCTAGGCCTAAGTAAAAATAGGGGTTATATGCCTCATTCTCCAGGGGAAATAGAAAGTAGCTTCTTGGGGAAAAGATTGCCTAGCCTCTTGGTAACAAGTCAGAAAAACCATAGTTGGTCACTCACTCCTCAGAGAGTAGAGCCTCTATAGCAATTCACTTCCAAAGCCTAAAACTGAAGTGGAAATTGAGAGGAGAGAGGCCTTTTAGGACAGTAGTCTTCAAATATTTTTATTAATGTGCTCTCTAAAAGAATGTTTTAAAATGATATACTCTCTTGAATATTTTTAAATGATGCCTTAAATTGTATAAAAAATTTTAAGCATGTATACTATAAAGGATACATTTTCAGTGTATCCTTTAGAGTATACATGTATACTGTAAAGGATACATTTTCAGTATATCGTTTATAGTATACATGCCATACACACACAAACAAACACATATTATATATAATATAGTTTATAACCTAGCTTATTGAAGATTTTTACTAAAATTGGCTTATGGAGCATATACATTTCAAATAACTATTAAATCAAAAAGACTAAATTTTAAAATGTTAGAATTTTTTTCTAAATATCAGAATATTTTAGTGTTTGTAAGACTATGCGTGATTTTTTCCATCAACGTTGCTGTATTTTATAAATTTTTAAAAAAGTTTTTAAACTGACACGTAATAATTGTACATATTTATGGCGTATACAGTAATTTTTCCATACATGTAATGTATAGTGATCAGATGATGGTAATTAGCATCTCCATCATTTCAAACATGTATCATTTCTTTGTGTTGGAGACATTCAGTATCCTCCTTGATATAGTTTGGATATTTGTCCTCTCCAAATCTTATGTTAAAATGTGACCCCCAGTGTTGGGTGGGGGTCTGGTAGGAAGTGTTTGGGTCGTGGGGGAGGATCCTTCGTGAATGACTTGGTACCCTGCCCATGGTAATGAGTTGCCACAAGATCTGGTTGTTAAAAAAGGTCTGGGACCCCCACCACTACCTCTCTTGCTCCCCCTCTCTTGTTCCCTCTCTCGCCATGTGATATGCTGTTGCCATCATTGTAAGCTCCCCGAGGCCTCACCAGAAGCCAAGCAGATGCTGGTGTCATGCTTGTACAGCCTGCGGAACTGTGAGCCAAATAAACCACTTTCCTTTATAGATTACGCAGCCTTGGGTATTTCTTTATAGCAATGCAAAATGGGCTAACACATTCCTTCTAGCTATTTGAAACTTTATATTAACTATAATTTTCCTACAGTGTTATAGAACACTAGTCTTATTTCTCCTATCTTTAATTTTGTATCCTCTAATGTCTCCCCCATCCTTCTCTTCTCCCTGCCCTTCCTAGACTCTAATATCCTCTGTTTTACTTTTTACTTTCATGAAATCAACTTTTTTTAGTTTCCATATAGGATTGAGAACATAAGGTGTTTACTTTTCTGTTCCTGACTCATTTTACTTAATATCCTCCAGTTCCATCTGTGTTGTTGCCAATGACAGGAGTTCATTCTTTTTCATGGCAGAATAATGTTCCATGGTGTTTTTACAGCATATCTTCATCTATTCATCTGTTGTTAGACAACTAGGTTGATTTCATATCTTGGCTATTATGAATTGTGTTACAGTAAACATGGAGGTGCAGATGTCTCTTTGATATATTGATTTCCTTTCATTTGGATTAATGCCCAGTAGTAAGATTCCTGGATCATATGGTAGTTCTATTTGTAGTTTTTTGAGAAACCTCCATACTGTTCTCCATAAATATACTTTTGTTGAAACCTCAGAGCTTC
This sequence comes from Homo sapiens, assembly GCF_000001405.40. Lineage (NCBI taxonomy): Eukaryota > Metazoa > Chordata > Mammalia > Primates > Hominidae > Homo > Homo sapiens. The sequence goes on from NC_000007.14 coordinate 94,854,061, forward strand.
ATATTTAATTCATTCTATTTGTAAGTATCTTACATATTACCTAATTGGCAAAAACAGTCCCCATTATTATAAGCCAAATCAGAAAAAAAAAAATTCTTAAAACATTCAAATATATCCGAGATCGTGCCACTGGACTCCAGCCTGGGTGACAGAGCGAGACTGTCTCAAAAAAAAAAAAAATCTAATATACATGTTACTGCGGGTCTCGGTGACAACCATTTCTGAAGTATAATTCTTAAATAAATAGAAAGAGAAGGAAGAACTTTCATGAAATCTTGCCGAGTTTGTCTTCTAGATGAAATGAAACATCATTCTCTTAATGTTTCTTAATATTTCTTACCGAGATGCATTGCCCTTTTTATATTTCTTACCTATTGCCCCTTTTGCTTTTTTCTCAAGGCCCATCTTTTAGGAGCTAGTACTTTTCAAACTGTACCCTTATTATTACTTGCCATATGGCCCTCTCCTCTGGGTTTTTAATCTGGAACCCTGCACCATAGTAAGATTTAGGATGAGTGGTGTTTGGAGTTACAGTGACCACACTATTGAATACAATGTTTGTAGATGGGGTTGAATTATAAAACAAGGGGTTAGTCCCAGAAGGAGCTCCCAATAGATCAGGCACCCAAGTGGCAAGATTTCGTGAAAGTTCTTCCTTTAGCACCTCAAGCACTAAAACTGCAAGGTACACTGAATTGCTGAGAACATCAACTGGAGTAAAAGAAATCTTAAATGTTTCTCTTAAAAAGATCTAAAGTGGCTAAGTGGCTATCACCAGTGCCTGGCAATATTGATGCTCACTAAATGTTAAATAAATCCCCAAGGACTGTTGATGAGCTAGATGCCTAAAAGAAAGGCATGACAAGGAAATATTGGGCTACACCAGCAGAGGATAGTGTAGTCAACAGGGACTCTACAATGACTGTCACCAGGAGATGAGATGAGATGGTAGAGATGGGATATTGCCATAAGAGCAAAGGGACCTGGGTGGCAGAGGTCAGTGCAGCTGGCTAACTGAGTACTACTCTGGAACATGCTGAAGATTTTTTATCCTGTGAATGAAATATTGAAAAAATAGACTGTTGTTATTATATCTAATGAACATTTCCAAATTTTTTTTTGAGACAGAGTCTCACTCTGTCTCCCAGCCTAGAGTACAGTGGTGTGATCTCGGCTCACTGCAGCCTTGACCTCCCAAGCTCAGGTGCTCCTCCCACCTCAGCCTCACAAGTAGCTGGGATTACAGGTGCAAGCCAGCATTCCTGGCATTTTTTTGTATTTTTGTATTTGTATTTTTTGTAAAGACATGGGATTTTGCCATATTGCCCAGGCCATGAATCTTTCTAACTTTTAATAAAACTTCACTCAAACTTTGTAAGCAATGTTTTTGCAAGACAGGTCATTAATAACAGAACGTTTCTATCAACACAAACACTGATAGCAAGGTGATTTTTCTAAGGTTCTCCATGGATTTCAAATCAAATGATTGACTTTAATTTATCAAATGGTTTATATTAGTTCATTCTCACATTACTATAAAGAACTACCTGAGAGTGGGTAATTTATAAAGAAAAGAGGTTTAATTAACTCACAGTTCCATGGGTTGCACAGGAAGCATGGCTGGGGAGGCCTCAGGAAACTGACAATCATAGCAGAAGGCAAAGGGGAAGCAGGTACGTTTTACATGGCTGGAGAAGGAGGAAGAGAGAGAGGGGAAATTTGCCACACACTTTTAAACAACCAGATCTTGTGAGAACTCACTCACTAACATGAGAACAGCGATGGAGAGGTCTGCCCCCATGATCCAATCACCTCCAATTAGGCCCCTCCTCCAACATTGGGAAGTACAATTTGACATGAGATTTGGGTGGGGACACAAATCCAAACCATATCATGGTTGATAATTTTTCTTATTTGTATCTTATCTTTCTAACCAGAATCTACACTATTACACTCTGTTTGTTTGTTTGTGTCAGAGTTTCACTCTTGTTGCCCAGGCTGGAGTGCAATGGTGTGATCTCGGCTCACTGCAACCTCTGTCTCCCGAGTTCAAGCAATTCTCCTGCCTCAGCCTCCCAAGTTGGGATTACAGGCACCCTCCACCACATCCGGCTAATTTTTTGTATTTTTATTAGAGACAGGTTTTCACCATGTTGGCCAGGCTGGTCTCGAACTCCCGACCTCAAGTGATCCACCCGCCTTGGCCTCCCAAAGTGCTGGGATTACAGGCGTAAGCCACTGTTCCCGGTCAGGAAATAACATTCTTTTATATCCACTATGATATCAACTTGGTTCTTCACATTCCAGGCAAATGTAACATAAATATATATGAATACACACACATACATACACTACTTCTCATCTGCCTACCTTTCAACTGGATGCACAAATTATCTTCTCCATTTCATCATTTTTCAAACAGTTCCCCAACATGGTCCTGTAGGGCAAAATCAGGAGAGCATTAAGACTGGGTAAAGATGGGGGTTAAGTGTCTGCTTTGGGTTGAAGTATAACAGTATGATAGTAAATGATACCCTGAATCCTGAATCATTCCTGAAGTCTCTTTTGTTTTGAGATACCAGCGTTATTTTTCTTTAGCATTTGTGAGAATAATGAGCTGACTCCATTTGTGACATAAAAGGAGAAAAACTAAGCAAATGCTGCAAGAGAGGTATTTAATCAATAGATTCACAAAAACCAACATTATAATAAAGCTGTACAAATATTTAGCTAAATTGCAAAACTGTTATGATTGTTCCCTGCATGCAACTTGGCATTATAACAAACCACAAGAAAAACCATGTCTTTGTGAACAAATGAACATCAAATGAGTAAGACTATACAAGGTTATCTGCTAGCTCTAACACAATTGTTTACTTGAATTTTTCATGAAGTCTGTTTAATTAAATATGCTTGATATCTTGGGTTGCCTATCATCTTTTTTTTAGGGCTGTGAATGTTTCATATTTGATAGCTATGTACAGCATGTTAAGCTCTTCTGAAAATAAGGCTTGGAAGAGTATTTTGACTGCTTATGAATGATTGATTTTATTGTGAGTACTGTGAGACCATTTGACAAATGTTCTTCTGTCCAGTCACCTTTATCTCCTAAACTATTTTAAAGGAATAAATGGGACCTCCACAAACTGTGGGATCACAAAAGCCTAGTAACTTAATAATATATATTGAATGTAATTTACTGTATATACTGATATAGGGCTTAGAAGGACAGAGAAAAAAGTTATATAGAATGTTTCTGTTCTAACAGCAATATGATGATTTCGAAAGTCAAGAAATAATTATTCTGCTGCTTTTTTTTTTTTTTTTAGCTTTTCCTTATCATTATGTACATAGCCACAGTAAACCTAGGAAGTCTATTACCCTCACTGTGATCAATTTTTCATTTGGAACCCTGGTTACTTGTATCATGTTGAGCCAATCACTTTCTTTTCTTTGTTCTTTCACTTGGCTTTTAATTGATATATGCTACCATGCAACATATATTTTTAAGTTTTTGTTTGTTTGTTTGTTCTTGAAAGCTTAAATTATTCTTAAAACAAGATGGGGCATATAAACTTACATGTGTATGAAGCATGAGAATCTTACCATTTCTCTTTTCCGGTTCCCTTACAGCCAGTTATATTTTGTTAGAATTTTCTAAAACTTACTCAGTAAATACCAATTTGGGCATATTGGCTTTGTGCACATTAATGCCTTATATATTTCATTCAGTTTCTTTACAAAATAAATATTGAGAATCTACCATGCTTACTCATTTAGCATCCTGAAGGATGGAAACAAGTATAATTTTTTCTTTTCTTTTGAGATGGAGTCTCACTCTGTCACCCAGGCTGCAGTGCAGTGGAGCGATTTCGGCTCACTGCAACCCCCGCTTCCCGAGTTCAAGCGATTCTCATGCCTTAGCCTCCCAAGTCAAATAGCTGGGACCAGGCAAGTGCCAACATGAGCAGCTCATTTTTGTATTTCTGGTAGAGACAGGGTTTTGCCATGTTGGCAGGTCTCGAACTGACCTCAGGTGATCCACCTGCTTTGGCCTCCCAGAGTGCTGGGATCACAGGCGTGAGCCACCGTGCCTGGCCTACAAGTATGATATTTTAAAATGTGGTTAGGAAGAGAGATTATATAATAAAAAGTCACTAATCTATATTAAATAAACAATTAGGGTTGCAGACAATGCTATAAGAATACAAAGGGTAATCAGTGGTTGCTCAATTAATCAAGAAACTTTATTTTTCTTATTGAACTTCAGACTAATAATATCATTTTAATTGTCATTATTTTTTAATTTTTTTAATTATAAAAACATAACTCTTTTTCACCTTCCACTATCTGACCAAGGATAATTGTCATAATTATTAAGTTCAATAAATTTCTGAGTCATTGGCCTAGTATTGAAGTATAATTTTCAAAAAATGTTAAAGTAATTTTCACACAAATATAGATATTTGTCATAGATATATTGTCATTAACAAGGGAGCCAGTAAGATGATAAAGCTCCTTCAAAGACCATTTTGAGAAACTGTTTACTTTCAGGCATTTTGGAGGCCAGGGGTGGTTAAGTGGGATGTTAAATACAAACTGCTCAATGTCCTACAGGACAGTTAAACCATATCCTTTGTAGATGCCATTTCTATCAAATAAAAATCTATAAGTTAGCATGTTATTCACAGTACCTGGACTCTAATCAGATAGTAATATAGCAAAGTTAGTCACAGGTACATTCACTTTATAAAATAATCCCTGGGTGGGCCTTATATACAACATTCTATATTATATTGGATAGTCATACTGTTTCATCCCGATTTCCAAGTTTTGGATAATTTTTTTAACACTAGTTTACCCTCTTGGTTGCTATGAGTAAATCACACAATTGCTTGACCTCATTTTTCTTGCTATTAAAAGAAATTCAAGATTTATTTTTCTCACAATGGGGTTAATGAACTAATGTGCAAATCATCTTGAAAAGGTAACATACTTTTTAATTACTAATTATTACTGCTGTCCCACTCAATATTCTTCAAGAAATATTTACATTTTATATAGGATTGTTTATCTTTTTTCTGGTATGTTTCTAGACGTTAGGATCTGGCTCCTATTTGAATTGTAGGTACTTTTGTACATTCTGATTCATGGTAGGCATCAAATAAATGTTTGCTGAATAAATGTCTGATCTTTGTTAATAAGGAGTACATGGTGTTCAAACCCACCTACTCATGACTTTTTAAAAATTATGACCATGAATGCAAGGGTTTTCCTCCTTAAATGATCATCTGTGTTCTTTATTCCTAGGCCTTCTTTGTAAAAAACACTAAGTTAGCCCTGAGATGTATTTTCAATTTAGGAGTCACACATATCTTTGGTGGTAAAGTGGGGTGTTAACTCTTTTTTATTAAAAGCCTTTTAATATATTTTATTCATCAAATGTAAATAATTATCAATCCACCTATATTTTTCATTAGCCATTTATGGCAACTAGGGAGTAAATACCTTTCACAATTAAGAATCAAATTATTAATCTTTTAGTTCTCAAGTATGTCTAAATTGATGAAGCTGACTGAAGAATGTAAGCTTAGAGAAGCCATCTCTTGAACAACATTTAGACCTAAGCCTCAGTTGCAACCAGAGCCGTTCCTTTTCCTATTGCTGGAGGAAAGTGATCCTCCAGGAGAAAGGGGTCTCCATTCACCCATCAACATGTTGTTATCACTCATTGTGTCCTGAGGATCAGCAGCATGGACAACATGTTGTGATTTTTTTCATTTAATTTGGTCTTGAACTCTGTCTCTGGAGAATGGCTATAAATTGTAGCCCTGCCCGGACAGCATGGGTTGATCTTTACAGTGAACCTTTCACAGAATGCCTTTTTTTTTTTTTTTTTTTTTTTTTTTTCTGAGACAGAGTCTCACTCTGTCCCCAGGCTGGAGTGCAGTGGTGTGATCTCGGCTCACTGCAACCTCTGCCTCTTGGGTTCAAGCGGTTCTCCTCCTTCAGCCTCCTGAGTAGCTGAGACTACAGGCACGCACCACCACACCCAGCTAATTTTTGTATTTTTAATACAGACGGGGTTTCATCATGTTGGCCAGGATTGTCTCGATCTCCTGACCTTGTGATCCAACCACCTCGGCCTCCCAAAGTGCTGGCATTAGAGGCATGAGCCACCACACCAGGCCCACAGGATACTTCTTTGTCCTAGTGAATGGCCTAATGTCCAAATGTCCAACATGTAACCAAGTACCCCTTTCACAGGAACTTGTTTATACTGGCAGACACCCTTGTGACTCTTGTCTGATCTGTGTCCAGTTTATTCTAATCAAGATAGCCACCCTCTAAGAGAGTTGGGCCTGGATATGCTCATCAAGTAAGATACAGAGGAGGCAGCACAATAGAACACACAAGACAACAGAAGCAGAATATTACTCACAGATCCAGGAGAAGAAGATAACATGCCTCCCTGGGCCAACAGAAAACAGGTAGGGAGCAGGAGAGAGATAAGGGCCTGTGGCCCAAAGCCTGTATTGGAGTCTAAGGTTCTACCCAAGCTGGTTGCTCAAGGGGAATTCTAATTGGTGAATTTAAAGCAAGCAGGCATTGGCTCCATGGAGTCACACTGTGACTGAGAGGTGGTCACTGTGGCATATATGCACAGTCCACGCAGGGTGTGAAGTCTGTGGGGCAAGTAAAGTCAGTTGTATCTAGCTGTACCACAAAGACATGGTCACCAGGAGGTGGTTACAAAAGGCAGACATCTGGATCCATCAATCTGAGGAAGTGGGAAAAAGAAGAAAACTAGAAACTGGATCAAGGGTGACCAAGTCCTGCTTTTGGTATGAGAAAGTCCAACTTATACTCAAAACAGATACTGAGGCAACATAAAACTATAAGAATTCACTACACAGCAACTGGAAGCTTAATAAAAATGTAGCACCCCAGACCTCACTCCAGCCCTACTAGATCAGAATCAACTTTTTTATTTTAATGCCAGTAGATTCATCATGTACATTGACGTTTGAGAAGTATTGGTCTAGCTCCTAGATTATGTTATACTACTAGTCCATGGACAATACTCCTGAATAACAGGGTCAGAGAAAAGAGCAGAAGGCCATGAGTCAACAGTCTTATGTCTGGATATGATTCTGCGATTGTACATTGTATTATCTTGGAGAAGTAACTTAATACACGTAAGCCTCAGTTTTCTCATTTGTAAAATATGGAGGTCAAATTTTATTAGTTTTAAGATCCTTTCTAGTCTTTCTCTATGAAAGCATTAACATCTTTTTTTCTGATTTATTCACTTGAATTTAAAACAACAAAAATAACTCTGTAGACCTTCATAGCTGTGGTTGTTTTTTAATTCAAATATCATTAAGACTGTTTATGTGACATAAGTTGTATAATATTTTCACTGTTGCTAGAGATGGCATTACATAAATAAAAAGAAAAGGCACTGAGCCAGGACCGAGTTTAAATTTTGGTTGTGCCCCTTGCTGGGTTTAAAAGATGACACATGATTAACTTTCAGAGATACGTATGAACTTCATAAAACTTAAAATCTGACAGGCATGGGCCTTACAAATCCCAAATGCCTATATGTCTGATTCCTACAAAATGTTAACATTCTCCCACTGATAAGATATAGGAATAGGTGCAATAAAAATTCATTTTATAATAATCATTTTATGGATACCAGATATAAAAAGAAAGGCAAAAACATGTTGTAGAAAATGATACTGAAGGCAAACCCAGGATGTATGTCTTAGACAGCTCATGCTGCCATAACAAAATACCACAGACTAGGTGGCCTAAACAATAGAAATTTATTTCTCACAGTTCTGGAAGTTGGGAAGTTCAAGATCAGGATGCCAGAATGGCCTGGTTCTGATGAAGGCCCTCCTCCTGGCTTGCAGACAGCCTGCCTTTTGCTATATCTTTGCAGGATGGAGAGAGGATGCTCTAGTGTCTCTTCCTCTTCCTTTAAGGGAACTAATCATATCATGGTGGCATTACCTGCATGATCTCATCTAAACCTAATTACCTCCCAAAGCCTCCACCTCGTAATACTATCAATTGGGGGTTACAGCTTCAACATATGAATGAATCTGAGGGAGACACAAGCATGCAGTCCATGCAGTGGGTATTTAAACCCAATCCTCAGAACTTGGGCAAAGGATGAGAGAAGGAGGGCCATGCGTATTCCTCTGAGTTTTCTTTGATGTCTGAAAGTACAGAAAATGTTGTATGCTTTCAAAGTTAGCAGGCTGCTGTGATACATTTCAATGACAGATTTTTCATTTAGTTCATTTGGTGTGACTTCTGGGAATATGCATTTTTATCAGTCATTCCAACTGATTCTGACTCAATCTTTGGACTACACTTTGAGAAACACTGAGGCCAAGTGTGGTGGCTCACACCTATAATTCTACTACTTTGGGAGATCAAGGTGGGAGGATCACTTGAACCCAGGAGTTCAAGACCAGCCTAAGCAATATAGCGAGACCTCATCTCTATTTTTAAAAATAAAAAATAATTTTTTTTTTAAAACAAGGGAGAAACACTGGATTAGACAATCTGTGAGGTCATTTAAATATCTAAAATGTTGATTATAAAAGTCTAGGAATTCATTAGAATTCCATCTGATTTACATGTCTACTAGTGCATATTATCAAAGAAAAACAGCACTACCTGTGAGTTATCATGATTATGTGAGGAAGATTAATATATAACATTTAGGGCCAGGTGCGGTGGCTCACCCCTGTAATCCCAGCACTTTGGGAGGCCAAGGCAGGTGGATCACCTGAGGTCAGGAGTTCAAGACCAGCCTGGCCAACATGGTGAAACCCCATCTCTGCTAAAAATAAAAAAATCAGCTGGGCTCGGTGGCTCGTGCCTGTAATCCCAGCTACTTGGGAGGCTGAGGCAGGAGAATTGCTTGAGCCCAGGAGGCGGAGGTTGCAGTGGGCTGAGGTTGCACCATTGTACTCCAGCCTGGGCAACAGAGCAAGACTCTGTCTCAAAAAATATATATATAATATATATACATATATATACACACATACATACACACACACATATATATACACACACACATATGTATATATATGTGTATATATGTGTGTGTGTATATATGTGTGTGTGTATGTATGTGTGTGTGTATATATATATATATATAACATTTAGGATTATTTTTTAAAAACTAAAATAAGATCTCTTTTTATTCTTTGTTCAGCACAATAAATTTATTTTGCCCAGGGAAGAATAGGTATGAAATATTAATAGATCCTTGTTTTTATACTTTCCCCTTTTTTTCTTATTTTTCTTATTTATTCATGTATTGTCTGGGATAATAAAAATACAACTTCACCTAATTCCTGCATGACTAGTATCCCTGGTAAATATTCATGTGTACTTTTTATACTAGTCATTATTTTTTCTTACATTTTTAAATTCAATTTTATAAAGTAGTCTCGGCACAGTGTAAGTAGTTTAGTTCAAATTGCTTCTAATTAGAGTATGAGCCTCATTTGCTTTCTTATAATGCCCTTGAGCTGTTCAGTTCCATTAGTGTTTTAAAAGAATGGGCCACCATAGAGGAAAAAATCAGAGCATCTGACTTCTATAATCTTGTACAGTCTGTAAAGCTACTTTGCTTCTCAAATAAGAAGAGCTTTTTTGTTTATTTGTATTTCATTCCACTTTTCTGGGAATATGTACCAACCATTAATAATTTACAAGACACATAGGCTGGATCAATATAGACCAATATGTACTCAGTGATGTCTTCCTTTTGCTCTGCTTCTTAATACAACAAGAAATAAGATTTCTTGGAGTAGTTGCCACCTCTATTATCAAGAGCTCTTGGCCAATTTCCAGGTCAAGGCCTATTAAATGAAACTTCTGAGAAGCCAAACAATTTAAATACCCTGGAGTTAAATTAAGAAGCTCTATTCAAGTAGGCATCAGCAAAGGTGATAGTACTTCCACAATTCTATTAACAATTTATGAATTCTCAGCAAATGTTGATGAGTTAATTCAATCACCATGGTTAAAACAAACGGTGCTTAGATTCTGCTAGTTTTTCTTCTTCACAAAATTTAATTTGCCTTTTTTTAATGAAAGATATTAAGGAGAAAAAAAGGACTTTGGAATTTAATTGGGCTGGTTGGCATCCCAGGCTCACTATTAATAGCTTTAGGGAGATTATGTAACCTCTCTGAGAATCTGTTTTGTTGTTTTGTTTTCCACAAAGTGGTAAAATACAGTGTAACTCATAGAAGTATTGCAGAAATTGACATGAGAGCCAATGTAACATACTTAGTACAGTGCCCAGCATCTGCATTATCCTTAATAAATGGTAGTTATTATTTAGCAGGAAGCCAACTAGTGATGTTGGTGAACCTACATGCCTTTCGTTCCTCACTCCCTCCTTATCCCTTTTATTGTTTCTCTCCAAATTACAGCAGGTGCTTCCATATCATCTCATTCCCCCGATACCCAGGGCACTACCACTTCCATACCTATCCCAGGTATCTGATAACCACGTGACCTGGGGTCCAGTATTTCCACATTTCCTGGCCTTGCTCTTCCTGTTGGGTAATATTTTCTTAGAATGTCCTGATTCTGGCCGGGCACGGTGGCTCACGCCTATAATCCCAACACTTTGGGAGGCCGAGGTGGGCAGATCACGAGGTCAGGAGATAGAGACCATCCTGGCTAACACGATGAAACCCCGTCCCTACTAAAACTACAAATATTAGCCAGGGCTGGTGGCACGCGCCTGTAGTCCCAGCTACTCAGGAGGCTGAGGCAGGAGAATCACTTGAACCCGGGAAGCGGAGGTTGCAGTAATAATAAAATAATAGGGCCAGGCGTGGTGGCTCATGCCTGTAATCCCAGCACTTTGGGAGGCTGAGGTGGGAGGATCACAAGGTCAGGAGATCGAGACCATCCTGGCTAACACGGTGAAACCCCGTCTCTACTAAAAATACAAAAAAATTAGCCGGGAGTGGTGGCGGGCGCCTGTAGTCCCAGCTACTGGGGAGGCTGAGGCAGGAGAATGGTGTGAACCTGGGAGGCACAGCTTGCAGTGAGCAGAGACCACGCCACTGCACTCCAGCCTGGGGGACAGAGCGAGACTCCGTCTCAAAATAATAATAATAATAATAATAATAATAATAATAATAATAATTAAAATGAAAATAAGGACCTTATAATATGTATTAAAAATTTAGTCACGAGTAAAACATAGTAATATAAATGCACTGGTTTATAAGAAGATGGTTGGATCCTGATATGGTTTGGATCTGTGTCCCTACCAAATCTCATGTTGAAATGTAATCCCCAGTGTTGGAGGTGGGACCTGGTGGGAGGTGTTTGAGCAGGTCCCTCATGGCTTGGTGCTGTCCTAGCAATAGTGAGTGACTACTCATGAGATCTGGTTGTTGTAAAGTGTGGCACATACCCCGCCTCCCCCTCCTTGCTCCCACTCTTGCCATGTGAGATGCCTGCCACACTTCGCCTTCTGCTGTGATTGTAAGCTTCCTGAGGCCTTACCAGAAGCAGTTGCCAGCACTATGCTACCTGTACAGCCTGCAGAACCATCTGCCAATTAAACCTCTTTTCTTATAAATTCGTCAGCCTCATGTATTTCTTTATAACAATGCAAGAACATGCTAACACAAGTCAAAATTATATACCTGACAAAATGAAATAAAACAAATATTAAGATTTTTTTTCTTCTAACAGGTAATCTTATGAAGCCTTTGAACCAAATTTTGGGTGAAGAAATTTGAGTCAGTTACTAATATACTGGATTGGACAATGCATCGTTAACTATGAAAATGTGACTGAATTATGTGAGGAGGCTCAAAAGATAAGAATCATTCTAACAAGGTCTGTACCATATTTTCTTGCTCTCAATTCTTCATTTTTGAAGAGTGTTACCTTTCCTTTCAGTATAGGGAGGGTGCCTTTTATATGAGAGTTCCATCTTTTGCCTTTAAGAAACAGCACAAATGTCAAAGTGATTTTATTTTATATCTACTGGGTTTCAAGTGTCTTTACCTAAATAGTAAGAATGCCAGAATAGCTGAGGAGTTTTGGAAAAAGAGTTTAGCTTAGAGAGGGATGAGGGTGAGAAGGTGTAGAAAGGGTTCAGAGAAGAAAGAGTCTCAGCTAGCTTTCAGACAGTATTTAGCAGTGATGTAATCTTTGAGTCCTAAATGTGTTTTGAAAGTCTTGAGATACAGTTTGAGTTATGGGTCCTATTTGGATTGTATGATGTTATAGCTATGATCTTTTATTTTAGTTTTAAGAAAAACAGACTGACTGATCCCCATAGTGTTTGAATATGTCACCAGCTGGAGTCCCAGAAGCAGGGAATTATCTTGGCATGCCATTGAACTTTGAGAACCCAAGATATGGTTTGGATTTGTGTCCCTGACCAAATCTCATGTCAAATTGTAATTTTCAGTGTTGGAGATAGGGCCTGGTGGAAGGTGATTGGATCATGAGGGCAGAGTTCTCATAAGTGGTTCAGCACCATACCCACTTGGTACTATATAGCGAGTGAGTTATCGGGAGATGTGGTTGTTTAAAAGTGTGTAGCACCTCCCCCCTCTCTCTTCCTCCTGCTCTGGCCATGTAAGGCCTGCCTGCTTCCCCTTTGCCTTTTGCCATGATTGAAAGTTTCCTGAGGCTGTTAGGCTTTCTGTACGGCCTGCAGAACCATGAGCCAATTAAACCTCTTTTCTTGGTTGTAGGTGGAGCCAAATGCAACAACTTATCCTTCACCATAGAAGGAATTTTTTTTTGAGGTTTATTTGAATTGATTGGCATTTTTTAAAAATATCAATAGGTTTTGGGGAACAGGTGGTGTTTGGTTACATGAATCAGTTCTTTAGTGATGATTTCTGAGAGTTTGGTGTATCCGTCACCCAAGCAGTATACACTGTACCCAATGTGTAGTCTTTTATCCTCACCCCTGCTTCCACCCTTTCCTCTGAGTCCCCAAAGTCCATTGTTTTATTCTTATGCCTGTGCGTCCTCATAGCTTAGCTCTGAGTTATGAGTGAGAACATATGATGTTTAGTTTTCCATTCCTGAGTTACTTCACTTAGAATAATGGTCTCCAGTTCCATCCAGGTTGCTGCAAATGCCATAATTACTTTTCTTTTTTTGAGACAGTCTCACTCTATCGCCCAGGCTGGAGTGCAGTGGCTCGATCTCGGCTCACTGCAAACTCCGCCCCCGGGTTCACGCCATTCTCCTGCCTCAGCCTCCCGAGTAGCTGGGACTACAGGTACCCGCCACAATGCCCGGCTAATTTTTTTATTTTTATTTTTAGTAGAGACGGGGTTTCACTGTGTCAGCCAGGATGGTCTCGATCTCCTGACCTCGTGATCCGCCCGCCTCGGCCTCCCACAGTGCTGGGATTACAGGTATGAGCCACCGTGCCCGGCCAATTACTTTTCTTTTTATGGCTGAGTAGTTATTTCATGAGATATATATGTATATCACATACCACATTTTTTTGGTTTGTTTTTGAGATGGAGTCTTGCTCTGTAGCCAAGCTGGAGTGCAGTGGCATGATCTCAGCTCACTGCAACCTCCGCCTCCAGGGTTCAAGCAATTCTCCCGCCTCAGCCTCCCAAGTAGCTGGGATTACAGGCACATGCCAACACACCCAGCTAATTTTTTTTATTTTAGTAGAGACAGGACTTCACCATGTTGGCCAGGATGGTTTTGATCTCCTGACCTCGTGATCTGCCCTCCTCGGCCTCCCAAAGTGCTGGGATTACAGGTGTGAGCCACCGCACTTGGCCACCACATACCACATTTTCTTTATCCACTAATTGATTGATGGGCATTTGGGCTGGTTCCATATCTTTGCAATTGCGAATTGTGCTGCTATAAATATGCACATGCAAATATCTTTTTCATATAATGACTTACTTTCCTCTGGGAAGATACCTAGTAGTGGGATTGCTGGATCAAATGGCAGATCTACTTTTAGTTTTTTAAGGAATCTCTACACTGTTTTCCATAGTGTTTTTACAATTTTTCATTCCCACCAGCAGTGTAAAAATGTTCCATTTTCACCACATCCATGCCAACATCTATCATATTCGATTTTTGTATTATGACCATTCTGGCAGGAGTAAGATAGTATTGTGGTTTTAATTTGCATTTCTCTGATAATTAGCGATGTTAAGCATTTTTTCATGTTTTTTGGCTATTTATGTATCTTCTTTTGAGAATTGTCTATTCATGTCCTTAGCCCACTTTTTGATGTTTTTCTTTTTGTTTTTTTTTTTTCTTGCTGATTTATTTGAGTCCCTTGTAGATTCTGGATATAAGTCTTTTGTCAGATGTATGGATTGTGATGATTTTCTGCCACTCTGTGGGTTATCTGTTTACTCTGCTGATTATTTCTTTTGCTATGCAGAAGCTTTTTAGTTTAATTAAGTCCATTCTATTTATCTTTCTCTTTGTTGCATCTGCTTTTGGGTTCTTGGTCACAGTCTTTGCCTAAGCCACTGTCAAGAAGGATTTTTCCGAGGTTCTTTTTTAGAATTTTTACAGTTTCAGGTCTTAAGTTTAAGCCTTTGATCCGTCTTGAGTTAATTTTTGTATAAGGTGAGAGAGGAGGATTCAGTTTCATTCTCCTACATGTGACTTGCCAATTATCCCAGCACCATTTGTTGAATTAGTGTCCTTTCCCCACTTTATGCTTTTGTTTGCTTTGTCAAAGATCAGTTGACTGTAGGTATTTGGCTTTATATCTGGGTTCCCTATTCTGTTCCACTGGTCTATATGCCTGTTTTTAGACCAGTACCATGCTGTTTTGGTGACTATGCCCGTACAGTATTGTTTGAAGTCAGGTAATCTAATGCCTCCAGATTTGTTCTTTTTGCTTCGTATTGCTTTGGCTGTGCAGGCTCTTTTTTCATTCCATATGAATTGTAGAATTGTTTTTCTAGTTCTGTGAAGAATTATGGTGGTATTTTGATGGGAATTTTGCATTAAATGTGTAGATTGCTTTTGGCAGTATGGTCATTTTCACAATATTGATTCTACTCATCAATGAGTATGGGATGTATTTCCATTTGTTTGTGTTGTCTATGATTTCTTTCAGCAGCATTTTGTAGTTTTCCTTGTAGAGGTCTTTTACCTTCTTGGTTAGGTATATTATTATTTTATTTTATTTTATTTTTTCAGCTGTAGTAAAAGGGGTTGAGTTCTTGATTTGATTCTTAGCTTGGTTGCTGTTGGTGGATAGCAGGGCTACTGTTGGTGGATAGCAGGACTAATGCGTACATTAATTTTGTATCTGAAACTTTGCTGAATTCATTTACCAAATTCTAGAAGGTTTTTGGATGAGTCTTTAGGGTTTTCTAGGTATACGATCATGTCATCAGCAAACAGTAACAGTTTGACTTCCTCTTTACCAGTTTGGATGCCCTTTATTTCTTTCTCTTGTCTGATTGCTCTGGCTAGCACTTCAGCACTATGTTGAATAGAAGTGGGGAAAGTGGGCATCCTTGTCTTGTTCCAGTTCTCAGAGGAAATGCTTTCAACTTTTCCCCGTTCAGTATAATGTTGTCATAGATGGCTCTTATTATGTTAAGGTATGTCTCTTCTATGTCAGTTTTGCAGAGGGTTTTAATCATAAAGTGATGCTGGATTTTGTCAAATACTTTTTATGCATCTATTGAGATGATCATGTGATTTTTGTTTTTAATAGTTTGTGTGGTTTATCACATCTATTGACTTGAGCATGTTAAACCATCCCTGCATCCCTAGTATGAAACCCAGTTGATCATAGTGGATTATCTTTTTGATATGCTGTTGAATCTGGTTAGCTAGTATTTTGTCAAGGATTTTTGCATCTATATTTATTAGGGATGTTGGTCTGTAGTTTTCTTTTTTGTGCTATGTCCATTTCTGGTTTTGGTATTAGGGTGATACTGGCTTCATAGAATGATTTAGGGAGTATTCCCTCTTTCTCTGTCTTTTGGAATAGTGCCAATTGAATTGGTACCAATTCTTCTTTGAATGTCTGATAGAATTTGGCTGTGATTCCATCTGGCACTGGACTTTTTTTTCTTAACTTTTAAATTACTATTTCAGTCTCACTGCTTGTTATTGGTCTGTTCAGAGTTTCTATTTCTTCATGGTTTAATCCAGGAGGGTTGTATATTTCCAGAAGTTTATCCATCTCCTCTAGGTTTTCTAGTTTATACACATAAAGGTGTTCATAGTAGCCTTGAATGATCTTTTGTATTTCTGTGATATTGGTTGTCATAGCTCTCATTTCATTTCTAATTGAGCTTATTTGGATCTTCTCCTTCTCTTGGTTAATCTTCCTAATGGTCTATCAATTTTATTTATGTTTTCAAAGAACTGCTTTTTGTTTCATTTATTGTTTGTATTTTTGTTTGTTTCAATTTCATTTAGTTGTGCTCTAATCTTTGTTATTTATTTTCTTCTCCTGGGTTAGGTTTTGGATTGATCTTGATTCTCCAGTTCCATGAGGTGTGACCTTAGATTGTCTATTTGTGCTCGTTCAGACTTTCTGATGTAGGCATTCAATGCTATGAACTTTCCTCTTAGCACCATCTGTATTAGTCCATTTTCACACTGCTGATAAAGACATACCTGAGACTGTGAAATTTATAAAAGAAAGAGGTTTAATGGACTTACAGTTCCACATGAATGGGAAGGCCTCACAATCGTGGGAGAAGGTGAAAGGCACATCTCACATGAGGGCAGACAAGAGAAGAGAGAAGAGAGCTTGTGCAGCGAAAGTCTCCTTTTAAAATCATCAGACCTTGTGAGACTTACTCACTATCGTGAGAACAGCACAGCAAAGACCTGCCCCGATGATTCTGTGAGTTATCTCCCACTGGGTCCCTCCTACAACACATAGAAATTCAAGATGAGATTTTAGTGGAGACACAGCCAAACCATATCACTGTCTTTGCAGTATCCCAGAGGTTTTGATAGGATGTGTCACTATTATCATTCAGTTCAAAAGTCTTTTAAATTTTCGTCTTGATTTCATTGTTGACCCAATGATCACTCAGGAGCAGGTTATTTAATTTCCATGTATTTGCATGGTTTTGAGAGTTTCTTTTGGAGTTGATTTCCAATTTTATTGCACTGCAGTCTGAGAGACCACACACTTGCTGTAATTTCAATTTTCTTAAATTGGTTGAGATTTGTTTTGTGGCCTATCACATGGTCTAGCACTTGGTCCATGTGCTAATGAATAGAATTCATATTCTGCAGTTGTTGGGTAGAATGTTCTGTAAATATATGTTAGGTCCATTTGTTTAGGGTATAGTTTAATTCCATTGTTTCTTTGTTGACTTTCTGTCTTCATGGCCTGTCTACTGCTGTCAGTGCAGTATTAATGTACCCCACCATTATTGTGTTGCTGTCTACTTCATTTCTTAGGTCTAGTAGTAATTCTATAAATTTTTTATAAATTTATAAATTTAGTATTTTTAAATTTATAAAATTAAATAAATTTATCAAATTAGTAGTTTTATAAATTTGAGAGCTCCCATGTTAGATTCATATATATTTAGGATTACAATATTTTCCCATTGGATTAGTCCTTCTATTGTTAATGTCCCTGTTTGTCTTCTTTAACTGCTCTTGCTTTAAAATTTGTTTTGTCTGATATAAGAATAGCTACTCCCTTTTAGTGTCCATTTACATGTGATATCTTTTTCCATCCCTTCATCTTAAGTTTATGTGAGTCCTTAAGTGTCAGGTGAGTCTCTTAAAGACAGCACATACTTGGCTGGTGAATTCTTATCCATTCTGCCATTCTGTATCTTTTAAGTGGAGCATTTAGGCCATTTACATTCAATGTTAGTATTGAGATGTGAGATGCTATTCTATTCATCATGCTATTTGTTGCCTGAATACCTTTGGGTTTCTTTTTTTTTTTAATTGTGTTGTTGTTTTCTAAGTCCTGTGAGATTTGCGCTTTAAGGAGATTCTACTTTGGTGTATTTTGAAAATTTGTTTCAAGATTTAGAGCTCTCTTTAGCAGTTTTTGTCATGATGGCTTGGTAGTGGCAAATTCTCTCAGCATTTTTTTTGTCTGAAAAAGACTGTATCTTTCCTTCATTATGAAGCATGGTTTCACTGGATACAAAATTCTTAGCTGGTAATAGTTTTGTTTAAGGAGGCTAAAGATAGGACCACAATCATTTCCAGCTTGTAGGGTGTCTACTGAGAAATCTGCTGTTAATCTGATAGATTTTCTTCTACAGGTTACCTGATGCTTTTGCCTCACAGCTTTTAAGATTCTTTCCTTCATCTTGACTTTAGATAACTTTATGACTATGTGCTTAGGCGATGATCTTTTTGCAATAAATTTTTCAGGGCTTCTTTGAGCTTCTTATATTTGGATGTCTGGATCTCTAGCAAGGCCAGGAACTTTTCCTTAATTATTCCCTCAAATATGTTTTCCAAACTTTTAGATCTCTTAGGAACACCAATTATTCTTAGGTTTGGTCATTTAACATAATCCCAAACTTCTTAGAGGCTTTGTTCATTTTTTAAAATTCTTTTTTCTTTGTCTTTGTCGGATCGGGTTAATTCAAAAGCCTTGTCTTCAAGCTCTAAAGTTCTTTCTTCTACTTGTTCAATTCTATTGCTGAGACTTTCCAGTGCATTTTGCACTTCTCAAAGTGTGTCATTCATTTGCAGAAGTTGTGGCTGTTTTTTTATCTATGCTATCTATTTCACTGGAGATTTTTCCATTTATATCCTGTATCTGTTTTTGATTTCTTTACGTTGTACTTCACCTTTCTCTGGTGCTTTCTTGATTGGCTTATTAGTTAACTTTCTGAATTCTTTTTCTGGCTATTCAGATATTTCATCTTGGTTTGGATCCATCAATGGATGGTGAGCTAGTGTGATTTTTGGGGGGTGTTAAAGAACCTTGTTTTGTCGTATTACCAGAATTGTTTCTCTGGTTTCTTCTCATTTGGGCAGACTATGTTGAAGGGAAGATTTGGGACTCTAGGGCTGCTGTTCAGATTATTTTGTCCCACGGGGTGCTCTCTTGATGTGGTGCTCTCCCCTTTTCCCTAGAGATGGGGCTTCCTGAGAGCTGAACTGAAGTGATTGTTATTACTTTTTTTGGATTTAGCCACCCAGTGGAGCTACCGTGCTCTGGGCTGGCAGTGGGCAGGGCCATAGAGCTCCCAAGTTATTATGTTTTTAGTCTTAGGCTACCATGGTGGGTAGAGAAAGACCATCAGGTGGAGGCAAGGTTAGGCCTGTCTGAGCTCAGACTCTCCTTAGGTGGGGCTTGCTGTGGCTGCTCTGGGGATGAGGGTGTGGTTTCCAGGCCAATAAAGTTATATTCCCAGAGAGATTATGGCTGCCTCTGCTGCATTACATGTGTTGCCAGAAAAGTGGGAGAATGCCGGCAGCCACAGGCCTCATCCATCTCCTATACAGTCCAAGCCCGAAAAGTCAGTCTCACTCAGATGGGCTTTGGAAACCCAGAAAGCCACTAAGTATTCCCAAAATGTCTCTCCTCCAAAATTTATTTCACAGTCTCTCTGAGATGATATATCAGGGCAAATGAAAATCTTAGAAGTCTTTTAAAATAAATATTGATGAAAAGCTTTAACTGTCATATTGAGCAAGTAACCTTAACTTGCTGCATCTGCCAGAAATATAATTCAGATTTTTAAAAATGAAGCATAAATCAGAACTAATTCATATAAATTAGTGAGTTTTGCATTTCTGTATTTATACCTGACTTATGACTAAAATTTTAGAATGAAAGCTATAAGATCTCTATGTGCATCTGCCTGTATGTTTACGTATATGCAGGTATGTTGTGTAGATGTGATATTTATCTACCTCCAAATAGTATTGCCAAAATCACCTAAAGAGCTCTAATTGGTTTAGAAGTAAATACGTGCTCCACCAGGTGCAGTGGCTCACTCCTGTAATCCCAGCACTTTGGGAGGTCGAGGCAGGCAGATCACTTGAGGCCAGGAGTTCAAGACCAGCCTGGCCAGTATGGCTAAACCACATCTCTACAAGAGATACAAAAAAAAATTGGCCAGACGTGGTAGCGCATGCCTGTAATCCCAGCTACTCAGGTGGCTGAGACACAAGAATTGCTTGAATGTGGGAGGTGGAGGTTGCAGGGAGTCAGGATTGCGCCACTACAATCCAGCTTGGGTGACAGAGTGAGACTCTATCTCAAAAATAAAAGTAAATAAGTGCTTTTAAGTATTCCTAAAACTCTCAGAAATATAGGAACTAACCTGTCAACCTAAAATAATCAAAAGAGTCAGAATGCAGTTTAAAGAGAGCTTATTCAAGAGCAAATATTGAGGACTGCAACCCAGGACACACTTCCAAGTTGCCTTGGGGATTGTACCAGAGAACAAAAGAGAGGCTTAAATTTTTCAAGAAAAAAAGAATGAATCAGGAGAGGGGGTGATTACAAATGTTTTTTGTCAGGAATTCTCATGGTTTATAGAAATAACATTGGTTAGTGATTGGTTATACATTGTTGAACTACAGAATGTATGGCATTTTATGACTACTTGGCGTCTGTTAGTCTAGATCCCACAGAGCAAGTGGCCCCAAGAGATAATTATTTAGTTCACAGGGGACTGAGACATAACTGCTATTATATTTTAAATGCCTTTCTGGGACTGATAACTTAAAGGGGCTCACATCCCTGAGATAAAAGGTTTTTTTCTTTCTCAAACCCAAATGCTTTTCAAGTTCATATGATTTGGGAAAACCTTTAGCAAATAAAACTAATTTAATATTATTGGCTTAATAAAAACAGGTTTGTCTTCAGAGTTGTTATCATTAAATATAATGCAGACATGCATTTTTATTCTACCTGGGTTTACTAGTCAAATACATTTATGTTATCTCTGCTGGATATTTAAGATTATAAAATTATAAATTCAATCTAAGAAAAAATATACAGTAAAAATGAATTGCATGATGTATGTCAAACATGGCAATATAAAGAAGCCATATGTTTAACTTTTTAGGTTTTTTGCTTCTGTGAGTTTTGATACTTGCCTAATAAGAAACTAACTTAAGATGATGGCTGCTTTATTTAATATCTCATGAAATCATCCTGAAGAATCCAAGAATACTTGCTAAGAACATGTGAATTAAATGGATGTTAGATAATGGTTAATAAATGAATTTCTCAACAATAAATGAGACTGAGCTGGGACTCCCTCTTAGGGGCCTGACCAGCCCCTCCCCACCCCAAGGATGGGGAAATAAAGTCTGGAGTTCCCTCAAGGGAAATTCCAGGCACCTAGCTAACTCTGAGAGGTAAATAAGTAACTTCTTAAGCAAGAAGATAATAGAAGCCTAAAACCATAGCCAAGAAAGTTAGAGTCTAAATATGTTTGACTTATCTATAGAAACTAAAGGAAACATCTTAACATATATCCCTGAGTTGTTATTTCAGAAACCTGGACCCCAACCTGGACCCTCACCAAATGGATCTACTGTCAGGTAGATCTCAGATAAGGGGGAGTTGAGGACTAAACTGACCTCCATTCTTTGTTCTAAATTTCCTCCTGGGGGGCCTGAAGAAGGTCACACCCAGGGGCTAGAGCTAACATTCTTTTCTGCTGCTCCCAAATTTTTAAACAAAGCTTCTCTTCCTTAAGCAATTGCAAGTCAGAAAATCGTAGAATCTACCTGCAAGCTGTAAGCCCCGGCTTCCAGATATCCCACCCTTTTAGGCCAAAGCCAATGTATGATCCATGTATGATTTGTCCATAACTTCTACTCTCCTGAAATTTACCTCTGCCTTTAAAAGCCCTTGGCTGGGTACGGTTGCTCATGCCCGTAATCCCAGTACTTTGGGAGGCCAAGGTGGGGGAATCACTTGAGGTCAGGGGTTCAAGACCTGTCTTAAAGTCATAGCAGGTCGTTTCAGCAGCTACTAGGTAGAACTGGTGTCGGTTACAGCAGGCCCTTTCAGCAGCTGGATTTAAGGAAAATTCAATTATTAGATCTGGTGCTATGTACCTGAGTGCTTTTTACCCCTGGCCCCTTCACTCTGATTTAGTTGGATATGACAAAAACGATCCAACTTGTACAATCAACTTTAACATATATTGGCATATTTACCTTTAATTAAGGAAAGGTTCCCTTATTATAAGGAGTGAGTCCAGAGTAGAAATTATAATCACCACACCCAGTCCAGTAAAGGGGGTATTGGTGGACAGGGACCTTCATAATGTAAAATTTTTCAGGGAGGAAAAACTTTTCTTCTATCTTCTTAGGTTCAGTGTCTGGGGACCTGTGAATTAAACTAACAAAAGACACATTATCAGGAGAAAGGACACAAATTGTTAATATTTACCCAGTGGGAGTTCATAGAAAAGAAGTAACACTCAGATACTAGACAAAACAGACTCAGGGGCTTACTCACTATTGTAACAAAGGAAAAGAGATTTGGGCTTTAGGGGATGGTAAATTTTGGTGAAGTGACTAGAAAATATATAAAGAAAATAATGGAAGATAGATTATTTTAGTAAGGTCTGGTCATGCACTTCATCTTGGTTTTGACTCTGTATCCCTAGGTATGAGTGGGTGGGGTGGGGAGGAAGAAACTTCACAAAGAAAAATATGCCCTGCTTTTAGGCAGAAGAGAGCAGAAAACTCTTCCTGCATTTCTTTTTTTTTTTTTTTTTTTGAGATGGAGTCTCACTCTGTCACCCAGGCTGTAGTACAGTAGGGCAATCTCAGCTCACTGCAACCTCTGTCTCTTGGGTTCAAGTGATTCTCCTGCCTCAGCCTCCCAAGTAGCTGGAATTACAGGCACCAGCCACCACGCCCAGCTAATTTTTGTATTTTTTAGTAGAGGCGGGCTTCACCATGTTGGTCAGGCTGGTCTCAAACTCCTGACCTCAAGCAATCCATCCGCCTCAGCCTCCCAAAGTGCTAGAGTTATAGGTGTGAGCCACCGTGCCTCACCTTCTTCCTGCATTTCTTGATTGTCAATTGACCTTAAGATCATTTGGAGGTAGATAAATATCACATCTACACAGGGTACATACATATACATAAACATACAGACAGATGCACGTAGAGATCTTATAAAATTTTAGCCATGAGTGAGGTATAAATACAGAAACACAAAATTCACTCATTTATATGAATCATTTCTGCTTCATTTTGTTTTTATTATTATTATTATTATTATTATTATTATTATTTTGAAACAGAGTTTCACTCTTATTGCCCAGGCTGGAGTGCAATGGCGTGATCTCAGCTCACTGCAACCTCCGCCTCCCGGGTTCAAGCTATTCTCCTGTCTCAGCCTCCTGAGTATCTGGGATTATAGGTGTGTGCCACCATGCCTGGCTAATTCTGTATTTTTAGTAGAGACAGGGTTTCACCATGTTGGTCAGGCAGGTCTATGACTCCTGACCTCAGATGATCCACCCACCTCAGCCTCCCAAAGTGCTGGGATTACAGGTGTGAGCCACTGCACGCGGCCTCTGCTTCATTTTTTAAAATCTGAATTATATTTCTAGCAGATGTAGCAAGTTAAGATTACTTGCTCAATATGAGGGCTAAAGCTTTTTAACAATATTTATTTTTAAATGTTAGATATGAGTTCTAAATTTCTCTTCAAATAATCAATATGTCAGTATGTTCAATTCTTTGCCTTCTACTTTTAAACTTAACTTCCTCGTAAAGCAACCTTTTTCGATCACCTGCTCCACCCTGACTCATTCTGATCACCTGCACCATACTGACTCACTCCATTCCTATCACCTGCTCCACCCTGATTTATTCCGATTACCTGCTCTGCCCTGACTCATTCTGATCACCTGCCCCACCCTGACTTATTCCAATTACCTGCTCCACCCTGACTCCATAACCATTTTAACATTAGCCAATAGGGGAACCGCACAGCAGCAGGGGCCACGTGCTCAGGAATAAGAACCCCTTCCCCTCTCTTGGCCCAGGTGTGCACTCACCTTTGCTCCATCTGTGAGGGAGCACCCTTCTGTAGAAGTAAATTGCCTTGCTGAGAAGAAAAAAAGAAAATTTTACATTTGAGTGTTATTTCTTTTGCAGCACCAAAACTTTATTTATAACAATTTGGGGTTACATTCCCCTCTGGGGGCAGTCTGTGTTTCTTTCTTGTGAGAAGGCATGTCCCACCCCTTGTGGTGGCCTCAGGGGTGAGAAATCAGGACCCACTCAGTGCCAGGAATAACACGAGCTCTCAGCAACACAGAAAGAAACTGGTTGGCAACCTGGGGTAAAGGATCCTCACATACTTGTGGCGATGACTCTGTGCACAGACCAAGGAAGGAGAAGCCATGGGAGCCAGTAAAGTACTTCCTTGGTAGTCAAATTCTGGAGGGCTGAATGTATGTGTGCATGAATCATCACAAACAACCCTATTTGCGGTGTTGTTCATGTGGATGGTGATAAGTTCTACTGCTGGACGGAGTGAGTGGGTCCTCTCTGTGTTTCCGTAGCTACCTCATATGGCTTAGGGTGGATCCTCCCATAGGATTTATACCGGCACACCAACACTAAGACGATCCTAATTCCCCCTTAGGGGAGTGGCCAGAGAGGACAGCATGAGTGGGAAGTGTGCAAAGGACCTTCAGAGTGGGGAATGGGGAGAAACAGGTCAACCTCCCAGGACAGGCAAGGCAAGACATCCCTGGTTTGAGGGGTTGAGGCTTCCGGGACAGGCAAGGCAAGACACCGCTGGTTTGAGTGGTTGAGCCTTCTGCAAATTTCAGGGGGTTGAACCTCACACAAACCTCGGTAGTAAAAAATATATATGTATATTCAGAACTCCCCTTTCCTTTCTTCTCAGGGGAAGAAAGAGTAGCTCCACTCCCGCCAGTCCCTCCCCGAGGGGAAGGGGAAGGAGAGGGGAGAACAGCAGCATGAGCGGCTGGCAGAGGCAGAGAAAGACCAGCAGAGAGGAAAGAGAAACTGGGAGAGGAAGTCAGAAATAGAGAGAAAGAGACAGTCAGAGAGAGAGAGAAAGAGAGAGGCAGGGAGAGGGAGAAAGAGACAGAAAAAGAAGAAGTCAAAGAGAGAGAGAGAAAGAGAGAGGGAGTCAAAGAAAGAAAGAGAAGTGATAAAGAGAAAATAGTGTACCCTATTCCTTTAAAAGCCAGGGTAAATTTAAAACGTATAATTGATAATTGAAGGTCTTCTCCATGACCCTATAACACTCCAATACCACCTTGTCATCAGTGTAAACAAGGGCATGGCCTGAAAGCACTGAGGCCACTGACAACCTATAGCCTTCGTAATCAAAAATCCTTAACCCAGTAATCCACGGATGGCCCAAATGCATTCAATCTGTCGCAGCAACTGCTTTGCTAACAGAAGAAAGTAGAAGAATAACTTTTAGAGGAAACCTCATTTTGAGCACACCTCATCAGGACAGAACTATCCTAAGTTAAAAAAAGAAAAATAGCAAAAAGGTAGCTTACTAACTCAAGAACCTTAAAGTATGAGGCTATTCTGTTAGAAAAAGATGATTTAATAGTAACCACTGAAAATTCCCTTAACCCAGCAGGTTTCCTAACAGGCGATCTAAATCTTAATTAATTACTATACAAAGGTCCGACCCGACCTTGGGGGAACTCCCTTCAGTACAGTACGATAGATAGTTCCTCCCGGGTGATTGAGGGAAAAAGACACAGTGGGTATTCAGTAAGTGATAAGGAAACTCTCGTAGAAAAAGTTAGGAAAATTGCCTAATAAATGGTCTGCTCAAACCTGCGAGCTGTTTGCACTCAACCAAGCCTAAAAGTACTTAACAGAATCAGGAAGGAGCCATCTATACCAATTCTAAGTTAATATGGACTGAATGAGGTCTTATTAATGGCAAAGAATAATTGAATTCCCAAACTTACAAGGTTTTCAACAAAAGTAAAGTTTGCTAAAAGTTAATAGTGTAACATGTACTATCCTAACTTCTAATTTTGTGGCCTTAGGCAGTCTAATCCACAGACCTAAAGGAAGTTTGCTTTGGAAAAGAATGGTTATCATTTTTGGGAAAAAAAAAAAAAAAAAAAAAAAGCAGGGGGTGGGGCAGCGGAGAATTTATGTAGAAAGAATGTTATATGGTAAATTCTTGTTCTAAAATAACTGGTTGTTTAAAGAAAGGGATGTTTGCAACAAGTCAGAAAGTTGAGACATGTTGAGGAATTGTCTGTGAAAGTCATGAAAAAAATGTTATAAAAGGGAATTTATGCGAGAAATGTTGTATAATTTAAAAGCAATTAGGCCTCCTGAATGTAAAACTATTGAAGAAACAGTTTATGTGCAAGGTGTGTAAGGAAAGTAAAATATACTTTTGGTAAAAGGATTATAAGGAAGCATAAGAATTTGGATTTTTACCTACATTAAAAGGTTAAAAAATATTTTATTAAAAGATTTAAGTAAGTTTTGAAACATTAATTGTAAAGGAAATTCTGTGTGTAAACATATTGGCTACAGTTAAAGGGGTATCATCCAGTTTTTCTGTGAACTGGACATTAAAAGCACAACTGGTTTTTCTTAAAGCACTAACCTGCTCTTTAACAAAAATTATAAAAAGTTAAAAAGAGTATAAAAATCTTACCTTATGGTCAGAAATTAAAGTTGGATAAATATGTCTACAAGGTTTTATTAAAATTAAGTTTAACATTAACAACACGCTAAAGGTGAAATTTAGCTTATCTGGTATAACAATCATACAGGAAGCATTGTGAAATATAAAATGGTGTTTGGCTTTCTTTGTCTAAAAACTAATAAAAATAGGTGCTAAAGAAAATTTCTCAGCAAGAAGGCACCAAGAACAATAAAGTCCACTGCTGATGTCCCCACATTTAAAACAAAAGATCAGTTTCTTAGAAATTATATACTTGTTTTATCCTCCACATTCTTTTCCCTTAAAACAAGAGGTCTTTTAGCACAGGCACCGACTTTGGAGTTTCCAGTACATCAGCATCGGCCTGGGGATCACATTTTCATCAAAGGGTGGGAAGAAGGGAAACTTGAGCCAGCCTGGGAAGGACCTACCTTGTGCTACTAACCACCGAGACTGCTGTTCGTACAGTGGAAAAGGATGGACACATCACACCTGAGTCAAGCAAGTGCCATTATTATCAGAATCATGGGCCATTATTCCTGGATCAAGCCCTACCAAATTAAAGCTAAGGGAAGCTTAGTCTATCTATCTTTTCCTTTCCTTTCCTTACCCGGTGCTTACATCCGTTACTATTCCTAACCCTAGCAACTCTAACCCCACTTTAGAGCATTTCTGTGTTAGGAGCAGAAGTCACTGGAAAAGATCCTATAGGCTTCTTTAAGGTGTGCTTTGTTCTCCCTTCTCCACCTCCTACAGCTGCCCCTTTTCCAAACCTACGAAGTCAAACTATGACTCGCCTTATGCCAAGTGACAAAAGCAAGGTCTCAGTAGTAAAAATAGGAAACCTAAGGCAAACCATAGCCATTGAAACGGGGTATAAAGCCGTAAATGCCTGGTTAAAATGGATTAAATATTCCGTCCATACGTTAAACAAAGGCAATTGTTATGCTTGTGTGCACAGCAGGCCAGAGGCCCAGATTGTCCCCTTTCCACTAGGGTGGTCCTCCAGTCGACCGGGTGTGGGCTGCATGGTAGCTCTTTTCCAGGATTCTGCAGCCTGAGGTAACAAGTTGTGCCAAGCTCTCTGTCTGCTATATCCCAAAGTTTGACACCCTGAGGGTCAGCCCCCGAGGGCTATCCAGCTTCCGTCTCTCAACACTAAGTTCATTTTATGTCCCTCACGACAGGGAGGCAACTTAGTGTTCCTTGGAGACCTGAAGGGATGCAGTGACCTTAAGAATTTTCAGGAGCTTACCAATCAATCAGCCTTTATTCATCCCTGAGCAGATGTGTACTGGTATTATGGCGGACCTTGACTGGACACTCTGCCAAGTAACTGAAGTGGCACTTGTGCTTTAGTCCAATTGGTTCACCCTTGCATTTCATCAGTCAGAGAAAGGAAAAATAAGACATCGTAAAGCAAAAGAAGCCCCTTATGTGTCTTTGTCTTTCGACTCTCAAGTCTATTTAGACACAATTAGAGTCCCATGGGGAATACCAGATCAATTTAAAGCCCGAAATCAAACACCTGCAGGATTTGAGTCAATATTTTGGTGGGTGACAATTAATAAAATGTAGATTAGATAAACTACATCTATTAAAACCAACAGCGATCTGTTAACTACACTAGAAATGCTGTTAAAGGAATAGCTGAGCAATTAGGGGCTACTAGCCAGATGGCTTGGAAAAAATAGGATAGCCTTAGACATGATATTTGCAAAAAAAGGAGGAGTTTGCATCATAATTAAAACTCAATGTTGTATCTTCATCCCAGACAACACCGCCCCTGATGGAAGTATAACAAAGACATTGCAAGGTCTGACTGCTCTGTCCAATGAGTTAGCCAACAACTCAGGGTAAATGACCTCTTTACAGGATGGCTAGAACAATGGTTCAGTAAATGGAAAAGAATAATAGCCTCAATTCTTACTTCACTCACAGTCTTAATGGGTGTACTTATTCTTGTCGGGTGCTATGTCACACCATGCATCTGTGGGTTGGTGCAGAGGCTCAAAAGAATGGCACTTACTAAAACCTCACTTAGCTATCCTCCACCTTATCCAGAGAAGCTTCTTCTTTTGGAAAATCAAGCAGAACAACTAAGCCAAGACATGTTAAAGAAGTTTGAAGAGAAAGAACTGTAAGGAAGATGCAAGAGGAGGGAATGTTAGATATGAGTTCTAAATTTCTCTTCAAAGAATCAATATGTCAGTATGTTCAATTCTTTGCCTTCTACTTTTAAACTTTATTTCCTCATAAAGCAACATTTTTCGGTTACCTGCTCCACCCTGACTCATTCCGATTACCTGCTCCTCCCTGACTCATTCTGATTACTTGCTCTGTCCCAACTCATTCTGACCACAGAATGACAGAGAAATGATGTTAGCTTTCTAAAGCTCTAAGGAGGAGTTCAGGAGCATATTTGCCTATTATCAGAACCTAGAGTAATTAGTATTTAAGTTTCTTTTTTTAGTATAGGACAGTCCCTTTTGCAATGTCCTGACCTTCTACTACATTATCTACAAGCATTTTGAGATGAATTTTGAGATTGGTAAGAAACATAGGTGGGCTTTGCATTACCTCTAGAGCTGCATTTCTGTTTTTGTAAAGACTCAATTAGTAAGACAAGAACTGTTGTTTTTAACTCTTGAAAGAATTGGTTGACAAAATCAATGATAACCTTGCCTGTCCATCCAACTACACACTACAGATGGTCCCTGACTTACTGTTGATGGCTGTTGTGAATCCTAGGTTCTTGTCTTCTTAGTTTAAAAGAATTTCAACAAAAGACACACAGCAAGGGAGATATTGCATAGAGCAATTTATTGCAAAGGAGAAAGAATACTCTGAAAGTTAGGTTCAGAATAGACAGTATACCCTAAGAGGCAATTCAGAGGGGACTGCTCATGAGGATGAGACAGCATTGACCATTACTAAGGAAACTCCCTTTATGGAGGCTTACATGATTATTCATAAGGGGGTGGGAAGAGGTTGCTAGGAAGCATGTTTTGGGTGGTCCTCTGGGTGCACATGCACAGTAGCTGTACATGCTTGTTTATACATCACATGTCTCATTAATATTTTAAAGCTCCACCCAGGGGTGTGATTTTTACTGTTATAATAAGCAAAGGGTCAGTCTGATGACTGGTCAAATCACAATGCACATGCTCTCTACAGGGGAGGTTTCCTACTGGAGATAGTTTTGCTTGAATGAGCTTGACTACAATGCAAACACTGGGCTTATTGGGGCGGCATTGTTGCTGAATCCTGAGGACATAGTTACTTTCTTGACTACCTGGTTACTATCCTGCCTCATTACAATGTTTCCATTTCGGATTTTTCAACTGTATGATGGTGTGAAAGTCATACAGTCAGTGGAAACTGTACTTCAAGTGTTGAATGATCTTTTTCAGGGCTAGCAATATGCTACTCTTGTGGTGTAGGGCATCAACAGCAAGTGTCAGCACCCAGTCGGTCACACAATCACAAGGATGACCACAACTGATACTCCACAGGTGAGGAATAAAGAGAACTTTCATCTGAGGAATATGAGCCCTTTCCTATTATTAGGCCCAGAGAGGCATTAAAATGAGACAGCAATCACTCCCTCCTCCACCTTTGAGCTATGTATTCATCTCTTGAAACTTCTGGCTATTGCCACAAGTAGCTATAAATTAGCCCAATAATGCCACAGTGGACACGCTAACCCATACCCTATAGCTTAACAATGTACAATCACTAATCAATGTTATTTCTATAAACCAATGAGAATTTCTGAACAAACAAATTTGTATCAGCCCGCTCCCTGTGCCCATCTTTTTTTTTTTTTTTTGCCTTTAAAAATCCACTTGTAACTGCTACTGATCAGAGTGTATATTCAGGGCAATCTGAATCTATGCTCCTGTATTGCAATCCTCAAGGCTGGCCAAATAAACTCTACTTATATTAATTTTGCCTCAGCTTCTTCCTTTTATTTTATTTTTTTGAGATGGAGTTTTGCTCTTGTTGCCCAGGCTGGAGTGCAATGGCACCATCTCAGTTCACTGCAATCTCCGCCCCCTGGGTTCAAGTGATTCTCCTGCCTCAGCCTCCCGAGTAGTTGGGATTACAGGTGCCTGCCACCATGCCTGGCTAATTTTTTGTATTTTCGGTAGAGATGGTGTTTCACCATGTTGGTCAGGCTGGTCTTGAACTCCTGACCTCAGGTGATCCAGCCGCCTCAGCCTCCCAAAGTGCTAGGATTACAGGTGTAAGCCACCGTGCCGGCCAGCTTCTTCCTTTTAGGTCAATATAAGGTACTTTGTTGACAGATGATTTTGCCCAACTGTAGGCTTATATAAGTGTTCTGAACGTGATTAAGGTAGGCGAGGCTAGGCTTTGATGTTCATATGATGATAGTGTTAGGTATATTAAATGCATTTTTGACTTAGGATATTTTCCACTTATAGTGAATTTGAGACGTAACCCCATTGTAAGTTGAGGAGCATCTGTATTTTGCTTTTGTCTTTTGAGAGAAGATTGCAAACTAAGGCAGAAATTAAGCAATTCCTATGTTCTGGAACCTGTGGATTTACTGCAATGTACCTTTAGAATTGCGCCAGTGGAGAATTTGTATCCATATGGGGTCTGCAGCAACCTCAATTCTTGCCTCCCCAGAAGAAAGAATTTGACTGAGGGACGTAAGTCAGGAAGAGAGACTGAGGCAAGTTTTAGAAAAGGAGTGAAAGTTTATTGAAAAGCTTAAAGCAGGAATGAAAGGATGTAAAGTACAATTGTAAGAGGGCCAAGGGGGTGACTTGAGAGATCAAGTGCATAGCTTGACCTTTTGACTTGGGGTTTTGTACACTGGCATACTCCTGGGGTCTTGCATCCCTTCTCCCCTGATTCTTCCTTTGGGGGTAAGCTGTCCACATGTGCAGTGGGTGGCCTGCCAGCACTTGGGAGGGGAGCATGTACAGTGTGTTTACTGGAGTCGTATGCATGCTCACTTGGGGCATTCTTCCCTTACCAGCAAATGCTCCTAGAAGGTCATATACCAGTTAAACTCCACCATTTTGCCTCTTAATGTGCATGTGTGAGCCCACTTGCCCAATTCCTGAGATCTTATTGGGAAGCTGCTGATCACTAGTTTCAGATTTTTTCTGACTATAGGGAGGCTGCCTTTCCCTGGCGCTGGCTACGGGCCAGTCATTATTGTAGAGTCAGTTAACAACTGCCTAACCATCACCTGATGGTTGCCTGACATTCCTGGTCAGGCAGAGCCCTCTCTCACCCTGCTCATGCCTGACTAGCTACCTACTGTAACAGAATGTTTTTATAAATTGGCTGGGTGCGGTGGCTCACACCTATAATCCCAGCACTTTGGGAGGCTGAGGCAGGTAGATCGCTTGAGCTCAGGTGTCAAGTCCAGCCTGGGCAACATAGTGACACGCTATATCTACAAAAAAAAATACAAAAATAGCCAGGCATGGTGGTGCACTCCTGTAGTCCCAGTTATTTGGAGGGATGAAGTGGGAAGATCACTTGAGCCCAGGAGGTTGAGGCTTCAGGGAGCCATGTTCATGTTACAGTATTCTAGCCTGGGTAAGAAAGTGAGACCGTCTCAAGAAAAAAAAAAAAAAAAAGAATGTTTTTGTAAATTGTTGAATGAAGTCTTTAGGTTGTTCACCTTCTTCTCCTCCTCCTCCTCTTCTTCTTCTTCTTTTCTTCTATTCTTCATCTCCCCCTCCCCCTCCCTCTCTTCCTCCTCTTCCTTCTTATTCTTATTCTTCTTCCTTCTCCTCTTCTTTTTTTGAGACAGGGTCTCACTCTGTTGCCCTGGATGGAGTGCAATGGCAAAATCACTGTTCACTGCAATCTTGACCTCCTGGGCTCACGCAATCCTCTCACCTCAGGCACACAAGTAGCTGGGACTACAGGTATGTAGGAGGTGAGTGGTACAGGTATGTACCACTACTCCTGGAAGATTTTTTATTTTTTTTGTAGAGACAGGGTCACTATGTTGCCTAGGCTGGTCTCAAACTCCTGGGATCAAGTAATCCTCCTGCCTCAGCATCCCAATGTGCTGGGATTACAGGCATGAACCACCACACTCAGCTTGATGTTCACCTTCTTTCTAAGTGAAGAATTCAACCTTAGAGGGAGAAATCCTCACAATCACGCTTATTAAGCTTTGAATGTCAGTCTCCAACTGTGTCAATTCCTGGTCATTCATGGGGGTCCAAGGAGGGGTACTAGCCATCTGTTTCCCTGTTGAAGAGGATTTTCCCCAGAGGGCCGCCTGGCTTGTTGAATAACTACAATATAATCATGAGTGGGAAGAAAACCTCTTGGAAACCTGTTGTGGGCCCTATGAGTCAAGCTATGGACAGCCACGATTCTTTCTACATACTTTCTAAATTTGATAGAATTTTCAGAAAGTGGAGGTAAGAGGGATATAAAATTTAAAAGACCTGCTACTGTCCAGGGTAAACGAATTCTTCATGGTGGGAATCCAGGATACATTCACAATGCATATTGCATGGGAAGACCTGGAGCTGATGGGATCTGATTACGGAGTCCTAGGAAGAAGGTGGGATTATAAGGGAAAGTAAAATAAGTCTTGCTGAGCATTCACAGAGCCTCTGCCAGAACTATCTGTGGTTATTGTCATTTACATAGTAATGTGTATGTCTACACCTGTAGGTCAGGCTAGAGTACTTTTTGCAATTCTTGCGAAGAAAGAGAAGTTAAAGTGGACAGTTGAGTGATTGAGGGATTTTCTGGGAAAATCAGAGGAGTTTCAGGAATTAAAGTAATTTTTGTGGAGGTAGGGCCAGATCATGGAGAGGAGAATTTGAGGCAGAGATCCAGAGATTCAAAAAAATCTTCTATAGGGTCGGGGAAAGGGAGTTGGAGTAAAGGGAAGTATAGGAGGGAGGTGAGAGGAGGAATTTACAGTGGGTGTGGAATTTAACTTTCAGGCCGGGTGCAGTGGCTCACGCCTGTAATCCCAGCACTTTGGGAGGCTGAGGTGGGTGGATCACAAGGTCAGGAGTTCAAGACCAGCCTGGCCAAGATGCTGAAACCCCATCTCTACTAAATATACAAAAATTAGCTGGGCGTGGTGGCACGAGCCTGTAATCCCAGCTACTTCGGAGGCTGAGGCAGGAGAATCGCTTAAACCCAGGTGCCAGAGGTCACAGTGAGCCAAGATCAAGCCACTGCACTCCAGCCTGGGCAACAGAGCAAGACTTCGTCAAATAAATAAATAAATAAAAATAATAAAAACTTTTAAATCTGATTTCTGCTCTTTAATCTTGTTAAGAAAGTCTTTTAGGCTAGCCACGGTGCTTTTTTGCATCCTCTTTCAATTTGATCCTCCCATAGGTACAAATAGGACATTTGTTTAGGGTGAGAGCTAAATCCTTTTAAAAGGATTTAAAGTTCTTTAAAAATAGATACCTCCAAAGGCGTATCTATTCTTAATGTGACTCAAAACCAATAAGCCTTTTTATGACTTAACCATGGTCACAAGAGGGATTCCCAAAGAGAATGCAGAAGATATAGCTCTCATGATCCAAAGGCTTTCCCAAAGATAGCTAAAAAGAACTAAAGCAAAGGACTTCATTGCCACAGGCAGTGAAGAATGGTGTTTGTGAAAAGTCATGTCTCCAGTCTCCCAAATAGTGAGATGCTGCCAATCACAGCCCAGCTAATCCATGAGACTGACACCAGGCAGGCAATACAGAGATGGGACTTCCCCAGTACTGACAAGGCAATGTGGGAAGAGACAAGGGCTCCTTATGGACTAGGGCCCTTTATTTAGACTAATTCTTTGAATGCAAACTGCAGGAGGGAAAAAACAAAATTATTTAGACTAATTCCTCTGAGAGCTGGCATAGTCAGACAGAAACGGTTGCTTGTGCACCTTGTGTCTTGGGTGCCCTATCCTGATAGCTAGTCATTGCTAGACAAAGGCCCAAGAACCTGTGCCTGCTACTCTCCTCCCCCTGCAGGCAGAACACCAGAGAGAGAACACTCTCTGGATCCAAGCCAAGCTCTCAGAACACAAAACAAGGAAGGAGAACATTATCCGGTATTTTTTAATCAGTGACCCACGACAAAGTTTGTCAACGTGAATGCTGGGTTGGTGAGAACTATAAATTCACCAGTCTGTGAGGCCGACTTGAACAATAGGCTTGTAAGACTTATTCTTGTGTTCTATGATTCTCCTCCTTATGGAGAAATGACACAAAACACAGAGATTAAGATAAAACAGTGACCATCCCAGGGAAGGAAAAGATCAATAACAAAATGACTCAAATCAAAATCCCAAGAGTTGCAATATCCAAAGAACTAGTTCTTACGAACATTTTTTTCCTGTTAAGCTAAACTTAGGAAGAGGTCCTTACAGGCCTCACTTAACTAGACTCTAAGTAGGAATCCAGGTGGCTGCATTGGTAATTATTCTTATCTTGCCAGCTTTGTTGGACGTCCTGAGATCTCAGCCAGAGCCTCAGGAGCAAGCAAAGACTTCAAGCCCAACCAGCCCATCCTCATTGCCAAAACTGTCAAGGAGGGGAAAATGTTTTTTGCCACCCTCTTAGATCAGTGACTCAGGGCCTATGAACTAAACTAACAAAAGACAGGTTAACAGGAGTAAAGACACACTTATTTTATAATATTTACCTGCATGAGAGTTCATAAAAAAGAACTAAAAGAAACAGTTAAACTCAGGGACTTGCATACCATTATGACAAAGGGAAAGGGAGTTGGGCTTTAAAACCCAATAATAAATCATGGGGAAGTGATTAGGAAATATATGGGAGAACTGATGGAGAATAAGATTATTTTAGTAAAGTCTGTTGATGCAAACTCATCTTAGTGTTAATTCTCCATCTCCAGTGATGAGCTACTCTCCTCTTCCTGGTACAGGAAAGGGAAACAGCACAAGAGAAAATCTATGTGCTGCTTTTAGGCAGATAAGGGAAGAGCAGAGAAGTCCTCCTGCATCTGTTGATTTTCAGTTGCCTTCAATTCAAAATAATTCTTATACCAAAGTGGCAAATTTTGGTGTGGCATATCCTGATCCCCTTCAGCCTCAAAAGACACCAGATAAACAATTAGATGGCTACCAAGCACTTAGGCAATTCTACTTTTATGGCATGCTCACCATAGTCTCACAAATGCTGTTAGCATCAACTGTGAGCCTCCTTAAAAATGTAGACTAATAAGCCTTCTTCCTAACCCATCTCTCCAGATTCTGATCTGCATTGTCAATTTAGTTATGCAACTTAAGTTGTGTTAAAACTCTGTTAGTGTATCCTTAGGCACATGCATATAATAAAACAAATATAACTTTCTTACAAATAACATTGACCAGATTTCAGTGAGACCTGGGTATGGTATGCCTTGAAAGTAAACCAAATCCTTTTCCCTAATGTGAAAGAAATTGCTAGGCATCCTGCTGTTTTGCTTCAACCAATTCTGGAAGTTGAGGTTATAAACAGAACCAAGCAGCATTCTGGGAATTGGCTGTCGAGTTATGATCTTACTAATTATCACTTACTGGGGTAGTGCTTTTCAAATTTTAAGAAATATTAACATCCCTTGGGGAACTCCTAAAAATCCTGATGCCTAGGTTGCACTCCGGAAAAATGAAGTCAGGATCTTTTGGGGTGAGACCCATGCAGCTGTATTTTTAGAAAACTCCTCAGGGGATTCCAAAATTCAGCCAAGTTTGAGAATCAGTGTACTACAGTCATAATTCTCAACCCTGGCTGCATATTAGGATTACCTAGGGAAAGTGTACAAACTAAACTACAACAACCTGGAGATTCACTTCCAGAGAATCTCATTTAATTAATCTGGCACCAACATTTCTGTAAAAGTTACTCTGTTATACAATGTTACCCAGGATGTTCAATGTCTCAGCCTGGGTTGAAGGTAAAGGCACTACAGTCACAATTCAAAGTGAAAATGAGGGAGAGTGGTGAGGAGAAAAGCTTATTGTCTTTATTTATTTATTTATTTATTTATTTATTTTTGTAGAAACAACTTCTCATTATTTTGCCTATGCTGGTCTCAAACTCCTGGCCTCAAGGGATCCTTTCACCTCAGCCTCCCAAAGTGCTGGAATTACAGGTGTGAGCCACTGAGCCTGGCCTGCATTCAGATTTGAAACAGAGAAGAAGAAATGGTAAAGAGGAGGATCAAACTTAGAGTTTCAGAGTGGGAATGAGGCTAATTTATATCAAATGATCCACCACAGGCACCATAATATAAATGTGAGCTAACATTATAAGCACCCTAATACTGAATACACAGTTCAGGGATAGGTAGTTTCAATTTGAAAGACCAAGTAATTCCGTAATCCAGGCTTTAGAGAGGTAGCTGTTCCAATTACTATCAACACCAGGTGCATTTTAAAATACAAAAAATGTTAGAAATTGTTCATTGGTGTTCAAGATATATGTGTGACTAAGAAGACTGTATAGGCCCTCCTACCCCTGAATGAACAGGGTATAAAAATTTACCAAGACTAGGCCAGGCGCGGTGGTTCGTGCCTGTAATCCCAGCACTTTGGGAGGCTGAGGCAGACGGATCAACTGAGGTCAGGAGTTTGAGACCAGCCTGGCCAACATGGTGAAAACCACATCTCTACTAAAAATACAAAAATTAGCCGGGTGTGGTGGCAGGCGCCTGTAATCCCAGCTACTTGGGAGGCTGAGGAAAGAGAATCGCTTGAACCTGGGAGGCGGAGGTTGCAGTGAGCCGAGATTGTGCCACTGCATTCCAGCCTGGGCAACAAAAGTGAAAACTCAGTCTCAAAAAAAAAAAAAATTATCAAGACTAGGCCAGACGCAGTGGCTCATGCCTATTATCTCAGCACTATGGAAGGCCAAGGTGGGAGGATTGCTTGAGCTCAGGAGTTCAAGACCAGCCTGGGCAACATGGCAAAACCCAGTCTCTACAAAAAAATACAAAAATTAGCCAGGCATGGTGGTGTGTGCCTGTAGTCCCAGTTCCTTAAGAGGCTGAGGTGGGAGGATCACCTGAGCCTAAGAGGTCGAGGTTTCAGTGAGCTGAGATCGCGTGACTGCACTCCAGCCTGGGTGACAGAGCAAGAACCTGTCTCAAAAAAGAAAAGAAGAAATAATTTACCAAGATCAGTGGTTTAATACCCTTGATAGACAAAGTGAAATCTAAACTAGCAGCACCAGCAACAGGAGGAATTTTGTTAGAAACTGAGAATCTCAGATTCACCCCAGACCTATTCCAGATTAGTATTTTTAAAAGATTTACATTTCAACAAGATTTGAATGCGCTTTAAAGTTTGAAATGCACTGAGTGGTACACCACATGTAATATTTGAACTGTCCTGTATTCAATTACATAGCTTAAAATTTCCTCCTCTGACTCCTAAAACGTTCGTTGGATCCTGCTGCTATAATATTACACAGTATTTCCAAATAAATTTTCATACAAGGAGCTTGTTGGAGTGCCTAAAAGAAGAGATAATTAGGACTTGTTTGAGCTTATAGAACAACTTGAGCCTGCTTGCTAATAAGTGTATGTAAGTGTGGTAAAATTTAGTCCAGGAGTTCCTTAATTGTAATACATATCACCTAATAGTGAGATTGTACTAGCCTTTACCTCCAAATATTAGTGGCTAGCACATATAGGTAGAAAAAAAAACCCTAATTTTATTTATTTATTTTTATTTTATTTTATTTTGAGACAGAGTCTTACTCTGTCACCCAGGCTGGAGTGTAGTGGTGTGATCTTGGCTCATTGCAACCTCCGCCTCCTGGATTCAAATGATTCTCCTGCTTCACCCTCCTGAGTAGCTGGGACCACAGGTGTGCACCACCACACTCAGCTAATTTTTATATTTTTTAGTAGAGACAGGATTTCACCATGTTGGCCAAACTGGTCTCCAACTCCTGGCCTCAAGTGATCCACCTGCTGTGGCCTCCCAAAATGCTGGGATTACAGGCATGAGCCACTGCTCCAGGCCTCCAAATCTCATCTTGAATTCCCATGTGTTGTGGGAGGGACCTAGTGAGAGGTAATTGAATCATGGGGGTGGGTCTTTCCAGTGCTGTTCTTGTGATAGTGAGTAAGTCTCAGGAGATCTAATGGTTCTATAAGGAGGTGTTTCCTTGCACAAACTCTCCCTTTGCCTGCTGCCATCCACTTAAGACGTGACTTGCTCCTCCTCACCTTCTGCCATAATTGTGAGGCTTCCCCAGCCACATGGAACTATAAGTCCATTAAATCCTTTTTCCTGTATAAATTATCCAGTTTTGGGTACATCTTTATCAGCAGCATGAAAGTGGGCTAATACAAAATAACTAAATATGAAAAGTGAAACCATTGTGTTAAAAAACAGATAATGTAGGAGAATATCTTTGTGATATAAAGATAAGGAATCAGTTCATTAAGAAAATCCAAAAAGCAAAAGTTACAAGGCAAGAAAAAAAAAAAGAAGATCATGAGTACATAAAAATTAAGCATCAACATGAGCAAAGTTAGAGACATGACAGACTGGGATATGTGATATTAGCAGTGCTTAAAACCTAAAAGAGATCAATATGTAATACATGAGGAGTTCTTGCATATCAGCAAGGAAAATGCATGAACCCTAATAAAAACAGGCCAAGATTTTTACCTAAGATGTTTAGTATAACCTGAGATCTGGTCCCAAGAGTTAACCACTTGCCTTTAATTGATGAGGCCCACTCTTTTTTTCTTTGAGATGAAGTCTTGCTCTGTTGCCCAGGCTGGAGTGCAGTGGCGCCATCTTGGCTCACTGCAAGCTCTACCTCCCAAGTTCATACCATTCTCCTGCCTCAGCCTCCGGAGTAGCTGGGACGACAGACACCTGCCACCACGCCCGGCTAATTTTTTGTATTTTTAGTAGAGACAGGGTTTCACCGTGTTAAACAGGATGGTCTCAATCTCCTGACCTCGTGATCTGCCCACCTTGGCCTCCCAAAGTGCTGGTATTACAGGCATGAGCCACCACACCCGGCCGAGGCCCACTAATATTTTTTAAAAAGAATCCGACTATTATTGAACTGCCAACACTGTTTAGTTGGCAACAAAAGCAAAAGTTTCCATGACTGAAACACTAGATTGGAAAGTTTTGACAATGGAGAGGAGAAAGTCAGGAACACGAAGCACTGCATTGAGAGATTCTACTAGGGAAAGGAAATGTTTGTGACCAGAAGAAAACAATGTCTCTGGCACCTTGGGAATTGAGGAGCATTAAAAGAACCAGGGAGCTATCTATGTAGATGAACACAAAATACAATTTGCCATCTGGCTGGCTTTTGACTGCTCCTCACCCCTTGCAGGGTCCCCCAGTTATCCCCTATCCCCCACACTTCCCCATTTCTTTCTATGTCCACACCAAAAATCACAGAGTGCCTACATCACTTTGTGACCCTGCCAGTTGCAGATTTTTTTCCCAGAAGGCTTGAACCCAAACCTTGAGTATTCCCAGACACTGATAAAAGTATCTAGGTTTACTAGAAATAAATTGGCAGCAGCCCTAAGCCAAATCTGTTAAGCCTTCATATAAACTCCATACCCTGACCCCCTCACTGTAGACATACCTAGGTGGGATATCCCTTTTCTCTTGCTGTCCAACTCGAGGATTGCTGGAGCCTGCTTGGTAGGTAAGTTTCCCAAATGAATGCTTTGGACTGATCATACTGGCATTTACGGCTTCTTTTTTTTTGAATCCCAACTGGCCCTGTTTGACGATTTGGGACATTCCCCAGTGGGTACTCCCTTGCTTCTGCTTTTAGGACAACTCCAGCCACAGGTTTATCAGGACAAAAAGCACCCCTTCTACTCAGCAACTTCAAACTTTCAGAAGCTATTGCACTTACAAACCCAGAAAACCACAACCAAAATTGTGCACACACATGTGTTTGAATTTGTGTGATTGATCACTTATGTGGGTTTAGTATAACCACTCATGATATACTTTGCTTTATGTAATAAACATAGTCCCAAGGAGATAATGCTAAATTAAGTGTCCCAATGAAATATTTTTATTGTCAATGAACTAAATAATACCTCAATAAACTGTGATTTTTTTATTAAATCATTCCCAGAAAGAATGGTTTAAGAGCCACCAGTATGAGTTGTAAATAATCATTTGAGGCAGATATTTGCTAATATTTGGTAATGATCTTACATGGACGATCAAATGAATATAGCTAGAGATATATTTTGCAACCAGTTTATCTTGGAGGGTTCACTAGAATATATTTCAAAGTCACACATTTTGTGGGAGCTTTTGAGTTATTTTATGTATCATCTTTAAAAATTCCCCAGGCAAAAATAATTATGGCAAAGTTCTGTTGCTCTCCGGAGCAGGACTTGGCAGTCTCCCTCATTCGTTTCTCTAAGTACTAAGAAGACCTAGAATTGCTTGTGGAAGAAAATGTTGGCTTTGCCCACAAATAGGCCCTGGGTCCATCTCTGTTGGAAGTTGTATTAGTCCATTTTCATGCTGCTGATAAAGACAACCCCAAGACTGGGCAAATTACAAAAGAAAGAGATTTAATGGACTTACAGTTCCATGTGGCTGGGGAGCCCTCACAATCACGGCAAAAAGTGAAAGGCACGTCTCACATGGCAGGAGACAAGAGAACAGCTGGGTGCAGTGGCTCATACCTGCAATCACAGCATTTTGGGAGGCCAAGGCAGGCAGATCACTTGAGGTCAGGAATTCGAAACCAGCCTGGCCAACATGGTGAAACCCTGTCTCTACTAAACATACAATAATTAGCTTGGCGTGGTGGTGCATGCCTGTAATCCCAGCTACTCAGGAGGCTGAGGCAGGAGAATCGCTTCAACCTGGGAGGCGGAGGTTGCAGTGGGCTGAGATCATACTATTGCACTCCAGGCTGGAGTACAAGAGCAAAACTCTGTCTCAAAAAAAAAAAAAAAAAGAGCTTGTGCAGGGAGACTCCCATTTTTGCTTTTTTGTTGTTGTTGGTTTTTTGTTTTTGTTTTGTTGTTTTTTTTTTGTTTTTTTTTTTTTTTTTTGAGGTGGAGTCTTGCTCTGTCACCTAGCCTGGAGTGCAGTAGTGCGTTCTTGGCTCACAGCAACCTCCTTCTGCCCCTACATTCAAGCAATTCTCCTGCCTCAGCCTCCCTAGTAACTGGGATTACGGGTGTGGGCTACCATGTCCAGCTAATTTTTGTACTTTTAGTAGAGATAGCGTTTCACCATGTTGGCCAGGCTGGTCTTGAACTCCTGACCTCAAGGGATCTGCCCACCTCGGCCTCCCAAAGTGCTGAGATTACAGGGGAGAGCCACGGTGCCCGGCCAAGACTCCCATTTTTAAGACCATCAGATCTCGTGAGACTCATTCACTATCACAAGAACAGCATGGGAAAAACATGCCCCCATGATTCAATTACCTCCCCCCGGGTCCCTCCCACAACACATGGGAATTCAAGATGAGATTTGGGTGAGAACACAGCCAAATCATTACAGATATGGAGTGGCCTTCTATTAAAACATGTGCCTCCTTGACAGCTTTAATTTTTTTAAGAAGGAATCTTCCAACTTTGACAATTAGTTGATTGTCACAGCACATCTGCCCTTTCTTTTTTTTTGGCAAAACAGAATATATTCATTCCAGATTCCTACCAAAGAGTATGTCCCTAGATTGCTGATTACCCAATTCTTATAAGCCCTATAGGAGAAAAAATACAAATTTCTTGGAGAATTGATAGAAATATTTAAAGTCCATTTCTCCTTTTGCATTAATTATACTTTTTTATTTTTTGTAGTTTTAATGCTTTTACATCTGGGGCCTCGCTGAACCTGGAGGGACCACCCCTCCCAGAGCTAGTCAGTTCCAGGGAGAGCACCCTTCAAATGTAAACCAATTTATCCAGAGCCCATGCCCACTACCACCTCCTTTATGAGGCTCTCAGGGAGCTCTCACACTCTGAGTTACTGTTCCTTTCCATAATCACCCCAGGACCAGGTACCTGAAAACTAGAGACAACCTCTACACCCTAGAGCCTGCCGAAATTATTCAAACTAGTCAAACCTGAATAATAATAAAACCTACATTTTAAAACACCTTGGGAGCAGAACAGAATTTAGCCAGGTCTCAAACTGTTTGAGTCTCTAAGTGACTTAATGCCATTCACCTGTGTTGTAGGATCTTTTTAAAACACAGCTAAGTAATAAAGTGCTCCCCAAATTAGGAGGCAATTGCTATACCTTCTGGGGCATTTGCGAAGCTAGAAATGCAAAAACTAACAAAGTACATTTCTCCTACCAATTCACCTTGATTCCATTGATTCTTCAGGGACTATCATACGTGTAAAATCGGTTCTCTTTGCTATAGGTTTGTCTTGCAGCAATGAAATCACCCTTTTAAAAATTGTGGCCAAAAACACATAACAAAAAATTTATAATCAATCTTTTTAAAGTGTAAAGCACAGTGCTGTTAACTATATGTACATTATTGTGTAATGCAGCTCCAGAACTTTTTCATTTTACAAAACTGAAACTTCACATCCATTGAACAAATTCCCTTCTCACCTCCCCAACCCCAGCCTGTGGCAACCACTGTCCTACTTTCTGTTCTGAGTTTGACTATTTTAGTCAACTATTTGTCTTTTTGTGACTGCCTTATTTCACTTAGCATAATGTCCTTAGAGTACATCATATTGAGGCATATGACATTTCCTCCTTTTATTAAGGCTGAATAATATTCTATTCTACGCATACACCACATTTTCTCTATCCATCCATCTGTTGATGGACATTTAGATTGTTTTTACCTTTTGGCTATTGTGAATAATGCTATAATGAACATGGATGTACAAAAATCTCTTTGAGACTCTGCTTTCAATTCTTGAGGATATGTACCTAGAAGTAAAATTGCTGGATTCTATGGTAATTCTATGTTAATTATTTTTGAGGACCTACCAGACCGGTTTCCATAGCAACAGTACCATTTATATTAATACCAGCAATGCACAGGGATTCCAGTTTCTGCACACCCCTATCATCCTACTGGGTATGAGGTAATTTCTCATTGTGGTTTTGAATTGCATTTCCCTAATGATTAGTAATTCATATGCTTCTGGCCATTTGTATATCTTATTTGGAGAAATGTCTATTCAAGTCCTTTGCCTATGTTTTAATTGTATTGTTTGGGCTTTTGTTGTTCAGTTGTAGTTCTTCATATATTTTGAATATTAACACCTTATCAGATATATACTCTCAAGTATTTTCTCTCATCACATAGTTTGCACTTTTGCTCTGTTAGATTATTTCTTTGCTGTGCAGTTTTAAAGTTTGATATAGTCCAACCTGTCCGTTTTTGCTTTTGTTGCCTGTGCTTTTAGTGTCATGTCCAAGAAATCATTGCCAAATCCAATGTCGAGAAGCTTTCTCCCTGTTTTCTTTTAGGAATTTTATAGTTTCAGATCTGAT
Organism: Homo sapiens; assembly: GCF_000001405.40. Classification (NCBI taxonomy): domain Eukaryota; kingdom Metazoa; phylum Chordata; class Mammalia; order Primates; family Hominidae; genus Homo; species Homo sapiens. The sequence goes on from NC_000007.14 coordinate 94,898,211, forward strand.
ATTAAGATCTTTAATCCATTTTGAGTTAATTTTTATAGGTGGTATCAGGTAAGGGTCCAACTTCATTCTTTTGCATGTGGTACCCAGTTTTCTCTGCACCATTTATTGAAAAGACTATCATTTCCCCATTGTGTAGCCTTGGTACCTTCATCAAAGATCATTTGACCATATATAAGAAGGTTTATTTTAGGGCTCTCTGTTGGTCTATATGTCTGTATTTTTGCCAGCACCATGTGGTTCTGATTGCTGTAGCTTGATGACATGTTTTGAAATCAGAAAGTGTGAGGCCTCCAGCTTTGTTTTCCTTTCTCAAAATGATGTCATACTTTTAACAAGAAAATTGTCTATGAGACAATGTTCTGTGTCAGCTTCTTATCCATTATTTGGCATGTCAGTGACAACTATCCATTGCATAGTGAAGCTGTGCCATGTTAACAACACACATTGTATAATGAAGCTGTGCAGTGTAACTACATTACAAGCAATAATTCTTATTTGTCTTTGAAATTTTTTGTATAATAAATTGTAAAATATTGTTAAGCTGTTGCTGTGACAATAATGAGATGTGACTAAAATGCAATAAAATAAATACCTAACCAATGCATTGAAATGAGTCTTGTCCCCTTCCAAGAATATGCCTTTTCAAATAATGCCAAAAAAAAAAAATCCTTTGGAACTTCTCTTTTGTTATAAATCAGCCTCTGATTCAGTCATTGCGCTACTTTATAAAAGTGGATTCACTACTTTCATTTCTCATGTCATATTTGACTGCAAATGACTTTAGATTGTTGATATATGTCAAATTCTATCTCAAGGTATGAAGATGTTCATTACTGAGTAGACTTAGGAAATTACATTGAGATGAAACTCGTTTAGATGCAAATTTTTGACATATTTATTTAAAAATCACTCACATTGCCTGACATATACTTATTTATGCGTAGAAAAAATTTTGACTATGAGGCATCTGAGAAAATAAAGAAAACACCAAACAAATAAAACCAGGTATCCACAGAGGTTATCTATCCATGAATACCTCACATATTCCCTTCTAAATTTTTAGATGTGTCAAATCAGCAGTGTTATTTATTTATATATTAATTTATATTCCCTGTATTCCAAAAAGGATTTTAAGCAAGGTATAGTTAACTCATTTCAAATCATGGAGATTCTGTAAATCCCAACAGAGAGTGAAATTATTTATCTAATGCTTTTGTATAGAGATGAAACATATTATTTATTTCCAATTTTGTTTCCCCTCTGTGTGCAAACTCTCACATAACTGTAAGAATCTGAATTATTACACTTAGTTTTAGTTCAGTAACTCTTAAGCTATAATTTGAATAGCCCTGACTCATGTGTCTAGTCCTTTAAGAGAATCATTCAGTGGTAGACAACAGTGTTAATCAATAAACTTGGTTAAGATACGAAAATTTCACCAGAGATAGGCAATTGGTTATGAGGCTGTGGTCTTCAATATTGATTAGCCCAAGTATTTTTTTATGACTTTACTGAGATATAATTCACATTACTGTACAATTGCTCAATTTAAAGTACGCAATTCAGTGTGTTTTAGCGTATTCACAGGGTTGTGCTACCAGCACCATGATCTAATTTGAGAATATTTTTGTATCCCTTAAAAGAAACTCTGTACTCATTTGCTATCCCTTACCAGCCCCAAGCCTCTAGCCCCAGCCTTAAGCAACCACAAACTATTTTCTGTCTCTGTAGATTTACCTATACTAGACATTTTGTGTAAATGGAATCATGCGGTATGTGGCCTTTCGTGATGACTTCTTTCACTCAGCACAATGTTTTCAAGCGTCATCCATGTTTTAGTACATGTCAGTACTTCAATTCTTTTTATTGCCAAATATATTCCATTGTATGGATATGCTATGTTTCATTTATTCATCATTTGATGGACATTTGTGTTGCTTTTCTTTTTTGGCTATTATGAATAATGTTGCTATGAACATTTCTGTGCATAGCCCAAAGATTCTTAGTATAAGTGTTTGAGAATAAAAATAAAAACCTTATAGAAGTCCTGTTGTCTGACATTGTAAGAAGAACATTATGCTTTAATGGAAAACTATACATTGTTTAGATTACACTCTTCCAGGTATTCAATTCTAATCTTTCCTTGTTTTTGAGCTATTTTACAGCTCTCTGAATTATAGAGAGCTGATAACAATGCAAAATAATTCCCACGTATAGACCTGTAAATTCTGTCAGTTGGAGGTTTCCTTGCCTTCCCACCTTCACTGAGGAAGACGCCATTTTTGCTTTCATTTACACCTTCAGTTCAGTATTCCTGACTATAACTGTGTCTTTTTTTTTTTTTTACGACGTCCATTGATCTGGTTGTAATACCTTGCCAGTTTCCTAATTAATGAGTTAAATAAAATTGTTAGCCTGTTTTCATTTTATATATGTATGAGAGTCATGATCTTACCTGTTTTGTTAGAATGATATTTTAGCAACATGCTCAATATTCGACTGACTCCATAATTTCTTTTTCTGCTGGAAATAGAATTTCAGTGACTCTGAGAAATATCCACCAGTTCTAAACATTTCTGAAATCTCAACAGAGGTAGCTAATATACTACAGTACTTACATATTTAAATAAATTCTAACTAAGAGACTAACATTTTTCTGAATAGTCTTGAAGTTAGAGGAAAGTTTTGAACAGTGGAACTCAAGAAGACTTCTCAGTTCTTGGAAATGTGAGTACCACATTTATACATTTTTCTAGCCTACTTGGATCAATGTAGAGAGCTAATCAGGGTAGTAACTATAGAAGCAATGGCTGTCACTATCATCTTAACCAAAAAGCCAGGAGTAGAGCTTTTTAAGCAAAAACATCAGGGAAGATGGGGTTAGAATGGGTTCTAGTATCTCCTGCTCATAGTCCCATAAGCGTCTCCATGTATATGAACACCCTACTACACAGGGTCCACCAAATAGTAATACAAGAGTGAGAACTTTAGGTGTACACTAGACGCTAACAACTTACTAGATTTTAATATCAGTTACATAATCTAGTTAGTGTTCCCTAACATCCATCCTTAGCCCAGCTGCTCAACAGAATCACCTTCAGAGCATTCTGGAGTTTACTAGATCCTACCCAAGAGATTCTTGTTCAGAAAGGCTGGCATGGGACCCAGGGATCTGAATCTGATTAAGCTCTCTAGGTGATTCTGATTATCACCCAAGGTTTTGAGTCAGTGAATATGATACTCATAAAAAGGGAAAACTTTTCCAGTTTTGCAATATAATTTATGTGTTTTCTTACACTGCTTTCCAAGCATCTTTTACAAAGACAAGGGCAACTAAAATTAATCTTTGGTGCCTAGCACTAGGATGAGGATTTAAATCCAGATAATCAAACTTTCTATGAGCAAGGAACATAGTGGGATTTTATTAACTTATTTAATATAAATTATGTAGGCCACAACATTGTTTTTTATTTTAATCTAACCTACATGGCAGTTTCCTTTTTTTTCAAAGTGTAAATCCTGCCAAGAACTATTCAATATCAATTGCATATTTGATTTTTACAAATTTCATAGGTAATCTTACAAGATAGTACTGTCTACTGGAAGCATGTTGTGTTATTTTTATTGATCCCTTGGTCAGTTCTGAATTATATAGTCGTTTTATTTCTTAGACTTTACAACCCAAATATATGGTTAGAATCTTTTAGAGAAGTCATATTCTCCATACTTGGGAACAATTTCATTTAAAGCAAAATAAAATCATTGTAATATGCAATAATCTTGTGATTTGAAAATCCCACAGAAGAGATCAGAACAGTTTTAATGAGGTGATAATGATGTACAAATATTTTGGAAACTGAGCCTTTCTCTAAATATGGATGTTTCTAGGTCAGTAGTCATCCAAGAGTATCTCAGTGTCAATTTTAAGCTTAGTGTTAGATTTTTGGAAAATAAAGCTACATCGCATAATAAACGACTATTTATTTATGCATCTAAATGCTTCACTTGGCCTTGGTCCAACTCTCCTTTGGGTAAGCATGTGGTAGTCTATCATTTGGTATGTTGCTGGCCTTGCTTAATTTTTGAGGCTCTTGAGATGAGTTCAAAAAGCAATAACAAAATATGTACGCTTTGCATAAATTACATTATAGTACACTGCACTCACAGACATGTAATTTATTATAAGAAAATGATTCCAGCTACACAAAATAATGTCAGACTAGATCGTTAGATTCTAGAACAAAGTGTAATTTAAAAAAATCCATAGACTTTGGTTTCTTTCCCTTTAAAGCTACAACAGGCCAACTTTGCATTCCTCATAAAAATGATATCTCGTTTTTCTTTAAAAAAATGATACATTTAAGCTTCTTTTACAATTTTAATTCATATCAATTCCATTTCATTTCACATTAATATGTTTATTTCTATTTTTGGTATCATCAGATATGAATTTCATGTCCTTTGAGGACGCAGCTAGGTATTGCTTTTAACTGTCCACATGCTGTTTCTGTATTCACAAAATAAATATTTAGATTAGCTTTTATGGTTTTTGGTCAAAATTCAATATTGAAAGTAAAAGCATCTTGTCATTTTGCATATACACATATAACCTTGGTGTCCATAGCTTTCCTTTAAAAGTAACTTGGTATAAGGAAACAAACACTTGGCTTGTAGTCCAGAGAATTATCAGAGGCAAAGGCTGAAGACCTCGATGTGCAGTCCGGGTTATCCCACGGAATCTGGATCTAATTGATGCCCAAACTGACATCTTGACCTCTCTGTGAAATATCCATGTTCACCAAATAATTGTTAACCCATCATTGTGTCTGGGATTGCTGTGCTCAGAGAATTCCATGCCAAAGAGCAACTTAAATGTAACAGTGTTTTGTTCAATTAAAAAAAGTAATAACAGGATTCAGATACAAGATTTTCCAGACTGTTTATTTCATCTTGTCTATATATATTTTTAGAAATCTAAAATGTTACAATTTGTTTGAAAATTTTTTCTTCTAATAATGCCAAAAAGCCTTTCTAAAGTATGTGATCCATCCATGCATTTAGAATCTAATAAAAAATACTAGTTAAGTGATTATAACTTCGTAGTATCATTTACTTAAGGAGAGTCTAAGACATGCAACATTTCCAGATGTAATCACGATGTTGAGTACCGTCCAGGGACAAGAATGAGAATGCTACCAGCTCAAGATCTGCCTTCTGATGGATGGGGATAAGCACTTGTTCATTATTGATCCAACTGAGAAATTTAATGGTGTGCAAACAATGTAAGGGATTGTGATACATTTTCAAACTTTATTTGAAACAATGCGTTAAAGTAATGGTAATAAATTACTATGCTGGATGAACATGGATTATGGCTGTTTAAGAACCTATGAAAAATGTACTAGTAACTTCAGAGCAAATTTATCATTGAATTATTTCCAAAAGCTGATGACTGCATACACAAATTAAATATTACGATGTTCTTAAAATGCATTCTGTTATAATGTAAATTTTGTATAAAATGGGACTATTGTGGACCTCACCAAGAAGGTTTATTACTAGAACTAGATTGAAAATGGAAATAAAGTCACAGAAATCTCCTGTTTAATTGTAGACAAACATGGATGCTTATTTATTTACTTTAATAGTTAATTCACCAAGGCTAATGCTATGGAATAGAGCTACTTCAAAATAATATGGAACAGAGCCTACTTCGAAATAATAGATTATGAATAAATTATTCTGAAGTAAGATCAGCAACATGCCAATTTGAGTTCAGGTGCAACTTGTAGGTGGAGGATTTGCAGACAGAAAACCACAACTAGAGTCCTGCTAGAGGGGCTAATCTGTTGAAAGAAAAATGAGCTTCTGTAGAAACAAATAAATGCCTCATACTTGTCTTTAAAAGTGTAACATGCACCACTACAAAACTGAAAACTAATGGTTATAGCAGCTGTTGTTTCAACCTCAGAAGCTGTGACAGCAATGAAAACATTATACCAATGTCTGGTCCAATAAAACTCTTGGTTTCCTGTGTTTTGTGTGGGTGGACAAAGTAATAATAGCAAAGAAAGAGAAGTTGTATCACTTTAGCCTAAACACACTGTGTAAATTTGTTGTTGTTTATTTGTAGAGATAAGATATTAGTAACTTAAAAATGACCTAAAGGAATCCCGAAGAGTTCTACAGTTCATTACTCATGGCAAGTAAAACTAAATACTCAACCTTATGAACTTTTAAAGCTGAAAATCCAAGATACTTGTAGAATGGGAAATGGACAGAGATGATGGTTTAAATTTTCAGTGGCATGTCCAAGCCATGAGTGTAGGTAGAAAGCCATGCTGAATCATTATCAATTTATTGGGGTAGAAATGACACCTTTAATGTTAATTTTATAGCTAACATCACAAAATAAGACTGATCATAGATATCTTTGAATCTGAATGTGAGCCTGAGGACTATTTTAGAGAAGTATATTCTACCTCTATGATGGAGTTTGTGTGAAATATTATAAGACTCAAAAGTAAACTTAAACTTTTATCCTCAAATACAGATATTTATTTTAAAGAGACCTTTAAGAAAATTGAATATCAACATTCAAGACTGAAGTCAACAAAGCATTCTGTGATACTTACAAATGTGAAATAAGTAGTTATAATTAAACTTTTAATTAAAAAGCTGCCTCGTCACTATCAAAACATTATGCATATCGGTAAGAAAACAGTGGTATGAATAACATGTCCTTTTACGCTACAATTATGTGTAAAATTACCTACTGAAATTGCTCTCCCATTACTTTGCCTTCTCCATAAAGAAGTTAAGTCTAGAGACCTTTTAGTTTGTTCTGGTCTTTTCTCTCCCTTCAGGAACTTCCATTAGTACACAACCAGCTAGGTATCTTCCTGTTAGAAATGAAAGTGTGATGGGCAGTCTTTAGTACCAGCTTAGCCAGTTTTCCCTAGTCTTAAAATTTGATTCAGGCTTAGTTTGGGCTTAATTTCACAGCTGCACCCAATGATTCACATACACACATGAATAACTTAATTCTTTGAATAGTTCTTAGAATGTCCATCACGAAAACTTAAAAATACATTGAGAAAACCCCTAAAACAATATAGAATATACTTTGTACTTTTTGTTTATCCTCTAACCTTGTGACCACATGGTTAATACTAATCATGGTATTATTGGTTGCAAAGGAAATGAAAATAACAGCCCACAATATTCTATATAATTTATGAAAGGTTAAGGTATCATATATGAAAACTGAGAACTCCCCCACCCCAAACACATTTTGGATTTTTTGCATGTCAGTAATGAAGTTCACTTTTCACCACCTTTCCAGTTGGAACATATAAAATGTATGACCTCTAATGCCTAATACATTAATGATCTATTGAACTAAGTTAACCCTTATAAAGTTCATAGAAGTGAAAATGTGGTCTAGAACAACACTGTTTGATAGAACTTTCTGTGATGGAAATGTTGCGTATCTACACTGTGCAACAGAGTGGCCACTAGGCACATGTAGCCATCAAGCCTTTCAAATGCGGCTTGTGTGACTAAGGAACTGAATTTTAAATTGTATTTAATTTTAATTAAAGTTAAATAGCCGCATGTATTGGATTAGCAGTCTAATAGACCCTTCAAACATTCAAGTAAGTGTTGGAAATGGAAGGTCCATTATAGGAAATCTAGGAATCTTAAATTCTCACCATCGGGTTTAAAACTCTATCATTCCTTCAGTATGAACTTTTCCAGAAGTTTCAGATTTTCAAAAGATAAAACTCAAACCAACCAAATCCTTTAGGGTGCTTTTCTGTATGAATCATCTTTCTGCAAAGAGGTGTAAGACTGTCTTTATTGCCAACTCTGCCCCCTCTTCTACAGACAGAACTCAGTGATTAGATTCTGCATTTATTTAGGTTATTCGCCTAAAAAACCTGGTTTCCATACTGCAAATAAATGACAGGAACTTTTCCACTAGATTATCCCAGACAGCAGAAATGTTCTTTCCAAAAGTGGAGCCTGGAACCACAGCCCCCTCACATTGCCTGTTACATCTGTTTATGCTTATAGAAGTGACATCCACTTCGTAGACAGAGAATGCCAATTTCTTGGGAAAGGACCCAGAATTTGGTGATGCTTAAAGGAAAAAAAAGCCCTTGCTGCTTAAAATTAAAAAATACATAGAACTGAGTATTGAGTAGTTACAAAATCCTTCTGAAATGAAAAGATTTTGCTCCCAGAGTATATAGAATTTGTGTACGGACTTGCCTGGGTTCATATTCAGCCATAATCATTTACTATTAATAGCCAATAAAGAAGCGGGTAAGTTACAAAACCTAAACCTTAGTTTTTCCATCAGTGAAATGGGGCTAAAAATAGTTATGTTGGGAAAACTTGTGAAAGACTTTGAAATGAGCAAAAGATTACTGTTTGTCCTTTCAATGGAATGCTGGATGTTATCTACAGGACTCCGGAGTGTTGTGAAATTTACAGTCGTCTGCACCTTACTTAGACTGACTTTCACTAGGCTATTTTACTACTCAGTAAGCTGTAGAAACGTTTGGTAATGTAAATGAGTTTTATCTACAGAATGCAAATTTGTTACTTTACAGATACAACTGGTTACCGCCCTGTAAAGCAGATAATAATAAACATTACATTTCAGTGCTCTATAGAATAGTAAGCAGATTTGCCTCTTCTTGCCTCTATGTCTACTCTTCACAGTCTCACGTGAATGGGTTGCAGTATCTTGCTGGGGTTCCCTTCCTAATTAAAAGAGTTATAAAAATTTTGACCAATGTTCATTTTATATTTCTACCATTGTCATGTTTTTACCTTCTTGAAAAATTATTTTTTAAGAGTTCCTGCTCCCTAGGCTTTTTGGAAGGATTGGTTTAAACATCTGTATTGACAGTCATGATCAGTTTTATATCTTGCAGGAAGGTGGTAACACTTCCGGTACTTGGGGGTGTAAGAGGTTGTACTGAGCCTTTAGAAAAGGGCGGGGTTCGGGGGGGAGTGAGCTGAAAAACTCTCCCTAGACAGGAAAGGTAGAAGACCTCCTCATCCCTTTCTCTTTGGCAGTGAGATCTTAAGGTCAAGGTGAGTAGTAGGCCAGGCGCAGTGGCTTAGGTGAAGGCCACACCAGACTTGGGCCTACGTCTTGGCCTTCCAGGTCAGCAGAGTGGCCTGGGACTTGGATGCCTTGGGGTCACGGAGTTAACTGCAGACTCAGACTAAGTGGGGCCCCAGCAGCGGTCAGCCCCAGAACCAAGTTCCGGAGCCAACACCCGAACAGGAAGGGGCCTTGCCCCAGGCCGGAGAGGCCCCTCGCCCACGGCCGAGGGGGTGGGGCGGCCTCGCCTCGGGCCGGTGCTTTTCGCCCTTCCTTGGCCGCCAGAGGCTCCCTCTCTCTCCCTCTCCCGGGATTTTGCTGCCGGGCTCCCTCTCTCTGCGGCCCTAGAGTTAATCCCATCAGCCGAGGTGAGGCACCTGTTACCCCGGCCTTCCTCACCCCCGCGGCCTCTCCTCCATTACACCGCGGCCGCCGAAACGGCCCGGCGTGGCGACCGCACGTGGGCCAAACCCCTTCCCCGGCCGGCACCCCTGGCCCCAGGCCGGCCCGAGCGTGCGGGCGCGTCGCTGCTCGGGCCGCCGCCCGCCCGCAATGGCGTTGGGGAGCGCAGCGCGCCTCCCGGGGCCGCCCGCCGCGGGCAGGGAGCGCCTGGGGGCCGACGCGCGAGTGGAAGCGGCCGCCGCAGCCGCCCTACGCGCTGCGCCGTGAGGAGCGGGTTGCGGTGTACCCAGCGGGCCGGCGCCGAGCCGAGCCGCCGCGTCCACCGTGGGGCGGGGGGCGCCTGCGAGGAGGGGGTGGGAGCCGCGGCGGCCCGACCCTCCCCGCCCGCGGCGCTCCCGCTCGGGTAAGGGGGAGGCTGAGCGCGGGGCGAGGAGTTGGGGAGGGTGGAGAGGAGGAAAAAATCGGCTTGTACAAAGGCTGAGTTGCAGGCTGGGGGTGGGGGTGGGTTGTGGTGGAGGAGCAATAGGTTGAAGATCGGAGGCATTATCAGTGGGATCTATTGTTTCCTGGCACATTGGGAGGAAAAACAAAGGGATTTATTTTCATTACCCTGTAATTTTTTTTCTTTTCTATTTTTTTAAATGTGGCCAGGGAGCTCGTCTCTCTCCGTGTCACAGTGGGATCCGCCTGGCAGCCGCCGGGAGCTGCAGCCAATGTGTTAGGACTTCAGGTGCTTCTTGGCACAAAGCTAGACTGCGACCTCCTACCATAGCGCTTGGCGTCACCTGCTCTCCCGGTCCTGCCCCAGGGCCGAGGGATTGCGTCCCGAACCGGGCTTGGGAATCGGCTGCCTCTCAAGTTGGTGTTATTTATGTTTGTCTTTTGTGAGGGCAGGTTTTGAATCCCCCGGCGGCCCCATCTCCCCCGCCCCCGCCTCCTTGGGTTGGAATTGGCGGGGGAGGGAATGGGGGGTGTGTGTAGGGGAGAGGGGAGGGTGTTTGTGGCTTTAAAAAGAATGGTCAGGGTAAAAGGAGATTGTCGATGCTTTACAAAAAAAGAAAAAAACAGGCACCACACTCCAAAGCCTTTCTTGTTTGTCTGCATGGGCCATGCATGCGTGCTGGGCCAGGAGCCGAGTTTGGAGACGGTTTAAGTGAAAGTGTGTGCCTCCTCAGCTGATTGTGCGTGAGGGTGATGTGGCTCGGTCTAATATCAAAACAAAACAAAAATAAAATGAAAAATCTTTAGAACTGCCTGCATTGTCTGCTCCTCAGCATATCTTGAAGTATTTGATTGCTGGCTTATTGATATAAAATCCTGCTGTGGGCTTAAAGAGACCAGCAAGCATGCATTGCGTTGCGTGTTGAACTGTAGTAAGTTAGAGGCAAGAAAGAATAAACAAATCAGGGCTGTGAAAAGGGGTGTCACAGTATATTTGCTTTCTGATTGTCACATTCTTACGCATTTATTCCCTTGGTAGTCTGCATCCCACTCCATAATTAATAATAACCACTGTTAGGAAACTTCCAAATACTTGTTATAACTGAACTTAGTGAAACTTATTGCTATTCAGGAACTTTTTTTCTCCTTGTTTTGATCTGAAATTGCATTAGTATTGCTTTGGGGATGCTGTAGATGAGAACATTGGACCAAAAAAAGTAAAATATGCCGCTGTAGGCATGTTTTGGAGTTTGTAAACATAGATTCCAAACTTAATTGTACTTAGAAAGAATAAGTTCTACCTAATTGTGGAGAATCCTAAATGAAGTTGATTTTCTGGACAGTTTGATGATTTCTTAAAGATCGATGAACTGCTGGTTTCTTTTTAAAGGGCATTCACAAAAGCGACCAAAACTTGGGCTAAAGTATTGCTTTCAAATATACTTATGTGTAGCTTGTATTTGTGAGTGTGTGTATGTGTTTGTGTGTGTGTGAGATTTTGATAGGTATCTCCAAATTGTGTTTGGAACTTTTTTTTTTTTTTTTTTACCAAAGACCAATCAGAATGATAACTTTTTGACTTTTAACTTCCCATTTCAATGAGTAATCTCTTCTGTTTGCCACGTGGCTAAGCCATTTGGAAAAAAAAATGTATGTTATTTGACTAGACATAAATTCAAATAAGTAAATGAATTCAGAAATTCATTCTTTTCTATTGCAGATGAACCTCTAGTCTTGCTTTGAAAAAATCATTCTGTGTAACTCTTGACTGTGACTAAGTTCCTAATACACCTGTTGGGACGATCACTGACACCGTATACCATTTGAGAGGTACTTTTCTTGACCCAATACTGGTGATTAGAGAAGAGAGGTATCTTGGTTTTTGGTTTTTTTCTTTGATCATTATGAACATTGGCTTTTCACCCCTGAAGTGAAAATGTTGAAAACTGAGTCTTCAGGTGAACGAACCACTCTCAGAAGTGCCTCTCCTCACAGGAATGCATATCGAACTGAGTTTCAGGCACTGAAAAGTACCTTTGACAAACCCAAGTCAGATGGGGAACAAAAAACAAAAGAAGGTGAGGGCTCCCAGCAGAGCAGGGGGAGGAAATATGGCTCCAATGTCAACAGAATTAAAAACCTATTTATGCAGATGGGTATGGAACCCAACGAGAATGCTGCAGTCATTGCCAAAACAAGGGGGAAAGGTGGACATTCATCTCCTCAGAGAAGAATGAAGCCCAAAGAATTTCTGGAAAAAACAGATGGCTCAGTTGTTAAGTTGGAGTCTTCTGTTTCTGAACGAATTAGTAGATTTGACACTATGTACGATGGCCCTTCATATTCCAAGTTCACTGAGACTCGAAAGATGTTTGAGAGAAGTGTGCATGAATCAGGACAGAACAACCGCTATTCCCCAAAGAAAGAGAAAGCTGGAGGGAGTGAACCTCAGGATGAATGGGGAGGTTCCAAGTCCAACAGAGGCAGTACTGATTCCTTGGACAGCCTTAGCTCCCGAACTGAGGCTGTCTCCCCAACTGTGAGTCAACTGAGTGCAGTATTTGAGAACACTGATTCTCCCAGTGCCATCATTTCTGAGAAGGCTGAAAACAATGAATACTCAGTGACTGGGCATTATCCCTTGAATTTACCATCTGTTACTGTTACAAATCTTGACACATTTGGTCACCTGAAGGATTCTAATTCCTGGCCTCCTTCAAACAAGCGAGGTGTTGATACAGAGGATGCTCACAAGAGTAATGCAACTCCAGTACCAGAAGTGGCTTCTAAAAGTACCTCTCTAGCTTCGATACCTGGTGAAGAGATCCAGCAGAGCAAGGAACCCGAGGACTCCACATCTAATCAACAGACTCCCGACAGCATTGACAAAGATGGTCCTGAAGAACCTTGTGCTGAAAGTAAGGCAATGCCAAAGTCCGAAATCCCTTCACCACAAAGCCAACTGTTAGAAGATGCTGAAGCTAATTTGGTTGGAAGGGAGGCAGCAAAGCAACAGAGGAAAGAACTTGCAGGTGGTGATTTCACCTCTCCTGATGCTTCTGCATCCAGTTGTGGAAAAGAAGTACCTGAAGATTCAAATAATTTTGATGGTTCCCATGTGTACATGCACAGTGACTATAATGTGTATAGGGTGAGATCCAGGTATAATTCAGACTGGGGAGAGACAGGCACTGAGCAGGATGAGGAGGAAGATAGTGATGAGAACAGTTACTATCAGCCTGATATGGAGTACTCGGAAATTGTTGGATTGCCAGAAGAAGAAGAAATCCCAGCAAATAGGAAAATTAAGTTTAGTAGTGCTCCTATTAAGGTAAGTGTGTTTTCTCCATTTTGTTTTCTAAATTTGTTTTTAGTACTAGGGCCTAATTGTATGTAGAATAGACTTGACAACTAGTAGGAGTTTTTGTAAGGGATTCAAGATTGTTGATACCTTTAAAATCACCTGTTGTCAGGTGATTTTAAAAGTTCAGAGTTTGAGAGATATCAATTACATTTCTTAAATGTGCTTTATAATGGCATACATCAATAGTGAGTAATATTAAAGCTGAAGAAGTTCGGGAATTGTGAGATACGTTCCAATGAACTGGAGTATGAGTATTGTGAGTACTGAAAACCAGGAGTGTTAGTTTGAAATGTAATTACTTTAGTTTTACCTAAAATTATTCATAAATAATATTTTCTGAATGTACACACTTTAAGGTATGAAGTATAATGTACAATGGGAGAGTTTTGGTAATCTGGGAATAATATTCGATTTACTTTCTTAAAAAAATCTGAGTTATTAAGTGTAAGTGGATTGTGAGGAATTTTGTTGGAACTTTTTTTGGGGGGTACTGCTAGTTGGTGGTGAAAATTTAATTTATGGAAATATATTAGCTGACTTAAATACTTTGAAAAGCTTTGACTGTAAACAGTCTGAGTTCAAAATTTGTTACATAGCTTTAAAATGAATTTTTTGAAAGAAATAACATTGATTTGCCATTCATGGATTTATTTTTACCTCTTAAAAACTGGATAAATGCCAATGGAATTCACATGCTCTAATGACTTCACTTAGTTAACATTTGGTATGGAAGAATAGCACAAAGTACATCAGCAGTGGGTGGTAGAATGTTATTAGTGGATAATGGCAATAGGGGCAGGAGGTGGTTGGTTGAGTACCAGAATCTCCTGGGGTGCTTTTTCAAAGTGTACTTGCCCACAGCTCAGTCCTGAGATGCTGGCATGCTCTCCTTGGGGAATCTGGAAGGTTATGGTGGCAGAATGTGTAGTTTTAGACCACATTCTAGGGGCTTCTAGCTTACACAGTGTGTATATATGATAGACTTGGAATTTGATATATTCCTGTAAATTTTCTCCTCAAAATCTAAAATCACTGTCTGTTATTTTCATTTTGGGACCTTCCATATAAGGCTCTAAAATATAAATTTACATAGAAATATTTAAAGAGAAATCTGACATTGTTCTGATTATGAAATACTATTCTGAAATAAAGTAATAATCTATGAAATTATTTACAGATGTTAGCAGGCAGACTTTCATTTTATTAGTGTAAGGCAGAAGTTCTGGGTCAGAATGGGTCATGTTAAGTTAAACTGTAGTTTAAAATAAACTACAGATGTCAATTCAGTTTGAAAGTAAGTTTCTTTGCAGTGCTTTACCACCTTCCTTTGTGATTATCTCCTCCTGCCTTCCTATTCCTCCCCAACCCCCACTGCCCTACTCTAGATGGTCTTTAAAGGTGCCTTTCCCCCAAGCCTATCCAGTGAGCTCCTAAACTTTGCCATTCGCATCCCCCTTGAACATCATCTTTCTACCCTTTAGGAAGAAAGCAATAAGATTAAATCGTTTCACATTGAGAAAGGCAGGAATAACTGAAATGAACTCTTCAAGGAGTTGTTAAACCCAGTGACTAACTTTTTAATACAAGGGATAGCAGCTTATGAAAATTTATCAAGTAGACCACTACCCAGTCAACCAAGTGGGACACCAGCCTGTATTTGGGTCCTGTGCTGCACAAAACATAACTGTGCACTAGTTGGTTTAATGGATTTTAAAGGATTTATCATTGAAATGTGTCTGTTTATATGTGAACAAACCAGCTTTTTGGGAATGATATTTTGAAGTTCAACTAATTTGTGCTATGATTGCTTATAACAATAAGTATTTTGCCTCTTAATTTTCATATAATGACAATTTTATCTAGCAAATAATGAAACATTACCTACATTTAATGCATTTCATCAAGAATAAGATTTCTAAAACAAATTAGATCAAGCATAAGACTTGTGAAACAAAGATAATGTATTGCATTTGATTGGGCAGTTAACAGGACTTCTTGGAGTGGATTAAGTTTGCAAACAGAAGATTCATTCTTAGCCCTTTGTAATGAATAACACAATTACTCTTTCTTGCTGCTTCCATTGTTAAATATGCAAGTGGATTCACTTGGAAAATTTGAGAGCTGCTTTCTACTGGTCATGGTGGTGGCCATAGTGTTTAGGTTATTCTCCAATTAAGATTTTTTTTGCTGCAGAGGGTGGTAATACCTTATTAGATCCAATTAAAGTATTTATTGAAGGCTTATCATGTGTGTTCTCTCATGCTGTTAGCTGAAGAAGACACAAAAATCTGTAAGGTTACCCCTTTCCTCTGTGAGTTTGTAGAGTCAATTCTTAAACACATTGTATTTAAAATCCATAAAAAACAGTATAAAAAACTATGCCAAAATTTTTAATGTCCTGTGAGTCCTTTAGTGGCACTTGGTTGTACTAAATGCATATAGTGAAAGGGATTTGATAGATTATTTGGAAAGGAATACATGCAACCATTTTCTATCTGTGTTTCTTTATTCTTTTCATAAAACTTTATTTATGGAATGGGAAGTTGCAATTCCTAACCTCAGTCTTTTCCTTTGAAGCTTAAACATACTTCCTCTTAAAGAAGCAACAGGGAATGTATTCTTTAAATAAATGATTTTTAGAACTTTTACATTCTTTTCCTGGCTGTCACTTTATTCTGTACTAGGTTAAAAATTCCTAGCACCTTTAGTTTTTTGTTATAGATCTTATTTATCATCTTTGTATGTGTAATATTGTCCTCAGTGACTACTTCAGTTCTTTTTATAGATGTTTTACATAGATATTTCCATAAGATGTCTTAAATCTGGACTTAGAAAAACATCAGAATAATAGTTGATCTTTCCTGTGTAGCATATACCTTGTACTTGTACATATACCTTGATTTTTAAAAATGGTCAGACTGTATTGCCAGCCATCAGTTAGTATGACTTTCCTATCTTTCACAGACAGTTATTTCTTATTAGATAGATTGTTATGTTTCATAGGGTCATGAAATATTAGAATGGGATTAATAATAGCAAATTAAAATCCAACTTTGAGATATGGCATGGGAGAATGTTATGGACCATGCTAATTCGAGATGGAATTATGCCTTCATTTTCAGGAATTTTTCAAAATGAAAGGATTGAATTAAAGTAAATTTGTCTTAGATGAATCAAAACAAGAGAGGGTGACATGTCATTTTTTTCTACTAATTCAGAACATTTATGGAGCCCCTAATATGTGTCAGGGACAATGCAAATATAACAAATACAACAAATACATAAAATGAGGAGCTGATGAAGTAAGGAGCTGCTGGTCGGTGGGACGTGTACAGCCCATTAAGGAAGCTCTCAGGCTGTTCCCAACTCTGTGCTTTGATGATCTTTCTAAGGTTGCTGCAGCCTCATTAAGGAAGTCACAACCTTTCTCTGTTTCTTATGTCCTTTGGATTGGTATTTTTTTTTCCCCTCAAATACTATTGTGTTACAATGGATTGTTATTCTTGAAACAGCATATCTGAAAAAGATTTTTCTAACTCACAGTAAGAAGGATATTGCAGAGTTAATATTGAGGTACATTGTGCTATATTTTGTGTTTTCTCAAATCATATGGAGCTTTACAGGATTAGAATTCAAATAATCAGCAAGGGCACCAGAGCTTCTTCAAACCTTACATGATAGTTGTTGAAAATGGATCTTCTTGTATTCTCTCCCTTTTTGGGGGCTCCGAGTCATAGTTAGGGCATTCATGGATATATGAAGTTTTTTTGTTCAGGATGGTTTTCAGGGAATAGTTCTGTTGAGATCCAACTTTTTGTCTTTGCGGAGGCTTCCTTTATAACAGTTTTGTCAGTGCTTCTTAAACTTTAATATGCATATGAATCACTTGGGAGATCTTGTTAGCATCAAGATTCTGATTCAGTAGGTATTCTATGGGAAATTACCTTGATACAATGGTTGAGCTACAAGTACACCAGCAGGCAAGCTATCTCAGAGGTTATGGAATAGAAGACTCAGAAAACAAATTAAAATGCTTGAATCACATGATTTACCAAACCAGTTAAACACAAATCCAGAAGCAAGAGGAAAGCTATGGAGTAAGTTAACACACTTCAGGTTCAAACCAGGTTGGAAGGACCACGCTACCTGTCCTGGATAAACAATGTTCCTATGTCCCATCTTTCTTTCACATAACCCTTCCCCATTAATGATGTGGTTATGAGGACCAGAGCTGATGTTTGAGCCAAGACTCCATAGACTAATGATTTCCTGGGTCGATGATACACACTTGTTCTGTTGAAGAGATGTGACAAATACACTTAGGTACAGCCGTAGCTTTGCTAGTTTGCCTGCTGATGAGCCATGGGACCATCCTTGGTGTCTTCAGTAGATGACTGATATGGAAGTAATGTAGCTATCAGTCCAGGCATAATGGTGACTTGGTATTTCCACTGCTTTTTGTCTATAAGTAAATCTCATTCATTTTATCATAATTTCTATTTATTTTATTGTTGTCATGTCTTACTCCCAGCTTACCTATTTATTACGCATCTGCTGACTGCCTTCATTTCACCAGCTTGCATTCTCATTATCAATACTTGGCCCAGCCTGAGTGTTGCCTCTGTCTCATAAGTTGTTAGTTTATTTACCATCTATGATTATCACTTCTTAAGTGTTTCATCCATCCCATTAGTTTTGTTTACCTCTATAATAGAATTTCATATTCTGAAATAATACAGGAAAACCACGTTAACAGTATGTCTGGAGGGGAACCTTAGATTTTACATTTCTAACAAGCTCTCAAGTGGTGCCGATGCCGCTGATCAAGAGATCACTCTTTGGAATATGAATTTGAAGTACAATCTTCTGGCTTCTGAAAGTGGCTGGCCATAGCATGTTAGGGAAGCAACATGTAATAAATTTCCTTTCCAGATGGGCTGCTATATCTGGTTGGGTGGAATAATATTCTCTGAAGATGAAATAAGGTATAATCTTGTAAAGTGCATGAATACTCTGTTTCTGGATCCCAAAGTGGATTATTATCCTTAACTCAAGGCATTTGGGTCATTAAAAAGTCACATCCTAGGCTCTTTGTGTGGTTTAAGTTTTTAGTTATAAAAAGTTGGGAGGAAGAAGTTTTTAATGGAATCAGAAATTTCATTTCTTTCATTCTTTTGCAAGTGTAAATTAATAAACTTAGTATAAGAATGGTCATATGATTTAACTTGCTTTTCTTGGATAACTTTGATGGTACAACTTTTTTTTTGTTTGTTTTTTGTTTTTTGTTTTTTGAGAGGGAGCTTTGCTCTGTCACCCAGGTTGGAGTGCAGTGGCACGATCTCAGCTCACTGAAACCTCCACCTCCTGGGTTCAAGAGATTCTCAGGCCTCAGCCCTCTGAGTAGCTGGGACAACAGGCATGCACAACTATTCCAGACTAATTTTTATATTTTTAGTAGAGACAGGGTTTTTACCATGTTGGCCAGGCTAGTCTCGAACTCCTGACCTCAAGTGATCTGACCGCGTTGGCCTCCCAAAGTGCTGAGATTATAGGCGTGAACCACTGTGCCCAGCCGATGGTATAACATTTAAATTGGATTTCCTTTTAAATTTTTATGTTTTATGACCTATGCTTCATAACCAGGTAAATGAAATATGTCAAATATTTTAATATACTTTGTAAAATCAAATAATGAAGATTTGTTGAATGAACCCCTTTTCTAAAATCCAGAGGTATAGCTATACTTTTAAACTGAACAGTGATCATTTAGTGTTTAAAAAGGGATTCTTTTGACAGCAGATTATTTCAGATGTTTACTGGTATTTATTTGTAATAGAAATATTTAAAGTTTCTTGTTTTTTGTTAATTTAATTAATTTTTTTTGAGACAAGGTCTTGCTCTGTCACCCTGGCTGTAGTGCAGTGATGCAGTCATGGCTCACTGCAGCCCTGACCTCTGGGGCACAAGTAATTCTCCTGCCTCAGCCTCCCATGCAGCTAGGACTACAGGCAAGCGCCACCATGCCTGTTATTATTTTTTTTTTTTTTGTAGAGATGAAGTCTCACTATGTTGTCTAGGCTTGTCTTGAACTCCTGGGTTCAAGCGACCCTCCTGCCTTGGCCTCCCGAAGTGCTGAGATTAAAGGCATGAGCCACTGTGCCCAGCAGTTGCTTGCTTTTTGGATCATACATACTTTGTGTTCCCTCTAAACTTTCTCACAAATGACACTAATTGTTGGGTTCATGTACTTGAAAGATAAGATGCCAAATTTGGAGGAAAATCACTTTGTGTTATGTTATCCATGTGTCGTTTACCTTGTTAACCCAGTTAATATGCCCATTACAAGTAATTTGATTGAAATCTCATCTGCATTAGATTTTTTTCTAACACTTTCTCTACCACTTGAAAACAAGTTTAGGAATTTTCATAGAGAAATATAGTTAGATGTGGGATAAATTCTGTATAAACAAAACAAACATTACTATAGATTGTTGCTTTTTATGCTGTTATCTAATTTACCTGATATTTTTCTTGATTTTCTATGCTCTCATTTGGACCTATTTTCTTTTTGTTCTTTTGCTTCATTATATTCTATAGCTATGGTTTTGAAAAGGAAGAAAACTTTTCAAGTTATGCTTTATAGTTTTTCTTCTGGTCACTTTTACAGTTTTCTCCTGGTTCTCATCTCTTTAGTTTGTGACATAGACATTTAGAGATGAAATATACTTGAAGGTAATCTAGCGTCATTTCCCAGTCACTTCAGGAAGCCCTTCAGTAGCATACTCCTGACAGATGATGTTTCAGCTTCTGCTTGAATAATTCTACCGATGGAGAGTTTATTACTTTGGAAGGTAAAAGGAAAGTTAGAAGGAGGGGCATGCTGGTGTGTGTAGGGAGGTGGTGCACTCACTCTTCTTTTTATTTAATTTTAATTTGCAATTTTTTATTAAGATAAAATTCAGGTAACAAAGTTCACCACTTTGAAGTGCACAATTCAGTGGTTTTTAGTATATTCACAGTGTTGTGCAGCCATCACTTTTATCTGATTCTAGAACTTTTTCATCATCCTAGAAAGAGACCCTGTGTCTGTGAATTGTCATTCCCAATTCCCCTTCCTTCTTCATCCTCTGGAAAGCAGTAATTGACTTGCTTTTTCTGTAGACTTACTTCTGGACATTTCTTACAAATGCTTTTAAAAAAGAATATAGGAGACTTGAAGAAGAATATAGGAGTATGGCTTGGAATATATTAAATTTAAGATATCAAAAGGATAGCACACTACAGGAAAGTCTAGAGAGCAATGGCATAAAGAATTTTCTTCTGGTTGGTGATATGGTCTAAAAGTTAAGTGGCATGATGTGGGAGCAACAAATGCTATCTGCCATTTTATGTGTTTCATAGAGAGGAAGAACACATGAAGCTGAGGAGACAGTAGGATTCAAGAAGAATGAAATGTATAACTGAGGAAGAATAGGTTTATGTGGCTGAGAGGATGGCTGAACAACTCCCTTGCGTGGGACACCGCACTTCTCTTAATGTAATCTAAAATTGCTACACATGAAGCATGAGTGTTTGATTCAGCATAGGGTTTCTTTATTTCCTTTTAGAGACAGGGTCTTGCCCTGTTGCTCAGGCTGGAGTTCAGTGGCACGATCAAAGCTCACTGCAGCCTTGAACTCCTGCGCACAAGGGATCTTCCTGCCCCAGCCTCCCAAGTAGCTGGGACTACAGGTGTGTGCCACAGTGCCTGGATAATTACATTTTTTTTTTTTTTTTTTTTTTTTGTAGATTCAGGGTCTTGCTATATTGTCTAGGCTGGTCTTGAACTCCTGGGCTCAAGTGACCCTCTTGCCTCACCCTCCCAAAATGCTGGGATTGTAGGTGTGAGCCACCATGTCCTGCCAACATAGGGTTTCTTTAAAGGTACAAGTGGCATTGATGCTGAGTTTCATCTTTACATTGGTCTTTTTATAGCGTGAAGGAATCCTGTTCCTTTTCTAATAATCTGATGCTTATTTCTATCCTACTTCTCTTATATTGTCACTTTCCTTATTCTTTTACTTTGATTGGAATTGTTCACGGACAGCTTCACTACTTTAAAATTTTTTCTCATCCTTCAATATTTCGATATAGATTTCCTGTGCCTACATGCTATTATCTGTACTGTAACCATCTATAAGATGAGTGATTTGAAGCAGATATTTATTTAGTTTACTATGTATTGTCTGTTGGAGCATATTACTATATAGTCTATATTACTATTAAATATCATTAACTAGTAATAATAATGGTAACATCGAGAGGTACTTGATATTCTGTCAGGTTGGACAAGTGTGCCTCTTGAAGCCTTGAATTTCTTACCTGTAATTGAGGCTGTCTTACTTGTAATTTATCACTAAGATTGTTTCTCGGCTTTACCATCCTGTAATTCTCTGTGTCTTAAACATATTTGTACTATACCATAATCATAAATATTTGTGCTATGATTTCAAAGAGAAAATTCTGGACATCTTTTGTTGAAATATCAAAATGAAAAATTTATGTTAAATTGTTCTTGAGAACAATAATTCTATAGATTATAGTAGAAACCTTAAAATGAGTAAAATATTAAGTCCATGGGAGCACAATTTTATAGAGTGGATTTTTAGAGCAACTTGACTTTTGAAAGTATGGGTTTAACTATATGTTAAAACACCCTGCTGAGGAAACTAAGAATAAAGAAAGAAATGTTTTGTAATATAGTTGCTGACATATTAATTGCTTCACTCACTTTTGCTCTGGAAATAGCTTCATAGCACAGTTCAACATGATTGAAATATTGATAATTTTTTTTTTTTTTACAGTTCCCGGTTTTCAGCCTAACTTACTCTTTCTCATGCACATATCCTTACAAAGAAGACAGCGAAATACAGTATGAAGATATCAGGAAATTTTATATTTTAGGAGGAAAGTTTTGTTCTTTGCTTACTTAATCTATTTCATTGGTATTTTTAAAAAGTATTTGTGGAGTTAAAACTGTTCACCAAGTATTTATGGATAATGGTAAATGAAACTGCTCACAGATCTGTTAGTCTCCTGCCCTCTTTTATAAGTCAGATGAGTTTTGTGCCGGGGAAAGCTAATCTTCCAAGTTGTTTTCCATGCCAGTTGAAATATATAGGGCTAGATTCGGACATAGAGTGGTTGGCAAGGGTCAAAAAGGTGAATAGAGTCATGACCATGAAGGTTTCTTTACAGGAATAAGCAGTGAGAATCTTGCGGATTAGGTCTTTGGTATTTCTGTCTTGATGCCTTTGAACTGGCATGACCCTATGAAACTGAGTGACCTGCATGTTGAGTCTGTTGCTGTATAGTAAGATGGTCTTTTCTCTTTTATTCACCTCGGATTTCTCCTCCAAAAATTTCTTTTTACTCCTCCTCTTTTAAAAATATGTAAGTATACAGCCTCATGGAGGCTACATTCATATCAGAAAATTGTCTAATCTTCAATATAACAATCTTAAATAGTACTCACAGTCAGAGGTACCTTTTCAGGCTTGTGAAGAGTTTTCTTTTCATGGTTAGGGTCCACAGAGGAGAGGGAAAAGCAGGTTTATTGGTTAGTTTTTAAGATCTGTTTTTGAGGCCGGGCGCGGTGGCTCACGCCTGTAATTCCAACACTTTGGGAGGCTGTGGCGGGCGGATCACGAGGTCAGGAAATCGAGACCATCCTGGCGAACACTGTGAAAACCCCTCTCTACTAAAAATACAAAAAAATTAGCTGGGCGTGGTTGCGGGCGCCTGTAGTCCCAGCTACTCGGGAGGCTGAGGCAGGAGAATGGCGTGAACCCGGGAGGCGGAAGTTGCAGTGAGCTGAGAGGGCGCCACTGCACTCCAGCCTGGGCGACAGAGCTAGACTCCGGCTCAAAAAAAAAAAAAAAGATCTGTTTTTGAGTAGTGTTATTTTGATGGATTCCTTTACGAAGTACTTGTTTTGGGTAAAATTGATGTGCAAAATTGTTTTGTAAAGGAAGAGAAAGACATAAATTTGCACTTTTCATTGTTAATTGATATTATATATGTATAAAATTATTATTTTTTTAAATAACCCATTTCTCAGGGGGAAAGGCAAAACTTATTGTAGGATGTTTGAATGACACCTTATCTACCATTACCTAGAATGTGTTTATTTTTAGAAGTTTATTCTGTAGGTGGAATAATAAAATACAGTAATTTAAATTATACACCAGGTGTTATATAATATTCTATGTCCAGAGCATCTATTTCCTTTTAGAAATCTTATCATTGAGCACTGAGCACTAAAACAAACAAACCTGTAAGTAAGTCTTTTGAAAAATAAAGGCTGGCTGGAAGATTGAGGCTGCAGTGAGCTGTGATTGAGCCACCACACTCCAGCCTGGGCAACAGAGCAAGACCCTGTTTCAAAAAAGAAAAAGAAGGGCTGGGCCCGAAATCTATGATTTTCATATCTGTATTATATACAGTTTCTTGCTTAGCGTCTAGAATTACCTATTATTTAGGATAGATTCCTAAAAAAATATAATTTTATTAATTTATAATATTATTTATAATTTTATTAAATTATATTTAAATTAATTAAAAATAAAATTATTTTAAAGCCCTTTATATATAATTCAGAAAGGGTGAATTATATTGTTATTGCCGGAATTGTTATTCAGAAAGGGTGTATTAGTTTATAATCAGCACTGCATTGGAATAGTTTTCTCACAATCCCTGCGCCAGTACTTAGTTTTATTTATATGCTTTGTAGTTTTCAGTTTGGTAGGTGAAAATAACTGTTATAATTTCTACTTGATATATTGTTGAGATTGAAGATTTTTTATGTGCTTATAGGCTTTTTTGATATGACTTCTGAGTGGTTTTTATTACTTTCTAAATCAGTGTTTGTTAGTAAAGACTACATCAATGTGTTATTTAAATGAGTTGGTAAAAGTTAAAGCAACTCACATATCCAGTAATAGGGATATGGTTAAATTCATTACGATAAATGCATATAGTATAATAGGATAAAGCTGTATTACTCATGTTTTCTAAGATTACTTAAAGATGTAAATACTTCATAGTAAAAAGTCTGGTTAAATGCTGAATATGCATTTCTGTCATATTTTTACTTTAAAAATATGTGTATTTGCAGCTAGGACAAAGATTAAAAACACATACATCAAAATGTCAACTCTGGTAATTTCTGGATTGAGAGAACAGTGATAATGTTAAATGAATGTATACTTTTCTGAATTTACTTAATTTTCTACAATAAGCATGTATTACTTCTTTAATTACATTAAAAGATAGTGGTGGGACACAATTGGAATGATCAGCAATAACAACATAAGGAAGTTAACAAAAACACTTTTTAAAATGCTGCCCCAAATTCTAATAATTAGTCTTTTAATGTACTTTTATTTGGAGGACAACATGTCACAGAAAAAAAATTTGGTTTAATAGTGTAAATTTATGTAACACTGAAGAAGGTGTTACTTTAAGAAAATGGATGAACTTTTGACAGTTGAATTCATTAAGTGCATATTTCTTAAACCTTGGTAAAATTGATCCCACATTTGTGGCTAACCTTGTAAGTATTATGGGGAAGGAGACCCTCCAATTCATTTTAAATTGTGATTATATAGCATTTGCATAGGCCTGAGATGTTTTCCTTAAGTTCGACTATTGTGTATATGATATTCTAATGTGTTACTTAAAATATGCTTTCAAACACTGGGTATAATGAATTTGAAGTGAAACATATTTTAATGAGTAGTCTTACTAAAAATAATAAACATGTACTTAAAGGAAACTTAACCATTTTCCCATGTGGCATAATGTCTTTCTGATGTCTTAGATTATTGAGCCTCAACAGGCTTGCTCTCTGTGAAGGTGAGACAGTGGAGATGTCAAGTTCATTATCTTGCTTATATATAATCCTTTGAAAAAACTCATGTACACACCCAGTTAAAAATAGGATTTTGAGTTCTAGGCCTCCACAGAATCCATTTGAATATGTTTCCTGTCCTAAAACACCAGCCAATATGTGGTTTCCTGTTGTTCCTCTTAAAAAACATATTAGTTGAAAAGAGATTCATTTGATGTATGGTTAGACTATATGGTAGTATGTTATATTTTTAGTTAGAGTCAAAGGGTCAGTTCCTCTCATCTATTGGGTAATTTTCCACCTTTGAAAAGCTTTGGTAGATAATGTTGTAGTATATAAATGATGACAAACATATTTTTGTTGGGTGGCAGAGTTTTCTGAAATTGGAAGTTTAAATTATTGCTTTTTGTTTAATGAGATGAGCAGATTACTCTGATCTTACAGTTTTAAGCAGTTCTGGGATTTTATAAGTTCTGGTGAAGTCCTAATTAAATTGCCTTACAATATAATCTGGTGTTTGGATTATCACTTTTTGTTAAGTATTCTTAAACCTTACTACAATATGGTTGATAAATTCTGTTAATATTTTATTGTATACTGGGTTTCTAGTAGTGATATATAGATGATTGTATATAATTATAAGAACTATTTAAAGAAAAAGAGGCAACATTAACAGACAAACCATGTAAAATTTTGACTCTTTTCTATAAAATGGTTACACTGGAAAAAGAAAATTGGAGTTCAAGAAAAAAATAATTTCACTGGTTGTGATTTTGCATATTTATGTAAATTTGTGAATGATTTGAGGCAGTGATATCTTTTTTTAGTTAATCATGTACCCAATCAAGTTTGAGACGAGGCTTATGTTTTTCCATAGAGACTATGACACTTGTGGAATTTTTATCTTGCTGGCTCCTTCTCTGTATAACGAGTTCTGTGAGTAGTAGCATTAGTGAACTGGAGCTCCCTCAGGAGATTGTCCCATTTGCAGATGTGGCAATCAGAAGAGTTTTAGTTTGAGTTACTGGGTTTTGACTCTTATTACCTAATACAATTCTTTATTTATTTAGTTTTGAGATGGAGTCTAACTCTGACTGCATTATTAGCATTTTTTTGAGACGGAGTCTTGCTCTGTTGCCCAGGCTGGAGTGCTGTGGTGTGATCTCAGCTTACTGCAACTTCCGTCTCCCGAGTTCAAGCGATTCTCCCACCTCAGCCTCCTGAGTAGCTGGAATTACAGGCACGCACCACCATGCCTGGCTTAATTTTTCTTTTTTTCGTAGAGACGGGGTTTCACCATGTTGGCCAGGCTGGTCTCAAACTCCTGACCTCAGGTGATCTACCCACCTCGGCCTCCCAAAGTGCTGGGATTACAGGAGTGTGCCACTGCGTCTGGCCTACCAAACGAAATTCTTACTCTTAATCTAGAATGAGAACTATTGAGAGTTCATCCATTAGAACCCTTGAAGCCTGTCCCTCAGATGGTTGAAAGTCTGTAGCTGGAGGACGGTTGAAATAAACAGAATATTGATATGAAATATTTCTGAAGGTATCCTTTTTCCATATCCTATATTTAACTTAGCTGGCATATTAGAGTTGTCCAGAGAAACAGAACCAATAGGATGTGTATATATACAGAGAAAAATGTAAGGAGTTGGCTCACAGGATTATGGAGACTGGCAAGTCAAAAAGCTGCAGGGTGGGTTGGCAGGCTAGAGATTCAGGGAAGAGCTGACATTGCAGTTCAAGTATAAAAGCCTTTTGCTGGAAAATTTTTTTTTTGCTTGTGGGGGAGTCAGTCTGTTGTCCTATTCAGGCCTTCAACTGTTTCAATGAGGCCCACCCACATTATGGAAAGAAATGAGCTTTCCTCAAATTATATTTAAAAACACCCCCACAGAAACATCTAGAATAATGTTTGATTAGATATCTGCGCACCATGGCCCAGCCAAGTTGACTTATAAAATTAACCATCACGGTCAAGCTTTCTTGTTTTGATTGCCCCTTCTGAAGCTGTTTCGGGGAGGAAACTCATTTTTCCCCCCACATGTCTTAGTGGGGGAGTTGGTTCCTCTCTCCCTCTCATTCTTAGAAAATTTGCTGAAGGGATTCCCTCTGTTGGGCAGTGTGTTGTAGGAGAGGATTATATGTTTGGAATCAGACAGACCTGTATTCAGATCCTGCAGACACCTGATCTTTTAAGAAAGTTTGTTTAAATTTTGAGGGCAGGGAATTTGTTTTATGGTTGTGTCTCTAGGATTGTCACACCGCTTGGCACATTGTAGGTACACAGTTGGTGTTAATAACCTGTTATGTTCATCATCTCTGCCCTTTCTCCTTCCTCTTCTCCCCCTCCCCCCACCTGAAGGTCCAAGTTGGGATGATATTAATATTATTATTTTTATTATATTTCGAGACAAGGTCTTACTCTGTTGCCTAGGCTGGAGTGCAGTGACATGATCACAGCTCACTACAGCCTCGACCTCTGGGCTCAAGGGATTCTCCTGCCTTAGGCTCTTGAGTAGCTGGGATTACAGGCGTGCGCTGCCATGCCCAGCTAATTTTTTTTCCATTTTTGTAGAGACAGAGTCTCACTGTGTTTCTCAGGCTAGTCTGGAACTCCTGGGCTCAAGCGATCCTCCCACCTCAGCCTCTAAAGTGCTGGGATTACAGGTGTGGGCCACTGCTGGGCTAACATTTTTATATGTATAATGCTTGTATGATTTATTTATAGGTAAAATCCTTCAGGTTAGCAGTTACAAATGAAAGCTGGGTGATTCCATTACAGATTAAAATCTTTCCTGGCCACTGCTCTGGCTTGCTGAAGCTGTTGTGCTCTCTTTCGTTTGGGAAATCTCAATCTATTGCCCTGTAAGGTAATGACAGTTCATAAGTAACCACAGTCATTAAAATATGGTTGTTTGAGATATAACTATGGAAGCTGAAGGGGAGAGTACTCATTTTGCCTTAACTTTATATTTACTTTGATCACCAAAGCTTGTAATTAGTTGCAAGAAAATCTAAAAATTGAGATTCCATCAGAAAGTTGTAAAGCTACTTATTTAGAGGTTGCAGTAACTTGCCTCACCTTTGGTAACTTGAGTATGTGAGTGTATCTATATTCTGAAAATGAAAGTTATCAAAAATTTAATTAACTAAAAAATTTGAATTATTTCTTTTACTATTTAGTCTTTTTGTCTTCCTTTTATTTCCTGACTTGTTTACTAAAATGTGGTTTCTTTTGTTTTTTTTCAGTGGTTAGAGAGGAATTACTTTTTTGGGGTCATTTCTGTCCCCCTACTCCCTTAATATTGATTTTAGAAATGTGCTTGGTTTTAATTCCATAGCTAAGTTATAATTTTGTAATTATTTTTGTAGTCGGTTGTCTCATTCTCTAATCAAGCTTTTGCTGACTGTGAATTTGTTTATCCAGAAAACAGTTTTTCATTTTCTTGGTGACTTGTAATTAGTAATAAATTGCATGGGACCAAATAATCCAAGGTCTTGAAATCGTATTTTTTGCCTGGATGTTTCCTCCGTGAATTACATTATCTGGAAAATGTCTGACAGTTGTTATTAAGCTGAAATATGAAATAGCTTTGCTTGTTCATGCAAATTTGTTTATGTAGAAACAAGTTTTTCCTAGGCAGAAATAGCTTTTGATAGCATCCTAAGGAAGAGAATGGTTAAGCTGTTTTCTGCATTTTCTTTTTAAATGTACAATAATTTTTTGGGGGGGTTATGTATGTTTTTGCAGATACGTAAAAACCATGTTTTGTAAAATGCATTGTAGACATTGAAGTAGAAGAATCTTAGTATTTTCAGGGCCCTTGATAATATCCTCTTTATTTAAAAATGTAACTATAAAAGTTATTGTTTTTCCATTTCTAAAATGAATTTAATAAAAGCACCTTTTAGCAGGATGTTGGTAAGAATATATGACTTAATATGAAGGTTCATTATATTATTTGAATGAATTGAGCTACTATGTCAGATGTGATTTTGTTACTGCTGTTTTTCATCTTGAGATTAATATTATAACATTTTATAATTACTATATAGGCATTAGTCAAGGCTGATAAATCGCCTATTATTCAAGTGTTTATAAATAAGTGGTTATGCTACAGCTATTTAGAGAAGCATTGTCTTCTGAGTTGATTGATAAAAGTCAACAAACATTGAATATGTTTAAAATGTGTTGATTTCGAGCTCTGCTGTGTAGATATTGAGATAAATAAGACAAACCTTTTCTCCTTGAGACTATAGACTTTGAAGGAGATAGAGAAGTAAACATTTGTAGGATAGTGTGATAAGTGCTGTGATAGAGGTATATACATAGGGTGACCATATATAATTTATTGTCCAAACTGTTGAGAAATTCAGTGTTCTGATTATTATTACTGTCTTTAAAAATAAGGGCACAGACCATTGTTTAGTCCTCTTTGGATCATGCAATGTCTAGGGTGACCATTGGGATTTATTGTCAAAATTGGGACACTTTTTGAGAATGAAAGGGGATGTTATGAATACTTACACTGGGGCAGCAGACATAATCTGGAACTGACCCAGGGAAGCCAGTACACATGTCAACTTTGATATAGCAGCTTGCTGTGGTGCTCCTAAGCAGGGGAGTCTACCTTTATCAGGAGGAGAGGAATCATTAGGGAGGACTTCTCAGAGGAAGTGATGCTTGAGTTGAAGCTTTAAAGATGAATAAGAATTAATTAGGTAGAGAAGTGAAAAATCCTAAGCTGAGGGAAAAGTGTGTTTGAGAAAAGAGTAAACCAGAACAGTTGGAGGAACATGAAGGGGGTGTGTGTGTGTGTAGTGTAAGAATGTAGGCAGGTGGTAGTTCAAGGAGGGACTTGTATACATAGGAGTTGGAAATGAAATGCAAACTATGGGGAGTCATTGAATAATTTAAAGGGATAGATGACATCATCACTTTGCTATATATACCTCTCCTATTTGTTGGTGGTTATGGAAGGGTGGAGAAGATCCATTGGTCCCCCATTTTTTCTCTCTGTTCTTTCAGTAAACATTTATCCTAGAAGCTTTCAACCAACTTCTGTTTATTCAGCTTTCTGGATTAACTGATGTCTTCCATTTGCTGGATAGGACATGCTGACTGATGACCTCACAGACTGTTCTTATGCCCTCACTACTCACCTCACCACCTACAGTCATAGGCTGACTAGGAGTTGGTTGTGTACATTCCTAAACCTTTTTGCCCTCTTTATTTGTCTTTCTAAGTGTGTATTCAGTACTATGTAAATTGATAAAACATGAGTGTGAAAATATTTTTTTTTGCTATAAAAATGTAAATTGAATTCTTTGGGGAAGAGCTGATAAAATATGTCACTTAAAGATCTTGTTAAATTAGATGAGGGAGATATAGATGACAGAAACTCTTTCAACAAATATCTAAAAAGATGTGCCACTCCAATTATTTTGTGAGTGTCTTCAAGTTTTTGTCCCACTTTAAAGAAAACCAAACTGGCCATCATAGCCAATGAATTATGCAGGAAAGATACTGTGGATCATTAATTTGCAGACCTAAGCTCAAAGTAAAGGTGTTGGCCTGATGTCAAAAGATTGGTAAATGAATATACTTCTAGGTGTCTTACATTAATATAGACCTATTAAAATATACATCAGTTTTTATGATTTCTAACTTTAACTGCCATTTTCAATTATCGGACAAATTCTTAGTCTAAATTGCTTCTTCTAAGAGAGCATCTTTTTGTAAAAAGTGTCTGCTTTAAGCTAGGCAGTATGCTAATCACCTGAATTACATATTAGAATACATCTCCCAAGGAGCTTGAATTCGCTTGGGAGAGACGGACACGTAAGTCACAATGTACTGAGAGTTGCATTGCAATAGAGGTGTGCACAGGATGCTGTGAGTGCGGAGAGGGGACACTTGGGTTCTGGAGGCAAGTTCCAGGAAACTCCTGGGAGAAGCCAAACTCTATCTGAGTTTCGAAGGTTTAATAAGTGTTGGTAGAAAAAGGGACAAGTGTGCAACCTAACAGCGAGGCACAGAAAAGAGAAAAAAATGCTGTCTTTTGCAGATCTCAGAGTATGATTTATTTATAGGCAAAATATTGTTGGTACATGGTAAGGCATGTACCACAAAGTTTAATATTGTTGGTACATGTTAAGGCAAGGGCAGATTAAGAAGCTTCCTTTGTGCTAGACTTAGTTTGCACACTTTTCTGAAAACATACTAGTTGGAGGGGGTTTTGAGCATGGAAAGGCATTTTTAGATTTGTATATTAGAAAACCACTCTAATAGAGAGTGGAGATAGATAGAAAGGCTAGGTGTGGGGTGGGAATGCAGCAGTCACAGTGAACACGGATGAGACTGATGAATGTTTGTCAGAATGGAGGCTGAAACAGGCAAA
Organism: Homo sapiens; assembly: GCF_000001405.40. Lineage (NCBI taxonomy): Eukaryota > Metazoa > Chordata > Mammalia > Primates > Hominidae > Homo > Homo sapiens. Next base: position 94,929,839 of record NC_000007.14, read on the forward strand.
GGGTAAACTGGGCAAGCTGGATTAGGCAGAAGATGATAAGAGGTGCTATTTTGTGTGAAATTAACTTTTAAGTGCAAAAATCATATGTGACTATTTTTTATTTATCCATGTATTTTTCCTACTCTCCCCACAAAGGATCTTGCCTAGTGCTTGGTTGATAACAGATGCTCAGCAAATGAGAGCTAATGTAGGAATTAACTAGACATAAACAGGGAATTGATTGTCTTTGATCCAATAGTTGCAAAATACGAGGGATGAACTCATAGGGGCCTTAGAGCCAAGGCTGTGGATCTGAGTGTTAGATCCAGGTATATATGTCATTGGGATACTGTGAGGAGAGGAAACATGAGAATAAGGGGTAAGACAGCAGGAGAGTGTTGGGAGGCAGCATGATGGGGGAGCCCCACATTTTGGAGAAATAGAGTTTGAGAAATAGCGCTTCAGAGAAAGTTTGGAGAAAAAGATTAGAAAGATTTTAAGAAGCATAAAGGTTGCTAAACATTTTCTTTCTTTTTTTGAGATGGAGTCTCACTCTGTCACCCCAGCTGGAGTACAGTGGTGCAATCTGAGCTCACTGCAACCTCTGCCTCCCAGGTTCAAGCGATTCTCCTGCCTCAGCCTCCCAAGTAGCTGGCATTACAGGTGCCCCCAAACAATGCCTGGCTAATTTTTGTATTTTTAGTAGAGACGGCGTTTCACTGTGTTGGTCAGGCCAGTCTCCAACTCCTGACCTCAAGTGATTTTGCCCGCCTCGGCCTCCTAAAGTGCTGGGATTACAGGCGTGAACCACCATGCCCAGCCCTATCTTTATACTTTTATAGAGATGGGTTGGTAGGTGAAGTAAGTAACTCTGAGGAAAGCCAATGGTATATGTGGATTGAGACTGGGGAAAGAGTACTGCACATCAGGAAGGGGAAAGGAGTTACAGAGATACAAAGATAGAGACTTGCATTTATTTCTGGTAAAGTAGGTTAACATTACCTATTTAGCCATTTAAAATGAGCCATTTAAAATATGTAATAGTAACTTAGAGCTGTGCACAAGGTCATGGCAGATTTGGAATCAGAGATGAGGTCCTGAAAGAACCAGTGCTGGGCTTAGCTGTCAGTTTTGCAGGTTAAGCTAGACTGTTAGCGTATCCGTACAAAATAGTTATGAAGATTAATGTTGCCTTCTGTAGAAT